>NC_000002.12:99913860-100216890 GCF_000001405.40 Homo sapiens | reverse complement strand
CTGGGGGCACTGGGGAGCTGTATCTTTCACAGAAGCAACTGTCATTTGAGGGAATATCAGCACCCACTGCCACCTCTTCTTGGTCCAGCACGCTGTCCTCACCTCTCAGAGTGAAGTGACCTCCAGGTTTGAATGGTTTTGCTATTCACGTTTCCTGCAAGGTCTGTTACTCCAAACAGATTTTTCTGGAGAGGTAATTTACATAGGTTATATCGAAAAATACAAGGGTCAGAGATTATTTGCAACTTTCAAGTGCAATTATCCAAGGATGTTGATACTCATCCAAAAAAAGAGAAAAACCTCTAATCGGCTATTAAATATTTATAGGTCATTTTATTATTAATTTATTTCGGCAGGAACTCAGGAAAGCACCCACATTTTATAGCTGACCTAATCATTCAGAGCTAACCCTGGCCACACAAAATGAGCATGAATCATATCATGAAATTCTGCAGCAAAAAAACTCAAATCTCAGCTTTACAGTTTTCTTAATTACCATTTGAGCTGGCTTCCAGCTTTGCACCCAAACACACTTTCTCTCTGGTCAGTCCTTGCTTCGACAAGACCATAGCTAGGGCAGCATGCTGCAGAGAGAGGCATGAGGCTTTGCACACAGAGCTCCAGCACTGGGTAGCCCTGTGGCCTGGGCAAGCTACTTGACCTTTCTGAGCCTCACCTTCCTCATCTGTAAAATAGAGCCACTAAACTCCTTCCTTTGCAGGTTTCTTGTAGGGCTTAGATGAGACGGAGTCTCCTAGCACATAAGACGGGCTGAAGCACCTATCCAGCGGGACTGGAAATGCCTGAGTGCACAGTAAACAGTCAGATACATCCTCCTGCTCGCAGTTTTAGGCAGAATTAAATAAATGCCCAGAGCTGGGGCAATGGCAGGGAAGAGGCTGTGAGGGTCCTCACTGCCTAGTCAGTGAAGGAGAAACAGCAAATGACAGGACAAGGAGACAAGGCTAAGCACCAAATGAGCAGCAAAGATAAATACTCCAGAATTATTACTGCAGAAGCACATGATCTGGAAGGCCCAGGATGGCTTTCGAGAGCAGAGGCTCTCAACCTCGGCCACACAGTGGCATCCTCTGAGCAACCTAAACAAGGTGCCAAGACATGAGTCCTGCTCCCTGTGACTCTGATGGAATCTCTCTGGGGTACAGCCCAGGCATTTGTGTTTCTGGAAGTCTCTTGCTTATTCCAGCGTGTAGCCAGGTGGGATCTGCTGCGCTAGAGGAACGTGACCTGAAAACAGCACTTACTTACTCCGACATCTGAACAGCACTTGGCCATTTCCAAGCACTTTCACGTGCATGGCTCAGGAGACCCAGACTGGTGGGGGAAGGGGAGGAGTTTGGACCAAGGCCTGGAGGGCTATGTGACAGTGATGTTTCCCTTCCAGAGACTTCTGGGTCTATTCCTTGGGTTCTGTGGTCACAAAGCTATCAAAGTCACCATTTCACTTCTTCCTTAGAGAGAAAAAACAGTTGTCCCTTAAAACAGGTAAATAGCCTTCGATAATGGGTGGAAATAGCTCCAAGTCTTTGCAGCTCATACCATTTGAGGTGCTCCCTCAAGCAAAGGATACAAAATTACAAATACAAAAACCTTAAGCTTCATTAGCTTTAGGCTAGATCAACCCCTGAGACGGGGGTCACACGCACTTCACCCCTCGCCAGGTTAGATAATGTGCCCAAGGTCCCATGGCCAGTGGCGGGTAGGACTGGCATTGGAGTCCAGGTCTGACTCTGTAACCTCTTCATGGCTACTGGGAACCCCAGTATCAGTCCTATCAGAGTCACTAAAACGTTTTTATTTGAATATTGATCCCACAGTGGAAGTTAAACTTGTCTGAGCCCTGACCAACTGTTCGTCTCCATCTGTAGGTACTGTCCCATAAGTGCTTCCTAGGAAGGGGGCCAGGAAAACCTCTACCGCCAAGGCCCACCCTTGCACAGCAGCCCCCAGGCAACGTGCCAAGGACTGCAAGGGGAAACCTCTAGTGTGGCTCCAGCCAAAAGAAGGACGTTTATGGGCTGGCCCTGCCAGAACATTTTCTGGGATTTAAAAACAGAGCTGGAACTAAGTCCTTTTAGGGAGGCAGGAAGCCAGTGCAGGAGTTGCTGCTGGCAGAAGAGAGCCTGGGGCCACGAGGAGCCCGCCTGGGGCTGGCAGAGAGTGAGAGAGAGAAGCCCAGGGATGGGATGGGGTAGGGGAAGAGCCAAGGGGCCACCGCAATCCTGGGAACGCAGGCCAACCCCAGTGGTGGGGAGCAGAATAATCAGTGTCCAGCCACCTCCACTCAGCCTGTTGGCCTTAAATGTCCTTTCATCCTTGCAGAGGGGAGGTACCTGCTCAGAGTCCATGGATCAGGGTTCAGCTGCCAACTCACACTTCCACACCCTTACCCTGACTTTACACAAGGTTGTTTGTCTCTTTTGGCCCAGGTTTTTCATCTGAAAAATGAGGAGATAATTATAGCTTCCTTGCATGGTGGTTGCAATGACCAGAGAGGAAGTATGCAAGAGATTAGGCATGGATTAAGGCCTCAGTGAACCACAGCTACGCTTGCGACACTAGCTTTTTAGAACATTTTATTTATTTTGAATGAATGAGGAGTACCATTGCTTACTCTCACAGTGAAATAGACACAGAGAACTTCAGGGTGGAAATGGGGACCTTGAGACTCCCAGAATCACCACAGCCTCTAGAATTTAGGGGCCTGCAGATGGTCAGTGGTGGAGAAAGCCTGGTGGATTGGCTGGCCTCAGAACTCCAGAGAGCCCATGGTTGAGGGTGACTCTGTTAACTGAAGGCCTGCCTACTGGCAGCCTCCAGTTTGGATTTTAGTGACAGCCCATGAGCCTCAGGCTAGGAATGCTGGCTGCAGTGGGCTTGGTCAGAATGCATGGCTCCCATGCTAAGCCACAGTAGACAAGTCATGGTGAGGCTTATGGGACCTTTTCTGCTCTTAAAAGGAGAGGATTCTTTCTGGCATCTCATTATAGGCTGTACTGATGAGAGGTGCCAGAGTGAGCCGGGTGGGCTGGTGTCCAGACCTGGCTCTGCTGTCGGCCAAGTGTGTGACCTGGAGATGGCATTTCCCCCTGCTGAGGTCCAAGAGGCCTCATTAGCCAAATGGAGGTGTGGCCTGGATGACCTCCAAGCTGCTCATGCACTTTATTGCACCTATTGCAATAGTCCATGAAATTACATCTAATAAACTAACTTTGGCTCTATTATCAAGCAATAAGTACAGTCAACGAATAAATGAATCAATCAACCAGGCATGAAAAGGGGACGCATTAAAGGTTTAATGTGGTTCTAAACACTTGGGGGCATTCAAGAAAACTTTGCTGACAGTTAACTCTCAGCCTCTCAAGAATCTACAGTACAGCTGGCATCCAATGTCCCACCCACGGCAGTGTCCTCTCCCAATTCTATCACCCATGTCTTTGTTTGAAACTCTCCCGTGCACACTGATCTTGGTCTCTAAATGCCATTTCCATACACAAGAAATCTGGGCTGCTTAGAGAAATGGCTGATTCCAGGACTGGGACAGGAAAGAACAAGATTGACCTGGATCATCTTGTAATGCCAGAAAGTAAGGAAGTACTCAAAGAATGCTGGGGACATGTTCAAAGGACTCAGGAGACAGAAGCCAGCTTGAAAGGGCTCCCACTGACCAAACATGGGACAATTTAGAGCATCTAAACAAGTCCTGCCAGTAATATATTTTAAGCCATTAAAATAATAAGATTCCTCAAGTCCATGCCTGCATAAATACATAGCCACCACTGGGAAAGCAGTCACGTGTGGTCTGTGCATCACTCTCAGCTGTGGAAGATGGGCCTTGGGCCTGGAACATTTTCTTATGGGAAGATAAAGAGCCTGCATAGCCTGTGCTGGGCTTATCACCTGGGAGGGGATATCGTTCCCTGTTACAAATTCCATGTGCACTCCTGTGTTCTGCTTCAGTGTGTGATCTGATGGCTGTCAGACACATCCCCAGCTTTTTGCATTTCAGATCCTACGTGGGGAAGAGTTGGGGTCCATGAAGTGGGTTGTGTGTGATCACACTGTGGAGTGTGGACCCACCAGCCATGGGGTCCAGCGCAATGCAAGGGGCTAGATCTTGTGTGCACGCTGCCTCTCCCCTGGCTGCAAGTCATCGCTGGGCCACTCGAGCCAGGTGTGCATGTTGTCTGTTCTCAAAGACCTCAAATCCTGTCTGGTGTCTTCCCCGGGGGACACTTATCTACTTTTTAACATCGGCCATATGCACATTATATTCTATCTTGCAGCCCAGCCTGATGACCTACTGAACAGGGAAATACCCTCAGATATACAGCAGAGGGAAAGCTCTTTCTTACAGTCAATCACCAACTAATACATGTTGAATAATGGAGTTAAAAAAGAATGATGGAGTTTTTTTTTTATCAGCATTTTGCAATCATCATGGTAATAATTGAATCAGGCAAATAATCAGCAATTTTGCTAAAATGGTGGGGTGAAACTTTGATGAAGGCTATGGCAATAAATACAAAAGGAAAATTGGTAAATTTAACAGATAAGAAACCTTCACCAAATAATCAGAATTAATATCACCAACAATGGGACAAGCTGACATCAGGCACTAATACATTGAGAAGGACAATATCAACATGAATTCCTGAATTTGGTCATTGTATAATGCTATGGCAGATACTTAAGGTGGTCCTCATGATCCCACCACCTGGTGTTCTTTTTTGAGATGGAATCTCGCTGTGTCACCCAGCCTGGAGTGCAGAGGTGCAATGTCGGCTCACTGCAACTTCCGTCTCCCAGGCTCAAGCCTCCCAAGTAGCTGGGATTACAGGCACCCACCATCACGCCCGGCTAACTTTTGTATTTTTAGTATAGATGGGGTTTCATCATGTTTGCCAGGCTGGTCTCAGACTCCTGACCTCAAGTGATCTGCCAGCCTTGGCCTTCCAAAGTGCTGGGATTACAGGCATGAGCCACTGCACCTAGCCCATCTGGTGTTCTTGACTTGTGTGACACCCTTCCCTTGAGAAGGGGCAAGACCTATGACTTTCTTCTAACCAATAGATTATGGCAAAAGTGACTAGAGGTCTGCAGTTATGTGCACATCATTACATGATTGTGTTACGTAACATTGTAGCCGCTTCCTGCTGGCGTCTCTCACTTTCTTGCTGGTTTTGAAGAGTCAAGCTTCCATGCTGTGGGTTATCTGTGATGGGAGGCACTGAGGGTGTCCTCTAGGAGCTGAAAGCAGCTTCCAGCAGAGATACCACAAGGAGCTGAAGCCCTCAGTCCTACAGCTGCAAGGACTGAACTCTGCCAAGACAGGCAGATTCTTCCCCTGGCAAGCCTCAGATGAGACCCTAACCCTGACCCACCCTTGATTACAGCCTTGTGCAACCCTATACAAAGAACCCAGCTAAGCCATACCCAGGCTACGGGATAATCCCACTGAAACTAAGGGATAATAAATGAGTGTTGTCTTGAGCTGTTAGGTTTGTGGTAATCTTTAATGCAGTAATGGAAAATGAGAGTGAATGTGTTCTGTAACAGAATGTCCTCACTTATGGAAAATGCATCCTGAAGTATGTAGGGAATCATCATAACGACAACTTTGAAAAGGCTCAGCAAAAAATAAATAAAATAACATAAAACTATATATGTTCACAGAGAGAGAGAGAGAGCCTATGTGGCAAAATGTGAACATTTTGTGAATCCACATAAAGGATATATAGGAGTAATTACTGTAGTTTTTCTATGAGTTTGAAATTTTTCTAAGTAACAAGCTCACTCCTGTAATCACAGAACTTTGGGAGGCTGAGGCAGGCAGATTGCCTGAGGTCAGGAGTTTAAGACCAGCCTAGACAGCATGGTGAAACCCTGTCTCTACTAAAAATACAAAAGTTAGCTGGGCATAGTGGTGGGCACCTGTAATCCCAGCTACTTGGAAAGCTGAGGCATGAGAATCACTTGAACCCAGGAGGCGGAGGTTGCAGTGAGCCAAGGTTGTGCCATTGCACTCCAGCCTGGGCAACAGAGTGAGACTCCGTCTCAAAAGAAAAGAAAAGAAAAGAAAAAAGAAAAGCTCTGCCCCAATCTCATGAAAACCCATTGTCCTGAACACCATCACATTCTCAGACCAGTCTATATTCCACTGTGTTGGAAGGAGTAGACACTGAGGCATCCACAATTTCTGATTTTTGATGTCTTCCCAACTACACTCTCCCCCAGCCTGACCTTGGGAATAACTGACACAATCATCATCTCTTTGTTAACATTTTGTATGTATTGTTGTTTCTTTTGGTTTTGAAAACATGTACCTTTGATTTTATCATTTCCTACCTTTTCTTGCAAGTAAGAGGTAAATTAATCTTATGCCTGATATCCTGTGTTTTGGCATTTTGAACTTGAGCTTGCACTTGACTGTCCATGCTACTACTCATTTGTGTTTAAGGGTTGTGGGTTGGAAAGTTCATCTGAGGCACTTTAGTGAAACTAGAGCACCCCATTATTTGCAGTGTCCCCAAGAGAAGGAAGCATGACTTCAACATTTTTAAATGCACAATTCCTGTAAAAAGTCAGTTGGGTTTTGGAAGAAATGGTCTATTTGATGTGATGGCTCATGATTGTGGTGAAGGTTTAGATCACGTATTGGCTCAGGTGCCCCAGGGGACTTGCTCTGAATGGTCCCCAGACCCTAATCAGATATTATGCAAATTTTGCTCTTGAAGACTTGGTCTGAGCAAAGATTTTTTGAGTAAGATTGCAAAAGCATAGGCAACAAAAGCAACGATAGACAAAGGGGGTAACATCAAGCTAAAAATCTTCTGCACAGCAAAGGAAGCAGTCAAGAGAGTGAAGCAACAACTCACGGAATGGGAGAAAATATTTGCAAATTACCCATCCTACAAGGGGTTAATCACCAGAATATGTAAGGAACTGAAACAACTCAATAGCAAAAAAATAATAAAAATAATCAGATTTTAAAATGAGCAAATGACCTGAAAAGACATTCCTCAAAAGAAGATATACAAGTGGCCAACAGGCATATGAAAAAATGCTCAACATCACTAATCATTAGGGAAATGCAAATCAAAACCACAATGAGATATCATCTCACCTCCATTAAAATGGCTGCTATCAAAAGACAAAAAAATAACAGATGCTGGTGAAGATGTGAAGAACGGGCAATGTTTGCGCACTGTTGATGGATGGAATGAACATTTGCGCACCCACTGTGGATAACAGTATAAAGGTTCCTCAGAAACCTAAAAATAGAACTACCATATGATTCAGTAATCCCTCTGCTGGGTAGATATCCAAAGAAAAGGCAATCAGTATGTTGAAGAGATACCTGCACTTCCACGTTCTTTGTAACACTGCTCACAATAGCCAAGATATGGAATCAACCTGTGTTCATCAATAGTTGAATGAATAAAGGAAATGCAGTATGTATATACAGTGGAGTACTATTCAGCCACAAAAAAAAGAATGAAATCCTGTCATTTGCAGCGGCATAGATGGAACTGAAGGTAATTATGGTAATTGAAATAAGCCAGGCACAGAAAGACAAATATAGCATGTTGTCACTCATATGTGCAAGCTAGAAAAAGTTGACCTCATGGAGGTAGAGAGTAGAATGATAGTTATTAGGGGCTGGAAGGGTAGAGGGTAGAAGGGGATGAAGAGAGGTTGGTTAATGAATACAAACATACAGTTAGATAGAAGGAATATGTTCTAGGGTTCGATAGCACAGTAGGGTGACTACAGTTAACAATGACATATTGTATATTTCAAAATAGCTAGAAGAGAAGATTTGGAATGTTCCCGACACAAAGAAGTGATACATGTTTGAGGTCTTGGATATCCCAATTACCCTGACTTAATACGCATTGCATGCATGTATCAAAATATTACATATAGTCCATAAATATGTACAACTATTACATATCAGTTTAGAAATAGGTGACAGCCAAGGAAGAAGGGCCTCCAGAGAGCCCGATGGGCCAGGACTGTGTGAGTAAATGAGCTTCCTGAGATTACCTGAGCCTTGGTGCGTTCATCTGCGAGTAGGCCTCTTTCCTGAAGAGAGAATGGAGACTGAAGGGTCTGTGCCGCTCCAGGTGATGCAGACAGAGCCCGCCGGGGCAGCGCTGGCCACTCTCCCCCCACTTTCTGCTGTGCACCATGCTGACTCAGCCACAGGTCTGCCCCCAGGACACTGGGCCCTAGGGAGTCTCTGAGAAGCAGTCATTGGTCTTTCAGCTCATTATGAGCCAATGGCTGGCGTGCTTGTCTCGTGGAAATAATTCCTTTATTCCCAATGCTCCAGTTTTCTGATGGCTTAACCACATGGATGGGTGTTCCTTTCTTTTCCTGGACAGACGATGGCATCGTAGCACTTCCTTAGCATACAAAGCACCCGCAGCATCTTCCCTTGTTTGATTGGATCAGACATGCTGGAAGAGTCTGAGGTTTAGGGTTTTGCTTCTAGTTCTGGATGAAACAGATGAACGCCATAATCCCTATTTTTCCTAAAAGGGAGACATGAAAATCTTGCGTTTATACTAAAAAGTGTTCCCATCTCATTGAAATTCAGGCTTGAACTATCCACCCTGAACACGTCCAGAAGCCCTTTCTCTAATTCTGGAAGCAGTGATCTCGGGAGAGAAGTTTTCCATCTGTCTCCTTATGATGCTAAGCTGTTAGTGCAGTTCATTATTTATTACATCTCCTGCTTTATGTTAAGCCATGATCTTCTTTTTTGCCATGTATTAAGAATTCAGTCGGGTTGGTATAAAAATAGGGTTGTTATCTGTGTCTCCAGACTGACTTTTGAACAGCATATTTTTTGGGGTAGGGGAGGTGGTTATAATTATTCCCAAACTACTTTCATTCTTATCCAATACTTAATATTGACTCTGGCTATTCACTATAATACTGCTTCTTATCAGACATGTGCGTGGCCGGAGTGGCAGTAAAGAGATACGTCTTCCGAGGCCCTGCATGTGTCTGTAGGGCTGGAGGACATTTGCTCCCAGAGGCAGAGAGATGACATGGGAGAATGTCAGCATATCAAGGCACAGCATCTCACAGTCATAGCAAATCCGGTCTCTGAATAGGCAGTTTGTGGCATGTGCTTTTAAAATACAAACTAACAGACACAACAACTGGCATTCCAAACATCTCCTGGTCCTCCAGGGCAGATGGTGCCAAGGCAACGATGTACTTATCAGAGCTAAGCTCCCCAGGCTCATGTGGGGAAGGGAGCTCTGGACTCTAACTCCCTCTTTGCCATCAGGGTTCAGCTCCCCCTTTTCAGCCCCGGGCCAGGCTGTCTGCAGCTAATGGGCAGAGGGAATCCTGGCCTACCAGCCTGCAGGGACATAGCTGAGTGCACCGCCATGGGGCAGGAAGGCAGTCCTGCACAAGACAGCCCCATGAGGGACAGAAGGAGGAAGGCACTGACACCATGGCCCCCTCTTTCCCCCAGTCCAGTCGTTATTGTCAACTCTCTTCTTGGTAACCCCTGGCCCCTCATGTCCTGCTCACAGAGGCTCAGGGGTGGTGAAATTGCCTCAAAGGGTGGTTATTTTATTGAAATAGAATCAGATCATTTTCCATCCAGCATCTTGTTTGTAGAAATATCCTATTAGACACAGAAAGGAAAAGATCAGTATCTTTTACACCATAATTAAAATATCACTTTTCTCAATGAAACATTATCTAGATTATCTCACAAAACAGCATTGCTTACAACATTGCTTACAAGCCTTATAAATGTGAGGCTGCCAGCTAGAACACTATAGAAAATGTTAGTTATTGCACCATCTCCCACAGTTGTTCTTTTGATGTGCTGGCTTGGAATAAACAGACTTATCTTTCCTGTCATACAACACTGTCCTTAATTTAATGGAGATGTTATTAAGATAAAATCTCTATTCAATTCCATATTGTACCATATTAACACACACAATTAGTAATGCTTTATCAGTTATGAAGAAAGATGATGACTGCTTTTAAGCTAAATTACCTTTATCATGGTAGCACATGAAAGAAGCGACAAATATTTATCCGAGTGTATGTTAATTCTTATTTAATTTTAACGCTGCTTTTATCAACCAAATTAACCAATGAATTTTATTAAAGGGAATGTTATAGAAAAGAGCTTCCAACACTCTCTTCCATCTGTTTTTATTTATATAATTTTGATGGTTTCTTTTTCTCTTTCATTTCATTTCTAATTAAGAGGAACACGTGGAAAATTGAACATTTGGGCTTAATTTTAACAGAATTTGGAATAATTAGAAGCATGTTCTTGTTAATATAAAGATTGTGAGTGTTGGGATTGCAGGGCTTACATCTGTGCATTTAAACCCCCTCCCACAAGGCATCTTGCTCAGTAAATCTCAAGAGGTGATGGGGGCATCGTAACATGGAAACATAATCTCACCTTAGTGATTTTACACTTAGGGAAGCCAAGCAATTCCTTTTTACAGTTTTAGAAATGCAAGTAGAATGTGACAGCAAGACGCATCTTACAATTCAGGTTGGAGCATTCTCCTCAGCAATATATAAACCTTGCTTCCCTTGGCCCTGGAATCACCCAGGAACTTGTAATGTGTGATTCTAATTGTGGATGGCACACACAGATGGGAGAGACTGAAATCAAGGAAAGCTCTCCTCCTTGGACTATGACTTTTTTTGACTTAAACTTTCTTGACCTTTTTTTTTCTCCCAAGGTGAGATATCAAGTATAGTAGCAATGTCATTGGGAATGCATACACCCTCAGGTAACAATCTGCAATCAGAAGGGACATACTTATCCTATCTTAGGGCATATTCAAATTTGAATTATGCTAGTTTTGTTTTTTTGTTTTTGAGACAGGGTCTCACTCTGTCACCCAGGCTGGAATGCAGTGGCACAATCATGGTTCACTGGAGCCTTGACCTCCCAGGCACAAGCACTCCTCCTGCCTCAGCCCCTTAAGTAACTGGGACTACAGGCATGCAACCACCATGCCTGGCTAATTTTTAAATTGTTTATAGACATGGAGTCCCGCTATGTTGCCCAGGCTGGTCTAGAACTCCTGGTCTCAAGTGATCCTCCCCCGTCAGCCTCCCAAAGTGCTGCAATTACAGGCGTGAGTTACAGTGCCCCAGCCTGTGCTAGGTTTCTTATTTGCTGTCTGGAAACCTTCAGGGAGACAGAACTTATTCCCACCTTTCATTACTTTTAGGAAGGAAACCACAGTGACTGCGCAACTTGAGAGATGCCTCTAGGTGCAGTCAATGAGCCCTGAAGGCCCTTGGCAATGCTGTGGCACAGCTGGTGTCCCCGCAGCCACTTCACATGTGCCCCACTCTCCAAACATAGAGGCAGCCCAGTTTTGGCTGTCTCAGACACCTCTTCACACTGATCTGACGGCAAGTGTGCAAAACATAAAGACACCATCCCGTGAGCTTGACAGGCCCTCACATCGGCCCAGGCTGACCAGATCTCATACGAAAGGTCACAGCCTTCTGTAAGAGCCATACTCATGAAGATTGCGGTGAAAGTGCATTGTGGTTTAGTTAACAGTGAAAGGAGTGGTTTGCATTTCCTATCATCCATATTTCATGTGCTACGGTTGAAAGCTGCAGAGCAGGACACCTGGAGCCTCCCAGTCTTCATGCTGACACTTACTTGATGCGTGACCTTGAGCAAGTCACTGGTCTCTCTAAGCCTCAGTTCCTTGTCTGTAAAATGGAGCGAATGCCTGTTTAATCTATAAAGTGCAATAAATCACACAAATTCTCCTCACGCTCAGGATCTTTAAAAGCGAGCAAAAACACAAAATTGTTTTTAAATAGTTGAAAATATGACACAGTGCAAACTATCATTATCATTATGTTTTTAATTGAAATCTGAGTCATTTTTTATTTCTTCTAAGCCAAAAAAAAAAAAAAATCTGAACACTTTACTGAAAAATAGATTGGAAAATGTCTGTGGCTGGCTGATAGGAAACTACTTCCAATTCCAGAAATACCAAAAATGGCATCTCTGAAAATCTAGCTCTGGTTTGGATGCACAGGGCATTTGTGATCTCATAAACTTGCAAACAGCCAAGGGGTGTTTTATCAAGTTGGAAACAATAGTTTGAATTTAGTCCATATGTGTCAATCTTCAAGTTGCAACTTGCTAGTCATACTAGTAGTGTCATTATTACCGTTGAGTGATGATAGCCATCTGAAAGCTGGGTTAGAATGGACAGGCTTACAAAATTTTATAGCAGCTCTAAATGACAATCTAATGCATCCAAAGCCTCTCTATCCCCTACCTAAACCAGCACTTCACAGCTATGGAAGACTCATAAAATTCCGAGCCTGGCAATTTATACTTAATCTCTCTAAAGAGCATGTGTTCAGAGCAGCCCCCTACTCTGTGAGATGGCATTTGAGCACCAACACCTCTGCTATATAAAACACCTTATCAGTAGTAAATATATTAATTTGACCCCAAGGGAGAGAAGGTGAGAGCAAATCAGCCGCAGCAAGCCATTTACATTCTTTATTTCTGCAGATGAATTCTCCGTCTATTTTCATCTTGTAATCAGGCACTTGCCAAATACACAAGAATTTCATTTTCTATCTCCACAGCATATGTGTCTCCTTACTTTGATATGTCCTGTTTTTAGGAAGTAGAGATGTTTTAAAATTATATTTCAAACAGGAAAAAAATCAGTCTCCATATAATTAGTGAATGTAACCAGATTATTTGCAATCAACATATACTTAATGCCTTATTACCCTAATGGAAGTTATTGTAAGTGATGATAAAATTGGCAGAAATAAGTTATGCTAAGTGATGATAAAATTGGTATTATTAAGTGATGAAAACCTTTTACCTTCCGCTGTTTTTTTTTCCCCATCTCTAATCTACCCAAATTCATCTTTAATGAGAGAACCTGGAGGACGCATTTATGGCACTTAGGTCAACGAGGAAAACACAGCAGTTTTTACCCACAGCCAGAACACATTTGCCGACCTCCAACCTCAGAGGGCAGAGGCAAGACGGACAGTTGGAAAAGCTCTCAACCTATTATTTGTAAGCTTTATATGTTCTTGCCCATTAGTGCATTCCTCTTTGTTCCTAATCTGTGGTTTTCCTCTTGACCTGTGACTCCCAGTCTTAGTGTCAGAGAAGAAATCAGAAGCAAAATGATTATTCTGAAGGCAGAAGAAAAACAAATAGAAAGTTACGTGCTGGCCAGGTGCGGTGGCTCACACGTGTAATCCTAACACTTTGGGAAGCCGAGGTGAGCAGATCACTTGAGGTCAGGAGTTCAAGACCAGCCTGGCCAACATGGTGAAACCCTGTCTCTACTAAAAATACAAAAAATTAGCTGGGCATGGTGGCATGCACCTGTAATCCCAGCTACTCGGGAGGCTGAGGTATGGGAATCCCTTGAACCTGGGAGGCGGAGGTTGCAGTGAGCCAAGATCGTGCCACTGCACTCCAGCCTGGGGGATAGAGCAAGACTCTATCTCCAAAAAAGTAAAACAAAAGAAAGAAAAAAAAAGAAAGGTATACGCCATATAAATGAGAGAGGTCCTTGGAGCTGGGAGGGTGGGCTTCTTAGCCCCGGTGCTAGGAACTAAGAATGAGTAACAACTGAAAAATCCCTCTCTTTAGCGGGTAGCAGGTCACCCGCTCGCACTTGACTGATAGTTGTGGGACACCTTGGCTCTCTTTAGGAACACGTCTTTGATAACCTGAAGGAGAAAAAAAAATAAACATGGATTTCTAAGTTGGCTATAACTGACTCCAGCTTTCCTGCTAAAAGCTCTAATGATATCTTCATGTCAGTGTGAGTGAGGTTGATGAAGCAGATGGGAACCTGTTTTCAGGGGTGAATGAATAGCAAATCGCTGGAGAAGAGCATGGTTGGCCTGCAGTTCCTAGGTCATAATGCTCTCGAAAGAAACAAAGGCGTGTATTTCCATTCCTTTCTCCCCAGCCCCACCCCCAGGATATAAGCTCTGTGCAGATGGGCACTTTGGCTTGTCCGTTCAACCACTTTCTCCTCAGCACCTAGGACAGGGCCTGAAGGAGCTCCGCACATGCTTGGATGAGGCACACGTGATGTGATGATGACCATCACCCAGGTTTGAAAAGAGGAACTGAAGGAATTAATGATCCCTTACTTGCAAACCTTCTCATCTTTCCAGAACCTCCCTTTCTGCCTCAGTTTCCCCTCTCTTTCCAGAGGCTGGCATTTGGAAGCCCTGGGTCATTATGATTCTTCCTCCACTGCTCACCACGTTCCATTCATTGGCAAATCATGTCCTTTCTGATCTACAGTGTCCTTTGGATTCCCTCTGCCAGGTACAGGACTGGACTCTCTTGCCTAGGCAGCTACTGCAGCCTCCTCTCTGGTCTCCCTGCCTCTACAGTACATCCTACAGTCTAGGGCCAGGTTGGTCTTCCTCAAGGACATCTGTGGTCATTGTCTGTATGCTCAGGAGTTTGCAGAAGCTTCCCACTGTCCCAGGCATGAAGTGCAGTTGCCTCGTGCAGGCATGTAAGGCCCCCAGGATGGAGCCCAAAGTCACTTTTTGGCCTTGCCCTCTCTGGATACATGACACTTTAATAGGGCTTCTTTGATGCTGAGTACATTTTGATGTGGCTGTTTTAAAATGTAGGTTTTAGTATTGTTCCAGTATGGTGAGGCCTAGAGATCAGGAGATGACAGCCATTGAAAAGATAGTTTGTTACTCACAGTTCCCGAGAAGTGAGGACAGGCCATGCCATGCAGGGCCACATGGGAAGTACCAGGGGCTGTCAGGAGGTAGAGAGATTGAGGGGGAAACATGGGTGACAGCCTTTATTGTGGTTTCTGCAGGAAGGAAAGGACAAGGCAGTGTAGGCAGGCTTAGGATTGGCTGGTCTGAATAATTTCAGCAGGCTCTGGGGTGTAGATGCCTTCCTGGGTTGTCTGGTACTTGGCCTTGGGTGATTATAGCTTACTGGCGTAGTAAAGGCAAGTCACTTACTATCTCTAGGATTTGGCCAGCCCTGGAAGGGGCAGTCTCTTCAGAGTCAAGCAGGGCCCCAAGATGTCAAAGCACCAGGAAATATGGACAAGAAAAAGCATGATTAATACAATGGTCTTAAAAACCCCTCGAATTATTAGACTGTTAAATAACGCCTAAAATAGTCTCACCCCGTCCCTGGGCTTCCCCAACTCTAAGACTCAGTCCAATGCAGATGCTCCCTACACTCCTATCTCCAGCTCCAGATTGGCCCTTAATTTTCTGGAAAATGCTCAACAATGATGGGAAATTAGACTTGAGCTTTTCACGTTTGCTCTCTGGGGAACTGCTGATCCTTACATTTAGATGTACCCCACACCTCGGTCTCAGCACGGACGGCCACTTCTGTGTCTGAAAGCCTGTTGTGGTCCATTTCCTTTACAATTGGCTATTAAGAATCCAAACCAGTCATCTGTTCAGCTAGGCATTTGCCATTTGGCAATTCATAACGCTTAAAATAGTCATCTCAAACTATTTTCTTAATTTTTAATAGGCTCTGTCTGTGCAACTGGATGCTGATTCCTGAGAGCGGCCCCTCTGCTCAGCCTCCCAATTATTTAAGAACTTGGCCAAGCCCCTAAAGACTTTTTTTCCATCTCATAGACTTTTATTCCGGCTTTAGGATAGCATAAATTCCACCTGATTACTCACTTCCCTGTTTTGTCCACACTTAGTCATTAATCAGTTTTATTAAAAATGGTGGCTGACTCAACTTGCCATTATATGTAAAAGCAGTTAACCGTCAGTATTTGTTTGAGAAGGACTCTCTTTTGAAAATCATTTTATTTCATATTTCTTCCCAGAAAACACGTGGGTAGTGAACACAGACATGAGAATAGGAGACTATCATTTCTTACATATTTCTCAATATCTTTCTTTAAAAGGAATATGTTATTACCTTCTTAATCTGTTGAGAATTATTTACTGTATTGTAGTAACTTTGAAAAACACCATAGATATGCAACAGGTTAAGAATACTTATTAAAAACTATAATTAAGGTCTATCCCCTAATCTGACAATAAATGAAATAGTAGATGTAAAAAAAATGCTTTTATAATTAAATTGTTCTCCTCCAAATGTCTTTTGTGCTGGAGGATTCAGAAAAAAAAAAGCTCTCAAGGAATAATTTCGTTGTCTGCTATTCATTATGGTAGTGTTTTTAGTACTCTACATTTTTTATCTATGCCTAAATGCATATATAAAAATAAAGGACATCCAACTTTGAGTGGTTAATTGCACGTGAAGTAGTGAATCCCATAGGACACAATCATTTGCAAAACTTGTAGGATCAGCTAATGCCCGTTAGTGAAGATGATTAACATGGAGCCAAGCTTGCCTGAGTGGGTGGTAATACAACTTTGGACACTGTGCTAGCTAAATATTTTTATGTAGATTTTCTCATTCAATCTTTAGAATATGCTTAGGAGGCAGATACTCTGATGTTTTCCATTTGGCCAATGAGAAAACTGAGCAGAGGCTTAGGGAGCCGGGTCCCTGACTCTGCCTTGGGTTCAGGCTGCTCTCCGCTGGGCCACCTCCCTGACCGCACCGAGGGCCGGTGTATTGATCCATTCTTTCACTGCTGCAAAGAAATACCTGAGACTGGGTAATTTATAAAGAAAAGAGGTTTAAGTGGCTCACCGTTCTGCAGCCTGTCCAGGAAGCACGGCGGCATCTGCTCAGCTTCTGGGGAGGCCTCAGGAAACTTACAATCATGGCAGAAGGCAAAGGCAAAGGGAAGCCAGCACTTCACATGGCCAGAGCAGGAGGAAGAGGGAGGAAGGAGGTACCACACACTTTTAAATGACCAGCTCTCATGAGAACTCACTATCATGATGACAGCACCAAGTGGCGGATGGTGTTAAATCATGAGAAACCGCCCCCATGATCCAATCACCTCCCACCAGGCCCCACCTCCACACTAGAGATTACATTTCAACATGCGATTTGGGTGGGGACACAGATCCAAACCTTAGCAGCCGGCCACCACTTTTCTCACAGTGGCCAGCTCACCATCACAATATGCTCTTGAAGAAAATAAAATGATCACACATGACCTGGAGATTTGAGGACTATGTCTTGGTGACCATTTGGGCCAGGAACTGCTGAACTTCAGCTGCCTTTATGGAGACTGTAAGCTTCACGGGGACAAGATCCATGTGAACCTCGCTTCCATTAGTCCCTCCAAACCCCATCCCAGTGCCGGGCCCATGGCAGAGCCCTGCTAAGGACAATCTCATGGACAGAGCTCCTGCCTAGGAGGTCACTTGGGGAGTCAGGTGCCTGGTTTGGACTCTTGCTTCTGCTCTTTGCTGTGTGACATTAGGCAAGTCACCTCACCTCTTCGAGTCTCAGCTTTCTCATCTCTAAATATGAAGATGAAATCTGCTTCCTGGGGTGGTTGTGAAAACAAGTGAGAAAATTATTGTGAAAGTGTTTTGTAAACTGTAATTAATATAAATATAAGCAATTAACCAAGATCCAGTTGCCTTGCAAGGCACTGATGGTGAGGCCCAGGGACCTCCAGCCGCTTGCTCTCCAGGCAGCCTAGCCATCCCAGGGACCCCAATGCCTGAGTCCATATTGGGCAGGTTCCCTTGGAATGCTGAGAATGAAGGTGAATATACTTGGTCATGCCATAGGAACTTCAGGTCAAAACCCCACACAGCTGAGTCCCTCTGCTGGCCCTGCTCCAAGGCGGAAGAAGGGTGATCTCTGATACTCACTGTCACTCACTGTGTGCTGGCCATGTCCCATCACCAATGAGGCGAGCAGAATCGCCTCATTCACAGAGGGGAGAGGCTGAGACCACAGCCTGGAGGGCAGGCACAGGCCCCTGAGCAGGGCAGAAGCCACGGCAGGCTGCCTTCCAGGGCTGCCATCCAACTTCAGAGCCCCCAACCGACCACGGAGGTGCACTGACAAGCTCTCCTCTGAGAACCTGAGGAGTTTTGAGGCTAGGATCTGTCTATCCCGCTCACTGGGGCCCAGCCCCATCTGGGAGATAGTGCCACAGAAGCTGCTGGCTCACTAAAAATTAAACCTTCCTCCAGCTAAGTCCAGGGCACAGACTGAAAGGACCATCCTTCACTGACTGCTTGTGAGGAGGCGTGACCGTGCCCGGCCAGGCCCTGAGTTGCTGAGCCTCTTGAGGAGGGGGTGAGGGCAAATGCGGGTGCCCCAGGCAGAGCAGGGAGGACGAGGGGGAGAAGGGCTGTGCTCTGCCGAGGGCAGGTTTGCAGGGAAAATGTTTTAGTTTCTGTTTTTTATTAAGGTGAGATACATGTAAGATGAAGCATTTAAAATTATATAGCACAACTCAGGAGCATTTAATATCTCCCCAGAAGCACGCAGCCGTCACCCTTTCCAGTCTTAAAACATGTCCATCACCGCTAAAGGAGAGCCTGTGGGGATTTTGGAACTGTGACCCTGACCACCTCCTTCAGATAAGTCCTCAGGGTGCCTTGTGCTGCCTCTGCGTAAATGGATTTCAGGGGGAGGGCCTGGGGGATTCCATATCTGACTCTTCCTCAGGACAGGTGACACAGGAGCCAAAGGCAGGTGGGACCCACACCTAGAGTCAGTCTGGGGGTGGCAGGAGTCAGCAGGAGGCCACTGAAAAGGGGGAGTTTGTGAAGCCACCTTTACCTCACAGGACAGCCTCTTCAGAGCTCTCCAAGGACACAGAGGCCCCAGCTGACCTCTGGGTTATATAAGCCATTTGTGTGTCTAAAAGGCAGCTTCCCAAGCTCAGCACAGAAATTTCTAGTACATAAAATGCCTTCCTCCGAGCTGTACCCATTGTGCCTTGCATTCCAGAAGCAACTGTGCTTCAGACAGCTGCTGTAAATTGTCCATGAAGCAAGGCTGTTCTCCTATTGGCTCTGTGATCATCTCCAAGGCAGCTTCCCATCTCTCACTGTTTCTGCCTTGGGCTGATAATGGTGCAAAGCAGGCGAGGAAGGGAGAGGGCGGGGAAGAGGGGCCCGAGCTCCCTGCTGGCCTTCTGGGCAGCAGCCTCCCAGGAGCAGGCGGCGGCGTCCAGCTTCCTGGAGCCACAGCCAGGCCCAGGCATGAGCTCTGCCCCTCCCCCAGGCTGCTGCTGCCCGCACCCCAACCTCTCCTCTTGTCTAGAGTCAGAGCCACATTTTTTATTTCCCTCTGGTGCATTTCTGGTATTTCTTAGTTGTTTTACCGAAAAGCCACTTTGAAGAACATCTCTATTCTTTAAAGCGAGGTGTACCTATGTACTCTTGAGCTAAGATTTTATTTTATTGAGGATTTCCTTATATTGTGATTATTTAATGGACAATCTGCCCTGCTGGGAATGGCAGCAAATGAAACTATTGACAGGAAAAAAAAGATGCACTTTCTGAGACACACTTGGCAAAGCAAATCCAGCTTCTTACAAGAAAAGAATGTAATGAATTTTTCTCTATTTTTAGTCACACATAAATCCCTTTAATAGGTTTGAGCTCAAAACTCCATATTTGTCTTGGCCTGAAGTTCAATTTACAGGGTAAGTTTAAAGGACAGTGTGCTTGTCCGGCTCTGCGCATCACGTCTCCCCAAGTGGGCAGAGAGGCCTGCAGGATCCAGGGTGTCACGGCCACCCTGCAGCTGGGGCCCTCACACATGTCCGGGGATAGAAAGGAAAGGGCCTCCTCTCGGCTTTTCTGGGAGGAGATCAGATGGGGATAAAATGCCCACCGTGGGCCTGGGAACAGCAGTTATCATATCCCAGTCCGGAAAGATGGGAGGGAACAATTTTGAAGTCCACCCTCAGGGAATTTAAACGAAGGCCCCAGCGGGAAGGGGGTGGGATCACTACACTGAAATGAAAGACGGAGAAAAAGAAAAGCATTGCAGCGGCCGGGCGCGGTGGCTCACGCCTGTAATCCCAGTACTTTGGGAGGCCAAGGCGGATGGATCACTTGAGGTCGGGAGTTTGAGACCAGCCTGACCAACATAGAGAAACCCCAGCTCTACTAAAAAGACAAAATCAGCTGGGGGTGGTGGCGCACACCTGTAATCCCAGCTACTCAGGAGGCTGAGGCAGGAGACTCACTTGAATCTGAGAGGAGATGGTTGCGGTGAGCCAAGATCGCACCTTTGCACTCCAGCCTGGGCAACAAGAGTGAAACTCCATCTCAAAAAAAAAAAAAAGAGAAAAAGAAAAGTGTTGCAGCCTAGGGTCACTGTAAGACTCTAAGCCTCCCTGTTGGACAACTTAATTTTTTTTAGGTCTTAACACAGACAGAGAGTCTTTGCCCTGCACAAGGGATACGGCCAGGATTATGTAGAGGGAGGCAGGCCCAGCATTGGCAATGAGGGGTGACTAAGGAGACAACATTAACAAGAGAGATCAAAGCCATGGCCAAACCAAAAGTTGCACAAGGGCCACGCCATGTCACCAGCCCCGTAGGAAGGCAGAGGCATTGGAGGCTGCTGACAGTGAACAAGAAAGGGTAGTGTCTTGACTTCAGAGGCAAAGTACCCTAAAGGACCACATGGGACTAACCTGGGAGCCCTGCCAGGAAGCTAGAAGGACATTGTGGGGTGGGGGAAAGAGGGTTTAGGGAGTCGTAAGCAAAGCAACCAGCAGACCCATACCTCCTTGACCACAGCCTCAGGTTGCCATGGTTTGGGAGTCCCAACCCACATATGTTTACATCAGGGCAACACACTTGAGATGAAAGAAAAACACTGCAGCTCACGTTGCCTGTAGTCCGGAGATGACCCCTGTTCTTACCATACGCCATGATTAGTGATAAAACAGGGCTTAGAGCTTCTGGGATCAGGGAGGGGCTGGCATCACTAGCTAGGGGTGTACCCACGGCTCACCTCCTTCAACATCTGCCCAAACCAGCTGCCATATGAGCAGCCAAGACGCACTGCATTGCTGCGGAACAGCCCATCCTTTCCACGCCCCCTCCTCCTTCCAACTCCCCTAGGAGTCAAACCAGGTGATAGCCCCGTATGCCTAGCAAACTGCCTTTGTATGATGCTCTGTGCTGCTTGAAGCACTTGAACAAGCTTTCACTCTGTCCCCATCAGCCCTCAGTGAGACAAGCAAGGCAGGGAGGTGCATCATAGATTTGTCATTGAGAGACTAAGCCACAGAGAGGCTCCGCCACTGCTCAGGGTCAAAAGCCCTGCGCTAGAACCCAAGTCTCTCCACTCCAGTTCTGATGGATGCACCATGGCCCTCCACAACCCATGGGATATCAACATCCTGCTGGGGTGATTTTTAAAGTATTCCTTTGAAATGCATGTGGCGTAGACATACATAACTCATTTTTTAAATCTACATAATCTTAAAAATTACAGCATACAGAGAATAGCCTCCTTGAGACTGCCAGCATTGACAGCACAAAGCAATAGAGAATTGGAAATCAATCTGTTTTCCAGGTCAAAATCCTTTAGTATAAGCTCTCATTAAAGGCTTTTAAAAGCACCTTTGCTGCCTTCAAGTTCTTTAAATGTCTTTTGCCTTCTTACCGCCTTTTGTGTGTGTGGTAAGAACACTTAACATGAGCTCTACCCTCTTAATGTTCAAGTGCACAGAACTGCATAATTAACTAGAGGCACTGTGTTGCACAACAGAGCTCTGGAACTTGTTCTCTGCACTTTAAGCATAAACAGCACCACCTGAGCCCCTTCAATGTGGTCACCAGGTGTGTCTGTTATTCCAGTCATAGCTGGGAACCTGCACAGTGCCTGGCCCCTGGGTGTTTACTGGGGAGGCAACAGAGTGCACGCCTATTGTCGTGGTCTCATTTTTCAGAACTTCTGGTGGAGAGACATAGGGTTTGAGATTTTTCTGACTAAATCACAGTAAGAAATCTACTCCAAACTTTACATTCTAAACTTGCATAGTTTGAATAACAATGGGATCTTAGTTCCTCTAAGTCTATGCCCAGGTTCATTCCCCAAAGTGCAGAAATCGAACCCCGGCCGTTCTCCCTACAGTGGTGGAGGAACCAAATCTACCGAATGTTCCTTCTGTCTCAGGAAACAGAAGGACCAAGCCAATCTAAATCTCATTTTTTAAGAGAATTATGTTTTGAAAGGAGGAGATTTATGCAAGTTTTCTGTTTAATTCAGAGCTACAGGGAAATCTAGATTGATCACAAAAGTAGTTTCCACCCTTCCCTGTGGCATTGGAAACAGCACGTGCTGCACATGCCGTTGTGGAGGTCTGACCATCAGTGAATGCACTCAGTCATTGAAAGAACAAGACAAAACCCCCACACTACTGAGCACCTCATTTTGATTTTTACTCCCAAGGCCAAATGTTAAATAGAGCTCCTCTGCCTTGGTGAATGAAGACATTATCTGTGATTTACAAGGGGTAGCTGGCTCAGCAGACACATTTACATGTGCTAATAACTGCAAACCAGACAGCAACTTCCCCATATATAAAACGATAACTGATAAATAAGCCAAACTAAACAACAGCATCAACAGCAGAAAAGCTCTAAAGGAACAACAACAACAACCAAAAATCTTGAAAACAGGATTTTCTCCTCTATACTTTTCCTCCATACTTCTGCTTCAGCTCCAGGGTGAGCTCTTCTTGGAAGGACTTTGCATTGGTTGCTGTCTGCTTGCTCCCCACCCAGATCACTTCTCTCCCTTCCTCTGCTCTGTTCGGTGTGTGCCCCAGTAGTAGGCTGCCCTCTGCAAAATGCATTGTGCTGGCAGGACTTCTGGTTGAGTTCAGCCAATGGGAGAGGCTGGCAAGAGATTGGAAGGCATGAAGAAAAAGAGGGAATTTCTTCTTCCTTCTTCCATACCTTGGGGCCAGGCCTCCAATTATAAGCAGGTCCACAACTCTGCCTCCTTGCTCCAACAGGACTGTTTCCTTTTCTTGTCCCTTAGCCCCAGGAGAAGCAATTGAGAAGGAACAAGGACCCATTCTTTTGTCCCTCCCGACTCCCTATCATACATGGAAATAAAATAAAGTCTTGAGTTCCTTCAAGGGAAACTCTAGGAACCTAGCTAGCCCTGAGAAAGTAAATGAGCAACTTGGTAAGCAAGAAGGTGATAGCAGCTTAAAACAATAGCCAATGGAAGTTAAAAATCACAAGATGTTTGGTTCCCTGTGGAAACTAAAGATAACATCTTAACGTATGTCCCTGAGTTGTTCCTCAGAAACCCCGCCCTCACCAAATGGATCTGCTGGCCTATAGACCTCAGATAAGAGGAAACTGCGGACTAAACTCTGACCACCGTTGTTTGTTCTAAATTTCTTCCTGAGGGGCCTGGAGGAAATGAGGCCCACGGGCCACACCCAACATTCTTTTCTGCTGATTCCAAGTCTCTAGACAAAGCTTCTCTTCCTTAGCCAATTGCAAATCAGAAAATGTTTGAATCCACCTATGATGTGTAAGGCCTTCCCCACCTTCAAGATATCCCACCTTTTTAGGCCAAACCAATGTGTAACCTGCATGCATTGATTTACGATTTTGCCCATAACTTCTGCTTTCCTGAAATCTACCCCTGCCTTTAAAAACTCTTGCTTGCAAGCCATCAGGGAGGTCAAGTCTTAAGCGTGAGCTGCCCAGTTCTCCTTGCTTGGCACCCTCCTTTCTCCTACTGCAAAACCTCAGTGTGAATGTTTGGTCTTACTGCACCAGGTGAGCAGACTCCAGGTCGGTCCAGTAACACAATGGAGTGCTGAGACCATGTGGACCTGGTGTCTGTTCCCAATTTTCAAGAGACGTCCAAAACACTGGGTTTTTATTTTTAAATGTCCAGAACTAATCCAAAAATAGAAAAACACTGATGAAACCAAATGCAATATGTCAAGAGACCAGAGGCTGCCAACTTCCCATTGCTGGCTTCAACTATAGACCTAAAGGCCAAGCAAGAGTTAGCCGGGTAGAGAGGTCAGTGTGTGTGTGTGTGTGTGTGTGTGTGTGTGTTAGTGTACACACACATATGTGAGTGCGTGTGGTGGGGGCTGGGGATAGGTGCTTCAGTGGAAAGAGAATTCCAGGTAAAAAGAACAGCATGAGCAAACACCGCAAACAAAGTCAGAGCTGGCAGGTTGAGAAAAGAAGAGGAATTTTATTGGCTGAGGAATGGGACATGAAGGAGACATGGTCATGGAGAGGCTGAGTGAGCAAGCGGGGCTGGTAGAGAAGGTCTGGCTGGGCCAGTGTGGGAGGCACTGCTGATTGCGCTACCCCTGGCTATACTTCTTCACAACTGGAACCTAAGTTATTTAATTAGGAAGCAGCAAGTCACTGAGAGGAGGTGAGGCCCCTCCCCACTCCAAGATCTAAGCCAATCATGGTAATATCCCATGACCACTCCAGGGATTGGTTTCACACTAAAAAGAATGCAATGCTGTGCTTGCGGAGAAGACAATGGGGAAAAGAGCTTTCTACAGAGGTTTTCCTAATAACTAAGAGTGGCACAGGAACAAAGGTCCCCTCCCTGCCTTTTGCCTTTATTCCCCTGTGGGTATATTCTGGCTACATCTTAGGATCAAAAGAAAAACCAACCTCAGAAGAAGAATCAATGTGCTGGAAGGCAAAGTGGCCAGATGCAGAGAATTTCGTCCATGATGGGATCCTTGGGCTGAAGAATTAAGTGGTTCTGAAGCTTCTGTTCCTTGCACTTCTTGTTCTGTGAGGTATGAAATTTTCTTATTGTTGACCCATTATGAGTTCTGTTGTCTGATAATTACTGCAGGAAATGTATGGAGTAATCACCACTGGTTAGGAAGTTTGCACTTTATCCCGAGGGCACTGGGAAGCCATTGAAAGGCTTTAAGGACAGAAGTGTCCTAAATCTGAAGGATCACTCCCACTGTGGTGCAATAGAGGGACACTGACAGGCAAAATAAGAGTTGGGGAGGAAAATGTATCTTTTATTTTGTCCCAGAAACTCAGTTCCCTGAGGAAACTCTTCCTTAATCTGTCACAGCACCTTTCGTATGGTTGGCCCTTATGTTTGTTCAGTGACTGAGATGAATTGCTGAGTGGTCATCCCTTCCCTTACCACCGAAGTAGCTGGAGGTCTGCCTCCAGCTGGGTCAGTAGAAAATATCCACAGGTTTCCTTAACAAGAATTGCCAGTTAACTTTTTTCTTTTCTTTTCTTCCTTCCTTTTTTTATCTTTTCCTTCTTTTCTTTTCTTTTCTTTTTTTTTTTTTTTTTTTTGCAAAAAGTATTTCTATTGCCAGAACCAGCTCTGTAATCAATTGACAGAGCATAGTGCAAAATGAATACATGAAGCCCCTTGTCCAAAAAGAAGGAAAAAAGTGGCATTAAAGGTACTAAAATACAACCAAGTGTGATGGCTCACCACCACACCCAGCTGTAATCCCAGCACTTTGGGAGGCCAAGGCAGGAGCATCACTTGAGGTCAGGAGTTCAAGACCAGCCTGGCCAACATGTTGAAACCCCGTCTTTACTAAAAATACAACAATTAGCCAGCCATGGTTGCGTGCACCTGTAATTCCAGCTACTCAGGAGGCTGAGGCAGGAGAATCACTTGAACCCAGGAGGCAGAGGTTACAGAGAGCCGAGATCATGCCACTGCACTCCAGCCTGGGTAACAGTGAGACTTTGTCTCAAAAAAGAAAAAGGTAGTAAAATAAAAAGGTTTTCACTTCCCTACGTACATCTCCTCTGTTTACATGAATGTTCCATTGCCACATTGGACTTGACTTGCAAAACACAAGTTCAAAGAACTATTAAGAATTTAAAGCTGGTGGGCCAGGCGTGGTGGCTGATGCCTGTAATCCCAGCACTTTGGGAGGCTGAGGCGGGCAGATCACGCGGTCAGGAGATCAAGACCATCCTGGCTAACACAGTGAAACCCCGTCTCTACTAAAAAAAATACAAAAAAATTAGCCAGGTGTGGTGGCGGGCACCTGTAGTCCCAGCTACTTGGGAGGCTGAGGCAGGAGAATGGCATGAACCCAGGAGGCGGAGCTTGCAGTGAGCCGAGATCGCGCCACTGCACTCCAGCCTGGCTGACAGAGCAAGACTCTGGATCAAAAAAAAAAAAAAAGAATTTAAAGCTGGTGAGAGCAGAGCATCAAATATCCAGCCTGGGACCCTTCCAAGAGTGGGGCCCCATGGGCCTGGGCAGGTTTTGCATCCATGAAGCCAGTCCTGCCTGGAGCCAAGAGCTTCAAGCTGCGAGGTACATGGGCAACAAGCAGGCGGGTAGGGCAGAGGGGCACGCAGGGCTGGGTTTCTAGGATGCTAACTGCATTCCAGTTATTGATCCGTGGGCTTTATAATTATGACTTACTGGAATGTGTGTTTTTAATACACTTCTTTCTAACTATATTATATTTTCCAATTATAAAAATGCAAATGAATGATAAATTCATCATCGTGGGTTTAACGAATTTTCTAAATTTTTCTCTCCTGGGATCTTTTTCTCTGTTTTCATGATTGTTTTGGATGTTTCTACCTTGTCATTCATTTCCTTCAAATGTCCCAGGAGTAATCCAGATGCACAGGTTCCAGGTTGCACACTTCTTTATGATCCTGCGGCACAGTAAATAAACCCAGAACAGAGTTCAGGGACAAATTAAAGGGTTAACCTTTTCCAAAAGTATTGACAGAGATGAAAAAAATTGTTTCACACATCAGAAAGAACAACTGACTCTCTTCAGTGCACAAATGATGTCCACTCCCCTGTCTCATGGCTGGAAAAAGCCTTCATGTTTGTTCCATATAGGCCTTGTTCTTCTACAAAGGACCAGACTAAACTCTGTCTCCAAGAGTAACAGGCTCCACACCCTGCAGGTCACCCAGTGTACCTTCTCCACCTGTTGGGACAGCACTGCTACCCCTGCTCATGTGACTCCAGGAGGAAAGGGGCTCTAGTCTCATTCAATGAGGTGGGCTGTGCCCTCCTTGCCCTGCTCACCAAGTTATTAAATGGTAATTTTAAATGAGGGGCTGAGCTACAGCAGAGGCTTCCTATCAAGTGATCCATGTACAAAATACAATACTTACCTATAATAGTTTATCAATATATGTCATCCTTTCTAAGACAAACATTCTTTTTTTACTTTAACCTTTCGGGAATTAAGACACGCCTTGCAATCAATGACATCGTATGTCTTTTGTCAACAGTCCTGGGCAGGCACTGACATCTAAAATACCAGCATCAAAACCATGCAGAATAGAGATCAGCTGCTGGGACGAAACTCTCCGACGTCAGAGTGGAGTGCTGTTTAAACTCCTGGGAGCTAAGGGGTTGCCAGGACATGGTAGGGAGATGGTATTTAGATGGTAAGCCAGGCATACTTAGCAATATTCTCAAAGCAGGAGCCACAAGTGGGCTGGCTGTACAGAAAGAACATTAGCTGAAGAGCCCAGCACCAGTGCTTTTAGGGCCTTCTTCAGAAAATGCTGCATCACCAGTGAGTTTGATGGTCTTACAGCACAGAGCATAACATTGGGCAGGAAAATGTCACCTTCTCTGAATCACACAGTGCCTCAGGAAAGTCAGACTGGATGCAAAGAAGTTTAAGCAATGCCTGAAATGATTAATTTCACTTATATTTTCATTTTTACACAATTGCAAGAGTGCTATGTGATAAAAATCTATGTCCAATTAGGACGGCTATTATTTTAAAATGGCAAATTGTAAGTACTGGCAAGGGTGTGGGGAAAGGGGGACCCCCTGCACTATGGGTGGGAATGTAAAATGGGGCAGCCAGTGTGGAAAACAGTAGGGAAGTTCCTCAGAAAATGAAATATAGAATTACATGATCCAGCAATTCCACTTCTGGCTATATACCAAAGTAACTGAAGGCAAGGATTCAAACAGATATTTGCGCACCCATGTTCGTAGCGGTATTATTCACACTAGCCAGAAGCAGCCTGAGTGCCCATCCATGGATGAATGGACAACAAAATGTGCATATACACAATGGAATATTATTATTCTGCCTTAAAATGGAAGGAAGCGCTGACATGGGCTACAATGTGGAAGAGCCTCGAAGACATTATGCTAAACAAAATCAGCAACTCACAAAAGGACCACTACTGTATGATTCCACTTACATGAGGTACCTGGAATAGTCAAATCCATAGAGACACAAAATAGAGTAGTGGGTAATAGGGGCTCAGAGGAGGAGTTACTGGGGAATTGTTTAATGGGTACAGAATTTCAGTTTGAAAAGACAGAAAAGTTCTAGAGATAAAGCGTGATGGTTGCATAACAATGTAAATGTACTTAATGCCACTTAACTCTGCACTTAGAAAATGGTTGAAGGTTGGGGGTAGTGACTCATGCCTGTAATCCCAGCACTTTGGGAGGCCAAGGTGGGAGGATTGCTTGAGCCCAGGAGCTTGACAGCAACCCTGGCAACACAGTGAGACCCTGTCTGTACAAAAATAAATTTTTAAAAATTAGCCAGGCATGGTGGTGCGTGTTTGTGGTCCCAACTACTTAAGAGGCTAAGGTGGGAGGAACACTTGAGCCTGGGAGTTCAAGGCTATCGTGAGCCATGATCACACCATTGCATGCCAGCCTGGGTGACAGAGAGACCCCCTCCCTCCCAAAAAAAGGTTGGAATGGTGAATTTTATGGATATGTAACTCCAGTTTAACAAATCTATCTTATTAAACCTATATTAGCTCTATTACTAAGTATAAAATTATAATTGAAGTGATAAGAAAGCATTTTGCTACATTTAATTTACAGCGTTTTTTTTCCTTGGTGGTAACTAAATTATGGGGCATCTTTCAGACATTGGCGTCCTAGATTTGTGAAATATGGCCATATGCCTTCTTTCTTTCACCCTCTCCCTCTGTATAAAAAAGGTCCTCGTGAGAGTTTCCCCTTTGGAAAGGGAAACTTGTGCCCTGCAACTTCACTTCTGATCAATTATAGGGTTTACTTCACACCCAGCACGAATCTAAGAGCTGGGATTAGAGACCTAATTCCCAACTTCAGTGAGTATATGGCTTCTTGGTCAGGTAAAAATAATGCAAAATGCTTAGGGGTGGAATTGTAAGTTCCGGGCCAGGAATCTGAAGAGGAATATTCTAGTCTAAACTGCACCTGGCAAGTCACCTTGCTTCTCTGGGCCTCATCTGCAAAATGAGATGTTTAAATTAAACTTCTGAGGCCCCTTAACACTTTTCTGCATCCATGAAGATAATTAGACAACATATAATCAAAGTGAAGCATCAACAAATAGAGCAGAGACAGTGCTTATGTGCCCATCAAATGTGTCCCTTTTCTTCCTGGGCCGATAACTTCACTACATTACAGTGCCTCTGGCAGAGAGGCAGGACCAGCTGCCTGAGTTCTGGCCAAAAGAACATGGTGAGAAATTACACCTGCCACCCTCAGACCTGGCCTCTGGAACATTCCAAGGAGATCCTCCACTCTCCATCCTTCTTTGGTACCCTAGGAGGTCACAGGTTGAAGATGCTTCTGCCACAATGGAAGGGACTTGGTTCCAGTGCCCAACCCACATGGACTGTGACATGAGCAAGAATTACGTTGTCATTCCTTTAAGCCACTCAGATTTTGTTTGTTGTTTGTTTTTAATAACTAGCATACCCTGAATGAAACAAAAAGCAAAGTATGAGTTTAATAAGAGTTCTGGTCATGCGTGGTGGCTCATGTCTGTAACCCCAGCATTTTGGGAGGCTGAGGTGGGTGGATCACCTGAGGTCAGGAGTTCAAGACCAGCCTGGCCAACATGATGAAACCCTGTCTCCACTAGAAAATACAAAAAATTAGCCAGGTGTGGTGGCGCATGCCTGTAGTCCCAGCTACTCATGAGGCTGAGGCAGGAGAATCGCTTGAACCCAGTAGGCAGAGGTTGCAGTGAGCCCGGATCACACCAATGCACTCTAGCCTGGGCGAAAGAGCATGACTCTGTCTCAAAAAATAAAAAGTAAAAATAAGAGTTCTTCAGATGTAGGAAAGGTCAGAGGGGAGGTCATTGACACAAGTCCTAAAGGTACAAACAAAATGGAAAAGGGAGATGTTCGGCCCTGGCAGAAGCAGAAACACTCAGAATGTGGATATTTGGCTTTGGTTTGTTCTGAGAGCTGGAGACGAATGTTTGATGTTATAATCCACCTCCATGCCCAACTCCCTTTGCCCACCTGCCCCCACACATATCCAGAGATTCTCCATCATCCAACAGTATCACTGGAAAAAATCTTCAAAATGACTCTGGATGGATCCAGTAATATGGAAACAAAATATGCCTGACCATAAAGAAAACAAGGCACTGTGGAGCCTAAGTAGATGAACCGTGCGTGTGCTGAGCATTCCCGCGAGATCCCCTGAGATCCACCTCCAATAATAGAAGCCAGCAAACCCAAACCAAGAAGAGGAGCGAAGCAGCAACTGGACAGGGGTGGACGAAATCCCAAAGGTGGAGCTTGCTAGGGTCCTCCCAGGCAGGAGGCCAGGATGAACTCTAAGACCCCCACTGTGCAGGTAACAGGCAGCATGGGGGCTATCAAGGAGGAGCCCCCTCCAGAAGTCCTTCGGGGAAGACCCACAAGCCCCAAGTTGCATCACTGCGTTCATCACAGAACACCAGGGGAGGTGTGGGGAGGGAGGATGGAGACAAGGGGGAAAAGCAAGTTGGGAGAGGGAAAGAGGTGGGGAGGAAGGAAGAGAGGAATGAAGGGAGGAAAGAAGGACGGAGGGCAGGTGAGGGGGCAGGCTATAAAAATAGACGTAACTTCAAGGGAAGCTTGCTAAGGATCTTAAATAAAAGGCAAAACCTTCCTAAATGGTTCAGGACCAAATATCCAAGAGGTCAGTTGACCCCTTCTCCATGACTAATTGATCTCCTTACATAAATAAGAAGGGTCAACATTTAGCCAGAAAGCAAAACAAGGGTTGTTTCATTTACCTACATCCAAGCCTCTGAATTCCTGCAGCTTCCAGGAGGGATTTCAGCCATTTAAACAAGACTTTGCAAGCACTTTATTGTAACTGCAAACTCAGAGACAAAGATGAGAATTACGCACGTGTGAACAATGATTGCCCTTGGCCAGGAGACGAAAATGGGCTGGGGCAGTAGATTGGAGCCAGGCTGCAAGACAAGGATGGCAAACAGATCTCAAGTGGGCTCCCACCCCAGGGCCTTTGCACTTGCTGTCCCCTGCCCCGAAGGCTCTCCCCCTGGATGTTTGCAGGGCTGGTTCCCTCACTTCGATCAGTTCTCTATTCAAATACCATCTCTTAGAAGGCCTTTTTTGACTCCCATTAGCAAAATGACTCCCCAGGAAACTTCATCTCCTTAACCTGCTTTAGTTTTTCTTCATGATGTTATTTTCCCTATCTGACGCCCAATTGTATACCTGCTTGTCTGTCTCCTATGAGGGCATGTGCTTTTCTGTGTTTTCTGCTTTGTCTTTAAGGCCCAGAAGCGTGCTTGGAGCATAGGAGCCACAAATAGTTACTTGCTGAGCAATCTTCCTTGCTAACTCATGCTTGTAGCTAGTGGCCATTTGATGGCTGCTTTGAGAAAGATTTGGGAGAATCAGAGTGTGGTCATCAATGACCGACATCCTCCTCAGCCTTTGGGAGGCAGAGCTACACTGCCTGGTAGGCTGGCAACACTGCTGCCTGGTAGAGGGGTTGAAATGGTACTGAATTGGGGCTTCACTAATATGGTAGCCAATGAGTTAGCACTATAGGTGTAGAGGTGGGAGGAGTATCATAATGAAAATGTGGCAGGGTAAGAGATTTCCCCTGGCAAGGTATACAGCTTCTGGTAGAATGGTCCTGATGTGGGATAAGCCTGGAGCTGGCAGATGCTGTGGGAAGCAGCCCAGGTCAGGGGCTGTGAGGCCCTTGGCAGAGAGAGTGCCTTGAGCAGGCTGCACTGGATGGTGAGCCTTGTTTGAGATCTCACCCCTCAGGAGGCAGGGCTTGTTTGAGATATTGCCCAGGGTTAAAGGAAGGACAATTGAGATGAGGAGGGACCAATCTGTCCACTGCCACCACCCCCACCCCCACCTCAGCATCCCAGCATCCTCGCATTACCCACAGCTGTCGCCTCCTTCCCAGTTCAAAGCAGAATTGAGAAGAGTCCATGAAAGAAGAGTCAGCAGTGAATAAGTAAGCCCACAAGTTAATATGTCATTAGGCAATATCCTTTAAACACTCTAAATTTGGACCTGTGACACAATTTCTCTTGATTCACGAAGCAAAACTTGACAGAAAGGAAACCTCCTTCCCCTTTTAAGCTTGAGGAGTCTGCCAGGCCAGACAACACCCAGAATCTTCTCCATCATATTTTTAATCATAAGTTGATTGTGAGCTCTTAAGCAATGTCCTCAGTGCCATGCCAGGGCCCAGCACAATAGTGCTGGCTTCCCAGGGCTGAAACACCTTCCAACTCTCTCCCTCTCATCTCTCTCCCGCTCTCTCTCTCTCTCCAAAGCAAATAAATGAGCATCGCTGAGCATCTTGGATCTGCATCGCCCAATTTCTGGGATAGAACACAGAATTGATAGGCACATCTTTATTTCTCCCTACAATATGTATTCTTGTGTAATAATCTCCCTCCCATTTCCTAGAGTCTCTTCTAGCCAAATGATGACAAACATGATACAAACACCACTTGCAGAAGAGATGGTCTTTTATTAGTTCTTAGAAAGGGCTTCATTCCCTTCCAGGCTTGTCTTTGTAACTGGGAGCTGGCTGATGGTTGGGAGTAAAGCAAATAGATTAGAAGAGTAAACACCAGGTTTCAGAAAGATGATTATGCTTATAACGGTAAAATAATTATAAGCAGGAACCTCAGAGCAGACTGGAGTTTGCCCCCAGGAAGAACTCTACTATTAGAGTTTTATGATGGATTAAGATTGGGGTTTCAAACGGTTTAATTGCACCTCTTTTGAAGTGCTACCACTCGATTTCCAGAGATAGGGAGAAAATAATATTTAGTTTCTTATTTATAATTTTTTTTTCTGAGGAGCTGTTTGGGTTTCAGAACTTATTTCTCATGCAGAGGAGATATGGAAATGTCAGGAAATTATTCAGAGTTCCATTTTAGCCATCACCACTTGGGATGATTTAGTCTGCTGCAGAAACCGGAGTTTCTGGTTCTGGTACATAGGTTCTTTTTATGCAAATAGAATTCTACACAAATGACTCCAAATCCCAGGTTATTCATTTCTCAATTATTCACTTTTAAGCAAGAATTGAGTTTGAAAGTATCCCCATTACTGGCTATCTGTACAATTTGTGCCACCTGCATACTGCCTTTCCGACCGAGTGACTTAGTTGATGCCACTTGAAATTAGCAGCCATTAGGGCTTATTTCCGCAAATCTACATGCCTCAGCCCAGATATTGCAGATCATTAGTGAGCCCAAATGGAGGCGTAGGGAACGAGCACCCGCCAGCACTTGTCACTTCATTTTGACTGCTGCCTGGTCTGATAAAATGGAACGAGCCAGCAAGAGGGACTTTCCTCCCACCCAGGACGATTGAACTGTTGCATAAAATGAGATAGCGCATGGAGCGGAGACAGTATGATCTTGCTACAGAGACTGGCATTAATGTGCCGTCTCCCAAGTCACTCAAGTGAAGGGAAAGATTCCAGCGGATGGCAGGAGGCCAAGTGACAAAGAAAGCCAAGGGCACAATGGGAAAGACGCTCTGAGGCCGCACTGGGGAGAGGTGAGAGACACGGACAATGGCCCAATTACTGCGAAGAAATCAAAGGCGCGCTGGCTGTGCACCAGGCACTGAATTTTCAAGTGACTCAAAGAATGGAAAGGCTAACCCGGTGTGCGTTTGTCTGACGGATGCAAGGTGGTGCATGCGGGTGTCTGGGCCTTTACAGTGTGTCCTCGCCAGATGAGATCCTCTTTTAGGCCTGCCCAGGGAGAGCCACGGTACAAGGGGAGTTCCTGAAAGGTTAGAGAGGTCAGACCTCCTGGAAGGAAGAGTCCCCACAGCCCAGAAGATTTTTCATTCTCCCTAGTGGCCTTTCCCTTCGTAGGGGCCTCTCTCTGCACCCAGCTGTGCCTACATCCCCCAACCTGCAGTGGCTTTGAAAGCCTGGGGATCCCCTTAGCCACATCATCCCTCTATTAAACAACAAAGCAAAATCATCCCAGGACGCCTGGGAAGAAAGCCACTGCTTAATGAAAAGCAAATGAGGGCCATTATACTTAAACTACAGTATTAGTTGTTGCCAGAGACAAAATGTAAGAACTGCCCCGTGATGTTTTTGTTGCCAAAACAAAGTAAATCAGTGAGAGTCCATAGAGATATATTTGTTCCTTCTAAATGGCACACTTTTTGGATGACCAACCGTTCTGGTTTGCCTGGATGCTCCCTGTGTTAGCACCAAAAATCCCAAGAGAAACCTGCAGTCTCGGGGAAAACGGGGCAGTCGGTCACGCTGCTTTTAGCTAATATCAGGGTAGCCGATTTAGGGTACAGTAAGAAAAATGACTCAGTATTTTCAGACCTGGGTAACAAAAATCAAACAGAAGATTCACTCTCCTTGCTTTATCTACAGATATTAAAGTATTATGACAAATTCCACATGACCCAGTTTAGCAGGTAGACCCCAAAGACTCTGGAGCCACGCTAGCTGGACCGGGATCCCTGGCTCCACCACCCACCAACTGTGTGAACTTTGGCAAGTTAGCACTCAACTCCTCTGTGCCTCAGTTTCCTTCTCCGTGAAGTGGGGATGCTAATAGAATATGTCTCAGAGGGTTGTTTCAGAATTAAATGAACTGATAGGAGAGGCTTTTCTGTTTATCATGACTTAGTTACCATCATCATTATTGCTGTTATTATTTCTCTTTTCATAAACTCCAAATTACCACCAGGTATAGCAAGAGTTAAAATAAATCTAACCCCTGAGTACAAATTAAGCCTCCTATCACTACTTAACTGCTGTAATTCCTATGTCATTAAACACTGTCTTCTTCGAGACCTAAAAATGTGATTTTTTTTCCTTCTTGACTCTGTGCTGGCCTGGAACCTTCCCACGGCCCTGGCTGCAGCTGCTCCATCCTACTCAGGGAAAGGCACCCATTCGCTTCCTAACACCCCCGCTGCCAAAATTTTCTTCTGAACCTGTAGTTCAAAATCCTGAGCCCTACTGTCTTCTTTGCTTTTTTTTTTTTTTTTTTTTTTTGAGACAGAGTTTCGCTCTTGTCACCCAGGCTGGAGTGCTGTGGCGTGATCTCAGCTCACTGCAACTGCCACCTCCTGGGTTCAAGCATTTCTCCTGCCTCAGCCTCCCAAGTACCTGGGATTACAGGTGAGCGTCATCATGCCTGGCTAGTTTTTTTTTTTTTTTTTTTGTATTTTTAGTAGAAATGGGGTTTCACCATGTTGGTCAGGCTGGTCTCGAACTCCTGATCTCAAATGATTCACCCACCTTGGCCTCCTAAAGTGCTAGGATTACTGGCCGCCCTGCTGTCTTCTGTCTCTACCTTGGGGCACTGACTGCCCCAACACATGTACATACACACACACACACACACACACACAAACCACACACACACACACACTGCTGTGCACCATTCCTGGTGGTCCATGGACTCCAGTTCACCACTAGAGAGTGTGCCAGAATGTTTTCACCGTTTCCACATGGATTCAAAGTTGGGCCTTTCCCAAACGATCCTTTAAGAAAGGGAAAAAAAGACACTTATAAAAGACATTTGTATGTGATTCTTTCACTGTCACATTACAGACATCAGTTATGTAAAAGGCTATGTCAAATCTCAAACCTCTTGTGTACATGCTGGTCCTTTGATATATTCAACAAATAATTAAAATCGCACCCTTTGTCCTAGGACTTCACACAAGATGCCTCCCGATGTGTTGTTTCGTGTATTGAGGAACCTCTGTGTGCAAGGCACGGCATTAGGGGCTGTGAAACTGTCTAGCCTTGGAGTATGTGTGTGTCTGGTCGGGGGCAGCTCCAATGTGAACTAAGCAGAGGTCAAGAAATTTTGACCAGGAGTGGAGGGAATAGAGGCTGACCTGGCTCCAAAAGTGCAATTGGTGGTCAGGCACTGTGGTTGAGTGGGGACAGTTGTTCTGATATGTGAAGCTATTAGTTCTAGGTGACCAGCCAGGCAGCTAAGGGACAGTGGCAGAGAGGCTGAGTCCTGGTTCCTGGAGATTCATCCACTGCCTGTGGAAGAGATTTGGAATGCCGGAGCCATGGAGCTGGAGACAGAGATGGTGACAGTATAATAGCTAGGTGCGGCGGATCTCAGGGAAGGACACCGTTGTTGAGGGAAACTGAGGAAAGTGAAGACCACAAGAAGCCCCAGGTCGGATGGGAGGTAGAAGATGGTGCAGGTGGGGAGGTATTCCTGGGATTCTGCGAATCTTTGTCTGATTGGAAGGAAAGGAGACATACAGGGGGGTCAAGGGCATCTGTGGCTCTGACCCCCAACTACCTTATCTTGGGCCCAAGCATTGCCATGTGGGAACTGAAAATTATTAATGGGGGTTGAAACCATTCATCCATGTATCACTCAGGGTCCTGGCTGGACACAGAGAGCACCACAAACTGGGTAGTTGGATGATTTAATAAAGGAGCTATTTACAAAGGTACAGGCAGAGTTTAGGGAAATCAACAGAAGCATTAGAAACAGCCATTACCACCCTGAGATAGGACTGGAGCCTGGAGTGAGGAGGGCTGCCTGATGGATGCCATGGCCTTCTTGGAGGGAGGCAACCAGCCCCAGACCATCCGTATGCAGGGAGCTGGCAGAATCAATCCCTCCACCTCACTCTCTCCCCACCCTCTAACCAGAAGGCAGAGGGCAGGGACGTCTGTCAGTGTGGTCCACACAGGCTAGCCTCCCCAGACAAGGGAACTAGCCAGCCAACTTCACCCTTCTGCCCCTTAGAGTCCTTTCTTTTATTCAGGAAATAATTGGTATCTCCAACCAAGGGACACACAAAGTCCCCTCAGTGACTGTATTAGGGTTAATTTGGTCATACTCTCTCCTGAAACCTCATACATTATCCATGACTTGTACTCTTCATGAGGGGGAGAAAACAGGAGGAACCACAATTCATTATCAGACACACAGATGCTACAGTCCCCTCTTCTGTACTAGGTCAAGGTCTGAGCTGATGACATTGCTTCCTTCTTCCACCTTTCCCTCTGCCATCACCTTGGACAGACAGATAGGGTGACTCAGATCTTTTCTTTTTTTTTTTTTTTTTGAGACAGAGTCTTGCTCTGTTACCCAGGCTGGAGTGCAGTGGCCCAATCTAGGCTCACTGCAAGCTCCGCCTCCTGCGTTCACGCCATTCTGCCTCAGCCTCCAGAGTAGCTGGGACTACAGCTGCCTGCCACCACGCCCGGCTAATTTTTTGTATTTTTAGTAGAGATGGGATTTCACTGTGTTAGCCAGGATGGTCTTGATCTCCTGACCTTGTGATCCGCTCATCTCAGCCTCCCAAAGTGCTGGGAATACAGGCTTGAGCCACTGCGCCTGGCCGACTCAGATCTTTATTCCTGCAAAATCTTGGTCCTGAGTGGTCCTGCCTTCATCAGGTTGCCAAAGTTTTTTATTTGTCCAGGATTTCTGGCAAGTGAGTGCTAAAAGGCACCCTAGGGAACCCCGTGGTTAGAAACATAGTTCTTCCTTCCTCCATGCTGTAGTGGTCACCCATCTCCCCTTTGGTAATCAGATCAATCTGTGGATTTACTTCAATAATTATAGCGTAATCAGAACCATCACTGTAATCACTGTCACCCTCTGGTTAATATTGTCATCTTGTTATTGTCCAGGAGCCATCTGGCTATTTCAACAGGTAATTAAGTAGAGATGTGACTGGAGTCTCTGCTCTTGCTTATATCAGGTCTTTGACAGCAGCACTCATCTTTGCAAATTCGCAGGAACATGGCACATCTTTGGTTTACTTTCTTAATGATGGGTGCTGGAGAAATTCCAGAGACTTCTACTTGACTCTTCCTACTGTAGTAGTCTTCACTCCACGTCCAGGAACCAATGTTAAGATTGGACCAGTCACTAAGAATATCTATTCCCATTGTAATCCTGATAGCGGGGAAATTAACCACAGGATGGGTTCCCAGTCTCACTAGACTTTCTGTGACATAGTCTAGGGCAAAGACTTTATCTATCCCTTATTTCAAAATGTCTCTACTGTGATGTGTGGCCCACTGCTGCGGCAAAATAGGTGAGTCCCAAAGTTGGGAAGGTTTTTGGCTTCCCCCAGGAAAGAACTTAAGGATAAGCAGGTGATGTTGAACAGTACTGCTCTTCTGGGAGCAGAGTTACCTCATAGGCAATATATCCAGAGTGGTAAGGAAAGCTTTTGGCAAATATATTTATACTCATGTAAACCCACTTTCAATTATATGCAAATTAAGGGGTGGGCCAATGCAAATCAAGGGGCAGGTTATTTAGGGAGGGGGCAGTAACTTCCGGGTTGTTGCCATGGAAAGAGGTAACTTTTGGGTCATTGCGATGGCAATGTAAACTGTCATGGCGCTGGTGGGAGTGTCTTATGTTAATGAGCGTAAGGGCAGCTTAGGGAATCACTTTCATCGCCACCTGCTGGTTTCTGCCAGTTTTTCACTTTATCCCATCTGGACCAGATTCTGTGTCAGTCAGTAGGGTTGTGACCAGAAAACAAGTCCTGCCGGTCTCTTAACCTTACAGTGGCTACTGGTTCTCCAGGGATTAGCACAAGTTCAGAGCCAGGGTCTAATAACGCGTGGAAAGTCTGGGTACCTCAGGACACAGTCTTGAAAAATGGCCTCAGGTCTCTCTGGGGAGGTTTGGAAGATTCTTCACAGGATACTATACCTCTGTGTACATAGTGCTGTATCCTTCTTCAAAAGAACGCAGTCACCCCTTCAATTAAGAAGTTCTTGGCCTGCAATCCCGGCACTTTGGGAGGCCAGGTGGGTGGATCACTTGAGACCAGGAGTTTGAGACCAGCCTGGCCAACATGGTGAAACCCCATCTCTACTAAAAATACAAAAATTAGCCAAGCGTGGTGGCACGTGCCTGTAATCCCAGTTACCTGGGAGGCTGAGGCAGGAGTATCTCTTGAACCCGGGAGGTGGAAGTTGCAGTGAGCCAAGATCGAGCCACTGCACTCCAGCCTTGGCGAGAGAGCGAAACTCTGTCTCAAAAAAAAAAAAAAAAAAAAAAAAAAAGATGTCCTTGAGCTACAAAATGGCTTATGTCTTAGAATTGCATAAGAGACCTTGAATTCCCACTATGTCAACTCAAGTTAGGCTTCTATTAATCAGACCTCGAATTTTTTTTACCTCCATAGATCAAGCAGCACCATCTATTTCATTCTCAGGGACCCCAGGGACCCAGCTCTTATCATACTCACATTAAAGCATTCTGATAACAGCCCGCTGTTGTTTATTGTGATATTTGCACCTGCCTTGTCCCTGAAGGTTAAACAGAATCATCTGGATTCAAAAATGTCAAGTCTCCATTTAGATAAGAAAATTCAATAAATTGCCACACCTACCAATATCTCCAACCTTCAGAAGACACCACCTCAGAGCTGCTATTCAATAACTTTCAATAACTGCCCTGGGCAGTTATAGCACAAGGCCCACTGCCAGCTCCCTTGTTGCCTCGAGGCCCTAAAGAGAGTTCATTCCATTGCAGCCCTCATGCAGGGGCGCAAGGCCTGCTCTGGGAGGTGATATGCCATACCCTCAAAAGAGTTTCAGAACTTTGCTGAGTTTTACTGAAATTCTCAAGGATTGCAGGGCCCACTTCTTTTCCAGCGCACTTCTTATGACCTGGTGATTCTTAGGCACACCAAAGTTTTCAAAGCATTATGAGGGGAGTTTAGCCTCGTTGATTATAGGCCACCATTTGAGTCCAGACCTCCATGAATCCTAACCAACTACTAATGCCAGCGTCAAGTGCACAAGACCAGTATTTTATTTTATTAATTAATTTTTTTTTTGAGACAGAGTCTCACTCTGTCACCCAGGCTGGAGTGCAGGGGCGCAATCCCGGCTCACTGCAACCTCCGCCTCCTGGGTTCAAGTGATTCTCCTGCCTCAGCCTCGCGAGTAGCCGGGATTACGGGTGTATGAGACCACGCCAGGCTAATTTTTGTATTTTTAGTAGAGACGGGGTTTCGCCATGTTGGCCAGGCTGATCTCAAACTCCTGACCTCGGGGGATCTGCCTGCCTCGGCCACCTAAACTGCTGGGATTACAGGCGTGAGCCGCAGCACCTGGCCTAGACCAGTATTTTAAATCCCAAAGCCTGAGCAAGTACATCTATATTAATTAATTTGTCCCAATCTTGTTTTAGATTTTTCTTCCTTGGCTTTATGTCCAGAGAATTCACTTCCATACATGCTTCCTAGATCCTTGCTGATAAAACTCAGCAAAGTTCTGAGACCCTGTAAGTGTGTGGGTTATCACCTCACAGAGCAGTCCTGACACATCTCCATCTGGCCGGCAATGGGATGGAGCTGTCTTTAGGGCCCAGAGGCAATGAGGGTGGTGGCAGTGGGTCTTCTGCTACAACTGCCAAGTGCAGTTACTGAAAGGCTGGAGGGAAGGTGTTTGGGGAAGGGCAAATGTCTGCTTTCTGCCTCAAGGGATTAAGGGGGATTTGGTAGTTCAAAACTCTCCTCGATTGTCTGCCCAAATGTCCCCATTTCATTTCTTAGGGTGCGTCTTATTCTCTACAGTGTCCTAATGCAGTGATACAAGAAACAGCATAAGAGACCTAGTAGGGTTGAGCAATTAATGGATACAGCAACACTGCAGTTGTTACAACCTCACCCTGGCCTTGGTCTGTAGCTCCCCTGCAGCTATACGATGTAAGGGACTCACTCAGTGCTTCCATAGAGGTTTTCTGATTGTCCAAGAATTCTGGGTTTTCTTTTGTGTTTTCCCTATGTTAACTCCATTGGGCTATCAAAAGCAGTCATCTGAACCCACATGATTTATAATGACTATTATGCCTGCACTGGGTTGGATAATGTCCCTTCAAAACTCATGTTTACCGGCCGGGCGTGGTGGCTCACGCCTGTAATCCCAGCACCTTGGGAGGCCAAATTGGGCAGATCACGAGGTCAAGAGATTGAGACCATGCTGGCTAACACAGTGAAACCCCGTCTCTACTAAAAATACAAAAATATTAGCTGGGCATGGTGGCAGGCGCCTGTAGTCCCAGCTACTCGAGAGGCTGAGGCAGGAGAATGGCGTGAACCCAGGAGGCGGAGTTTTTGTTTTGGAATATGAGGACCTAAAATCCCAGCTACACCTCTACTGATTGAGAAGCCTCGGGCAGGCTATATAATATCCATGTCTTAGTTTCTCTGGAACTCTTACATGTTATTATTCTTACTTCTCCCCTTTCTGCCTCCAGAGTTCTTCCATTCACAGGCATAGGGTAATAAGGTGTAGGGAGGGGCTCAGATCTCTTGGTCAAGGAGAGCTACTCTGTCCTCGGGGGCTAGTCATCAGTAGTTGAGTTATCCCATCACTTGCTGCTCCTTGGGCCAGGAGGCGAAAGCAGGCAAGGTGTGCTAGCCCTGGGAGCTTCCCTGATGTCTTTTTACCTGCTTTCTATCCTTTCACTTCATTTTCTCTGTATTTTTCTCTTTCCACATTGGACTTGCATTTTCTCTTCCTCCTGTTGCTGCCTACCCACACACTTCCGACACTCTGGCCTTTCTCTCCATTCTGATAGTTTTAAACACTCTCCTGTCCATCCTGGATCACAAGCCCCTGGATGCCATGCCCCCAGTTAATACCCTATACTTTTTCCCTTCCTCGGCTTTTAAAGCCACATTTTTTCAAGATGCTGAATCCTACTGCATATCCAGCTCAACTACTATTGAAAGAAAAGTCAGGATCCATTACTTTTTCCACCCAGAGTTCAGACACAGCAGCATTTCCTAGCATTGACCACTTTCTTTTTCTTTTTTCTTTTCTTTTCTTTTTCTTTTTTTTCTTTTTTTCTTTTTTCTTTTTCTTTTTTTTTTTTTTTTTGAGACAGTCTCTTACTCTGTTGCTGAGGCTGGAGTGCAGTGGCTCGATCTCGGCTCACTGCAACCTCTGCCTCCTGGGTTCAAGTGATTCTCCTGCCTCAGCCTCCTGAGTAGCTGGGACTACAGGCATGCACCACCATGCCCAGCTAATTTCTGTATTTTTAGTAGAGACTGAGTTTCGCCATGTTGGCCAGGCTGGTCTCGAACTCCTGACCACAGGTGATCTGCCCACCTCGGCCTCCTAAAGTGCTGGGATTACAGGCATGAGCCACTGTTCATGCCCACACCCTGGGGTTTGCCCTCCAATCCCATCCTGACAGAATGCTGGTCTGAGAACGCCAGGCTCAGAGAATCATCTTCTTGTCTGTCCTGTGGGTCACGATCTCGAGGTTTCACCAGGCGCCCTAAGAGGATGAAGTATCTTGGCTCTGTTGAAGCCTGGACACAAGAATGTCCTTGAGAAAGCATTTCTGTAATCTCTATTACTGGAATGTGGATTAAAAAGGCTTGCTGGAGTGAGCTGCTAAATCTTTACAAATGTTTAGGATAAAGTACAAATGAGAAAAATATGTTCAGCTAGGCTTTTTGTTTCTAATGAAAGAGTGCTCTTAATTCTTTTCTACTGAAAATAGAAGTGTTGTGATCCAGCAGAAGGACCGCAGGCCAGATGCTGGGGCCATTGTCCTCAAGGGCAATGCTCTCGTTGCTTTCCAACTCTGTCTTGCTTCCTCTTTCTTTCTCTCTCTTTCTCGATCTCTCTCCCCCTTCTCATGACAAGGAAAGCCAATAATTTTGCTTTTATTTAACAACAGTCTATTGACTATGAGCCACAAACACATTCTTCTGGGCCACTGGCAAACATTTTAGATGGTGCTAGGTATTTTGGTGGGCTAAGGTTTTACTGATTAGGACAGCTAAAAAGAAACTGGCATACAGTGGCAGTTAAGAATTGGCTAACTTTACTGGCAACTAAAAATTGCAGAGGAAACTGAACATTGGTGATTTTATAGAGTTTTTAAGTAAAATTATTATGGAAGTATAATATGCATTTAGAAAATTATACAAATCATATGTGTATAACTAAGTTTTCACTAAATGCATACATATATGATGATCACCCAGATCAGGAAACAATGCTGCCAGCACCTCAGATGCTCTCTATGTGCCCTCTTTCATCACTACCATTATCCCCAAAGGTGACTGCTGTCAAGTCCTCTACCATCATCAGTTTTGCCTGGAATTATAAGTATGCACTCTCTTGTGAATGGGTTCTCTTAGGCAAAATTCTGTTTGTGACATTTATTTGCATTATTGCATGTAGCAGTAATACGTTCATTGCTATTGATCTAAGGCAGGGAACGGCAGACTACAGCCCACCATGGCCTATTGTTGTATGAGTCGCAAGCTAACAATGACATTTATTTTGTAAAGGATTGTAAAAAAAATGAAGAATATGCAACAGAGGCAATCTGTTATCTGCAAAACTGAAGATGTTTATTTTCTGGCTCTTGACAAAAAAGTCTGCTGATCCCTACTGTAGAGTATTCTGTTGTAGGACTATACCACAATTTATTGATTCATGTATTGATGCTGAAGAACGTTTGGGCTGTTTTTCGTTTCAGCGTCCATCAGTAATGCTGCTATAAATATTCTTGCATGTGCATTTTGGAGTGTGTGTACACATTTCTGTTGGGGATATACCCAGGGGCATAAGTTATGCAGATATTCAGCATTAGTAGATTTTACTGTCAAAGAGTTGTATAAATCTACACACTCATCAATAGTGATTGGGAGTTCCAGTTGTTCCACATCTTTATCAACACTTGGTATTGTCTGTCTTTTTTATTTTAATCATTTTGGTGTATATGCAGTAGTATCTCCTTGTGATTTTGGTTTGTATTCATCTGATGTCTCATGATGTGAAACGCTTTCATATTAATATTGAACATTTGTCTTCCCTTTGTGATATAGCTGCTTGCATGTCTTGTCCAAGGTTTGTCTGCATTTTCTTCATTTATTGGTATAATTTCTTTATCAAATTCTCTGTTAGATATGAATTGCAAATACTTTGATCTATTCAATGATTTGCACCTTAACTCCCTAGCATTCTATTCTTTTGAGGAACAGAAATTCTTAATTTTAACATAGTCTAATTTATCAATTTTCCCTCATAGTCAATGCTTTTTGTATCCTATTTAATAAATCTTTGCTTAACCCTGTGTCACAAAGATATTCTCCAATGTTTTCTTCTGGAAGTTTTATGGTTTACCCTTCACAGGTAGATTTGCAAGTCACCTGGAATTGGTAACTTTGTATGGTGTGACGCAGATGTCAAGATTTTTGTCCCTTATGGGTATCCAATTGGCCCAGCACTGCCTTTGGAAAAAATGCCCCCACTGTGCTGCAGTGTCACCCTTGTCATAAATCAGTGACAATGTACATGCCAGTCTGTTTCTGGACTCTCCATTGTTTCCATAGAAATTACACTGTGGGTATGGCCAGGCACAGTGGCTCACGCCTGTAATCCCACCACTTTAGGAGGCCAAGGTGGGCAGATCACTTGAGGCCAGGAGTTTGAGACCAGCCTGGCCAACATGGCAAAACCCTGTCTCTACTAAGAATACAAAAATTAGCCGGGCGCAGGGGTGGACGCCTGTGGCCCCTGTGGACATTTGAGCCCAGGAGGTGGAGGTTGCAGTAAGCCATGATCATGCCACTGCACTCCAGCCTGTGTAACAGAGCAAGACCCTGTCTCAAAAATAAATAAATAAATAAATAAGGAATTACTCTGTGGTTAGATAAGATCTTCATCTTTCTTCTTATTCTTCAAGGTTGTCTTGACTCTTCTTGGCCCTTTGCATTCCCATATAAACTTACTGAATCAATAGGTCAATTTGAGGAGAAATGAGATTTTTATAGGATAAAAAATAAATATGGTATATCCTCCATTTATTTAGGTCTCCTTTAATTTCTCTGTATACTATCTTGTAATTTTCAGTGCAGAAGAATTACATAACTTTCATTAAGTTTATTCCTAGTTATATGACGTTTGTTGATTTTTTTAAATTGTATCTTATTAAATTTTTATTTTGTGATTGTTCCTCATATGTAGAAATACAATTGATTGCTGTATTTTGACTCTGTTTTCTGTGTTCTCACTACATTTATTATTAATTCTGAGTGTTTGTGGAATCTTTCCTACATAAACAATCATGCTGCTGTGAAGAATAACAGTTTTATTATTTCCTGTCAATTCTTGTAATTTTTTTCTAACCTTCTTGTACTGGCCATATTATATAGTATAATAGTGAACAGAAGCAGTGAGAGCAAGGCCAGGTACGGTGGCTCATCCCTCTAATCCTGGCACTTTGGGAGGCCAAGGTGACTGGATGACTTGAGGTCAGGAGTTTGAGACCAGCCTGGCCAACATGGTGAAACCCCGTCTCTACTAAAAAACACAAAATTTAGCTAGGTGTGGTGGCGGGTACCTGTAATCCCAGCTACTCGGGAGGCTGAGGCAGGAGAATCGCTTGAACCTGGGAGGCAGAGGTTGTAGTGAGCCGAGATCGCACCACTGCACTCCAGCCTGAGCGACAGAAAGAGACTCTGTCTCAAAAAAAAGAAAAAAAGAAGCAGTGAGAGTGAACACCTTTGTTTCATGCCTAATCACAGGGATAAAAGCTTTCACTAGCTTTTCTATAATGTTTCTATAAGAAACATTAAGTAAAATGTTTCTTGTAGACTATTTGTAAATATTTTGTCATTCTAAGGGCGTTCCCTTTTATATCTAGTTTGGTGTTTTTTAAAGTAAATAAATCAGTCTTGAATTTAATCAAATGCTTTTTATAAATCTGTTGAAATAATATGATTTTTCACATCTATTATGAAATTACATCCATAACATGAATTACATTGAACTATTTTTTCAGATGTTACACTAACATTGCATTACTGAAAAAAACCAATTCCTTGTGATATGTTATACTCTTCATAAATTGCAGGATACAGTTTGTTAATATTTTCTTTAGGATTTTGCATCAGAAGAGAGATTAGCTGACTTTTTTTGTATTGTCTTCTTGTGTCTGGTTTTGCTATCAAGAATATGCTGGGTTTATAGAACATGTTGGAAAGTATTTTCTTTTCATGTGTTCTCTAAAAGAGTTTGTGTAAGAATGGTATTATTTCTTCCTTAAGTTCAGAAGAATTCACCAGTGACTACCTCTAGGACAAAAGATATCTTTGTAGAAAAACTGTATTTAAATTTATTAACAGGTTTACTGAAGTGAATTGACAGATGAGAATGCACACATACCTAAAGTAAATAATTTGATAAGTTTTAACATATGTATACACCCGTGAGACCATTACCAATCACCACAATCAAGATAATGGAAAGCTCCAGCATTCCCACAAGACTGCTTGTGCTCCTTTGTGGTACCTCCCACTGCCCTCCCCATGCCTCATCCCTCAGCTTGATGACACTTTCTATTATTTGCCTTTTCTTTAAATTTAATAGAGGCAAAATCATAAGTCTGTTCATTTTGTCAGTCTTCTTTCACTCAGCATAACTATTTTGAGATTCATTTGCATCGTGCTTTGTATTGATAATTCTTTTTTATTTTTTTTTGGCTGGGCAATACTTCCACTGTATGGACACACTGCAATTCATTTAACCAATCACCTCTTGATGTGTGTTGGTTTCTCATTTGAGGCTATTGCAAATAAGCCTGCTAAAAAGATTTGCATACAATCTTGGCGTGGACATACGTTTTCTTTTCTTGTCTAGTCTATCTAGGAGTAGAATGGCTAGGCCATATGGTAGGTATGTGTTTAACTTTCTAAAAATCTGCCAAACTGTTTTTCAAAATAGTTGTGCCATTTACATTCCCACCAGCAATGTATGAGAATCGCGGTTGCTCCACATCATCTCCAACACTTGGTACATTTGGACATTTTAATCTTAGACATTCTAATCTATGTGTAGTAATATCTCATGGTGGTTTTAATTTGCATTTCTCATATTAATAGTATTGTGCATCTTTCACGTGCTTACTTGGCATCTGTGTGTCATCTTGGGTGAAGTGTCAGTTCAAATCTTTGCCCATTTTATATTGGGTTGTTTGTTTTCTTATTACTAAGTTTTAAGAGTTCTTTATATATTCCAGATTCAGGTCTTTAATGAGAAATAGGACTTGCAAATATTTTTTCCCAGTCTGTGGTTCACTTTTCATTGTCTTAAAAATATATTTTGAAAAATGAAACTTTTCAACTTTGATGACATACAATTTATCAATTTTTTGGTGTGTATCCTGATTTTGATATTGTATCTAATATGATACCTAACCTAAGTTCATGAATATCTTTATTTTGTTTTTCTCTAGAAATGTATGGGTTTTAGGTTTTACATGTAGGTGTATGATTCATTTTGTGTTAATTTAGTTTGGCAGTTTCTTATAGAACTAAACATGTCACTGCTTTACAGCCCAGAAATTGCATGCTTGGGCATTTATCGCAGAGAAATGAAAACGTACGTCCACACAAAAATCTGTACAGAAGTGTTTGCAGCAGCTTTATTAGTAATAGTCAAAAAATGGAAACAACCCAAGTGTCCTCCAACAGGTAAGGTTTAAACAAACTGTGGTTCATCTATTCCATAGGATTCTATGGAACAATACATAGGAATGAAGCATTAATAATGGTTCATTATTATTCTGTGCAACAACTTGGATGGGTCTCCAGAAAATTATGCTGAGTGAGAAAATCCAATCTCTGTTTAATTCCATTTATCCAATTTTATTAAAATGATAAAGTTATGGAGTAAAAGAAAGTAGTTGATGCCAAGGATTGGAGATGAAGCAGGAGATAGTAAAAAGGAGGTGGCTCTCGATATGTGAAGGTAGTATAAGGGCTATTTGCAACTGAACTGTTCTGTATTTGGCTTATGGTAGTGGTCACAGAAATTCACACACATATAAAGAACTAAACACACACACACACACAACACACACACGAGGGCTTGTAAAACCTATGAAATTTGAATAAGGTCAGTGGATTCTATCAATGGAAATTTACCAGCTGTAAAATAAACTAGTTAAGCTACTTCAATAAAAATCTTGATAATATGGATAAGAATGGGGGCAATAGAGTGAGAAAAAAAAGCAACGTATGTAACACACATACTGTCAATAAAAGATAGTAACCTGGAAACTAATGTTCAGCAAAAATCACAGGAAAGCCATTTGACTAGATGTTCATCAGTTTTATTAATCTCAAAGAACCAGTTTTTTGTTTCATTGATATTTCACTATTGTTTTCTGTTTTCTACTGTATGAATTTCTGATTTGATCTTTATTATTTTCTTTCTTACTGCTTACTTTAGGTTTCATTAGCTCCTCTTATTTTAGCTTTTTAATGTTTGGTCTTGGATTTGAATTTTTTTTCTTTTCTAGAATAGGCATTTAGTGCTATAAATTTCCTTTTAAATATAATTTTAGCTGCATCTCATAGATTTTGGTAGGTTGTGTTTTCATTTTCATTCAGTGCAAAATACTTTCTAATTTCCTTTTTGATTGTCTTTCTTAGATCCATAGGTTATTTAGAAGTCTGTTATCTAGTGTCAAAATATCTGAGGATTTTCTATGGATTTTTGTCATTTACTTGTGATTTAATGCCATTGTAGAGAGCAATGACTTTGTATGACTTGATCCCTTTTTAAATTATTGAGAATAGTTTTATGGCCCAAAATAGGGCCTGTTTTGGTCTATTTCTAAGTGCACCCAAAATATGGTCTGTTTTGGTCTATTTCTATGTGCTGTTATAGAGTGGAGTGTTCTATAAATGTCAATTATTTCACATACATTGATAGGGTTGATCATCTTCTTTATCCACCGATTCTCTGTATACTTGTTCTCTCAGTCATGGAGACATGGATGGTGAAATATATTATAATTGTGTATTTCTCTATTTCTCCTCACAGTTCCTCCCATTTTTGATTCATATATTTTGAAGACCTGTTTTAGATATATAAATGTTAGAATTGTAAGTTTTCTTGATGAACTGATCTTTTTATTATTATAGATGACCCTCTTTGTCCTTTTCCAAGGAAATTGACTTCACCTGATACTAATATACCCATTCAAGCTTTCTTTTGATTGGTGTTACTGTGGTATTTCTTTTTCCATTCTTTTACTTTTAACCTATTTGTGTCTTTACATTTCTCTTACATTTCTTCTAGGCAGCACATACTTGGGTCTTGATTTTGTTATCCCATCTGCGAATCTGTGCCTTTAAATTGAGGTAGTGGATCATTTCATGTGCTTTTTGATACAATTGGTTTCATCCCATCATCTTGCTATTTTTTTTCTATTTGTTCACCTATTGTGTGTTCTCTTTCCTTCTTTTTCTGCCTTCTTTTGGATTGAGTGTATTTTGTGATTTAATTTTATCTCTTTTATTGTTAGCTATAACTGTTTTGTTATTTTAATGGTCACTTTAGGATTTATGGTATACACATTTTACTTATCATTATCTATCTTCAAATGGTATTATAAAGCACTATACATATAGTTTAATAACATTACAATAGATTATATCCATTTATCCCCTCCTGGCCTTTGTGCTATTGCCGTCATGCCTTTTTCTTCTATATGCAGGTGTCCCCACTTATCTGTGGTTTTGCTTTCCACAGTTTCCATTACCCATGGTCAACCATGGTCCAAAAATGTTAAATGGAAAATTCCAGAAATAAACGGTTTATATATTTTAAATTGTATGCTTTTCTGAGTAGCAAGATGAAATCTCACACCGTCCTGCTCTGTCCCACCCAGGACATAAATCATCCCTTTTTCCAGTGTATCCATGCTGTATATGCTACCCAGCCATTAGTCACTTAGTAGACGTCTTGGTTATCAGCTTGACTGTCATGGAGTCACAGTGCTTGTGTTCGGGTCACTCTTATTTAATTTAATAATGCCCCCAAAGCACAAGAGTGGTGATGATGGCAATTCAGATATGGCAAGGAAGCTGTAAAGTGCTTCCTTTAAGTGAAGCGGTGAAAGCTATTGACAATCAGGAAAGAAAAAATGGCACGCTGAGGTTGCTAAGGCCTCCAGTAAGAATGAATCTTCTATCCATGAAATTGCAAAGAAGGAAAAAGGAATTTGTTTACAATGTATTTAGGATTCAGTACTATCTGTGGTTTTGGACAATCACTGGGGGTCTTGACATATCACTCATGAATAAGGAGGGGATTATTGCGTATTATAAACCTCAAAGTACATTATTATTTTTCTTTTACCCAGAAATTACCTTTGCAGAAATTCAAATAGTAAGAAAAAGTTTTGTTTTTACCCATATAATTGCCATTACTGCTGCTCCCTATTCCGTTGTGTGGATTCAGACTTCCATCTTGTATCATTTTCCTTCAGCTTGAGGAATTTCCTTTTACATTTATTGAAGTGCAAGTTTGATTGTGACAAATTCCTCCAGCTTTTGTATGCCTGAAAATGTCTTCATTTTTGCTGAATAAAGAATTTGTTGACAGATTTTTTTCTTTCAGTACTTTAAATATTTTGCTCCACTGTCTTCTAATTGGCATTGTTTCCATCAAGAGATCTGCTGGAATCTTCCTGTGTGCATAATTTGTCTTTCTTGTCTGAAGCTTTTATAATTTTTTTCTTTTACTGGTTTTAAGCACTTGTATTATGACATGACTAATTTACAAACAGTCATTTGGTTTCATTGCTGCTGTTGTTCAGAGATTGTTAGTATTTTCCCCAGAGCTTACGGTTTTTATTTGTGAGTGAGTTAATCTAATACAGGCTCCTCCACCATTGCTGAAAACAGAGCCTCTTATCACTCATTTCAAAATATTTTCTAATTTTCATTCTGATTTCTTCTTTGACCCATGATTTGTTTAGAAATGTATTACATAATTTCCAAGAATTTGGGGATTTGCTGGTTATATTTTGTCACTGATTTATGGTCTAATTTCACTTTTAGTTAAGATGATCTGAATGATTTCACTGCTTGTGTTATGGACCACAAAATGTTCAACTTAGGTAAATATGCAATGTAGATTTGAAAACACTGCGTTTTGGGGTGGAGTTTTCTATATGTCAGGTCAAATTTCTTAGTGATATTATGCAAGTCAAGTCTTTTATGCCCTTACTGAATTTTTTTTACCTTGTTCTGTCAGTTAATTAGAAATTCAGCTAAAATGTCCCAGTAAGGTTGTGGATTGGTTTATTTCTTTCAGTTTTGCTTTATATAGTTTGTAACCATGTAATTAAGTAAATACATATGCTTCTTGAGGCCTGAACCTTTTATTAATTTTCATATGCTTCTTGAGGCTTGAACCTTTTTATTATTATTATTTTTTTTTTTTTTTTTTTTTTTTTTTTTTGAGACGGAGTCTCGCTCTGTCGCCCAGGCCGGACTGCGGACTGCAGTGGCGCAATCTCGGCTCACTGCAAGCTCCGCTTCCCGGGTTCACGCCATTCTCCTGCCTCAGCCTCCCGAGTAGCTGGGACTACCGGCGCCCGCCACCGCGCCTGGCTAATTTTTTGTATTTTTAGTAGAGACGGGGTTTCACCTTGTTAGCCAGGATGGTCTCGATCTCCTGACCTCATGATCCACCCGCCTCGGCCTCCCAAAGTGCTGGGATTACAGGCGTGAGCCACCGCGCCCGGCTGAACCTTTTTATTATTAAAAAAAGCCTCTCCTTAACTCTGGAGATGTTTCTTGCCTTAAAGTCTACCTTGTCAGTTGACTAGTAGTTGGTAGATTAGTACAGTTATATCAGCTTTCTTCTCCTTAGTGTTTGCAAGGCACAGTTCACTTTATCCTTTAAATGTCAACCTTTCTATTTTGTCATTTGTTTAGCTGTGTCTCTTGTTAGCCATATATAATTGGGTTTGGGTTTTGTTTTGTTTTGTTTTGTTTTCATCTAGCCTAAGTCTTAGTATTTTTGTTTGTTTGTTTTCCTGTGATGGAGTTTCACTCTTGTTGCCCAGGCTGGAGTGGAATGGCACGATCTCAGCTCACTGCAACCTCTGCCTGCCAGGTTCAAGTGATTCTCCTGCCTCAGCCTCCTGAGTAGCTGGGATTACAGGCACGTGCCACCAGGCCCAGCTAATTTTTGTATTTTTAGTAAAGACAGGGTTTCGCCATGTTGGTCAGCCTGGTCTCAAACTCCTGACCTCAGGTGATCTGCCCACCTCAGCCTCCCAAAGTGCTGGGATTACATATGTGAGCCACCATGCCCAGCCAAGTGGCCAAGTCTTTGTATTTTAAATAGGCCATTTTGTCTTAACGTAATCAGTAATTTGTTTGGGTAGCTGCCATTCTCCCTGTTATATACACCTTTTATCTAGCCTTTAAAAAAAAAACTTCTTTTACATAACTAAAAATCTATTATTATTCTACAATTTTTATGTATTTCCTCTTAGTTTTTTTCTACTATTTTTTAAATGGCTACCCTAGAGACTACCACCTGTGCTTTTTACTTTTTAAGGTTCAATATAAATTAATTCTCTTACCAGTTCCCAGGCTAGGACTTTTAACTCTATTCCTTTTCTGCTTTTTGTGATATGCTTGTCATGAACTTTAAATGTGCATACATTTTAGGATACATAAGTTGTTGTTCTTCTTCTTAATGTATTATTCATCTGTGCATGTGTGTCTCTCCTTTATTCTCCATTCATTTTTGTACTTCAGTCTGGGATCATTTTCCTCCTGCCTTAAAAGCCCAATGTAGTGTTTCTTGTGTGGGTACCCATGGTGATACATTCTCAGTGTTTGTTCAAAAGTATTTTTATTTTTTCTTAATTTTAAAAAAGCATCTCTTTGAATATAAATTCCTAGTTTGGCTATCACTTCTTTTCAATGCCTAAAGACATCTTTCCATTGTCTTCAGGTGTCTGAAGTTCTGTTGGGAAGTCAGCTGTTAGCCTTATCATTTGTTTGTTACTCATTTGAAAGTGCTGCTCTGTCTTTTTTTTTCTGCTTTTAAGATTTTTTGTCTCTAAGATTCTTCATTTTACTATAATGTACCTAGGTATGTGGGGTTTTTTTTTCCATCTTTGTTTATAGTGTTTTAGAGTAAGAATGATCCTTGAAGCTGTGGTGTCATGTCTTTCATCAGTTCTGGAAAACTCTCAGATATTATCTTTTTAAATATTATTTCTGTATCCCAATCAATCTATCTCCTCCTGAAATTCTAGGTACATATTTTTAGACTTTTTCATTCTAATCCATTTCATTCTAATCCATATGTTGTTAACATTTTAAAAATATTTCCTGTTCTTTTTTTAATCTTTGTGTCAATGTGAAAATTTTCTACTGACTTGCAAATATACTAGTCCTCTCCTTAGCTGTTTTCCATCTGTTGTGTTCATTAGGTCTTAATTTTAGATGTATTTTTAATTTCTAGAATGTTCATAATACTTTAATATATTAGAGTTTTCTGTTGAAATTCTTTATCTTGGCTGGGTGCGGTGGCTCATGCCCGTAATCCCAACACTTTGGGAGGCCAACGTGGGTGGATCACCTGAGGTCAGGAGGTCAAGACCAGCCTGGCCAACATGGTGAAACCCCGTCTCTACTAAAAACATAAAAATTAGCTGGGCATGGTGGTGCATGCCTGTAATCCCAGCTACTTGGGGGGCTGAGGCAGAAGAATCACTTGAACCTGGGAGGCGGAGGTTGCAGTGAGCTAAGATCACACCACTGCACTCCAGCCTGGTGACAGAGTGAAACTCCATCTCAAAAAACAACAACAACAAAAAAGAAATCCTTTATCTTGCCATCTTCTTTCAAAAAAAGGATATATGAATATCTGTGTCTAATAACTGAAATATCTTGATCATTTTTGGGTCTATTTTTACTGCCTGTTTCTATTAACTTTGTGTCATATATACCTGATACTTTAATTAAGAGGCAAATATTATACACAAAAATTGAAAAGTCTGAGAATGATTTATCTTCCTTCAGAGAGGATTAATCCTATTCTCTGCCAGACAACTCAAATATGGGCAGTTTACTTAAATCCCTGGCTCAAAGCTATGTTGCAGCCTTTGTAAGACTGAATCTGTCTCTCATTCAAATCTACATTTAGTATATACCCAAGACTCTAAACAGAGATCTAGGGCGTTTACTAGAGCTTGGAAAGACTAGACTCCAATTTTTGTCTCCCCAGCTATGTAAGGCCACTAAAACCTCTGTTTTATTTTCCAGCTGTTTTGTCAGAGATTTCTGAGCCTTTTGCATTGCAAAAATTAAGAATCACCAAATGTCTCAATGCAGAAACTAGTGTGGCATATTAGGCCCACTTTTCTGAACTTCACTTCTCTTTGAATGCTTGGCCCTTCAAGTGTTGACTGCCTTGGCAACCCTAAGTTCCTGTTTGCCTTTCCACTCCTATTTGAGATTATTAAAAGTTCTTCAGACTTATTTGATTCTTGGCATCCTTTTTTTTTTTTTTTTTTTTTTTGCCCAGTTTAACCTTACTGTCTTTGGATCAGGAATCAGCAAATGTCCTAAGAGGATGAGTAGAATAAAAATTACTGAGTTCTCCTCAATGAACTTCCCTTTTCTCTAGGAGTTTGGCCCCTAAAGTCCTGGCATCTATCCCAGCATCTCTCCAATGCCTTCAAACAAGCTTATCTTGTTTTTTCTCCAGCTTTTCTACTTGCTTTCAGCTGAAGCATTAGTCTACTGCAAGTCATTCCATCATAGCTTAAAGAGAAATACTCTGATGGATTTTAATAAAAACAAGTTTGAACTATGAGCTCCTAATGTCAAAGATTGCATATTATTTTTTTGACCATAGTGGTTCACTCTTGCTAATATTAGTATTCATGAGTGTTTTCATAATAATGTTTTCTGATGTACTCACAGTGATAAAATAACTAATGGTCGTGTTGGTAGTAACAACAGTGGATTCTAGGAAAGGATAAAGTTCTGAGATAAACCTCCCATTATTTCCACCTTTGTTTTTATCCATCGTACAGACTGTTTGCTCTGTGTCCATTTTCTTATGTGACAATATGTTAGAATAGAGAGTCAAAGAGACCTGTGCATTTCTGGCTTTGGTGTTTCCAAAACAGTGTGGTTTTTTTTTGTTGTTGTTGTTGTTGTTTACAGTGTTTCACTCTTGTTGCCCAGGCTGGCATGCACCATCATGCCTGGCTAATTTCTGTATTTTTAGTGGAGATGGGGTTTCACCATGTTGGACAGGCTGATCTCGAACTCCTGACCTTAGGTAATCTGCCTGCCTCTGCCTCCCAAAGTGCTGGGATTACTGGCATGAGCGACCGTGCCCAACCCAAAACTTAGTTCTTTAGAAGAACTTAGAGAATTTAAAAACTCCACAACGTTTTTGAGAAAAATGGAGTAGAGAGAGTAGAGTTCTCCCCACTCCAAGACAAGAAAATAGCTTCCCTGAGTTGGTGGTAATAGGAAGAGAGCATACTTAGAGAGAGCCATGATGGAGCAGATGCTGTGGATGCCTGCCCCATCCTCTGGCCCTCCGGACCTACCTTAACAGTTGCCAGTCTGACTTCCAACTGCCACTAACTGAATCTCTTTGACTGAGAGTTTTCAATGGCCTCAAAATCCCACTTTGCCTTTGTCTATGGCAGACTGGAAGTGCCAGAGAATTAATGCCTGTAGCAAGCAGCCTTCAACTGATAAGAGTTGGTTGAAATACTCAATATAAATACTCCAGCCCTCCACCCCTGAGCTGAGCTGTGTGTTCTACGCTGGTTCCCAGGTCATTTCCCCAGAAGGTTAAGCTCCAGTTGGCCACAGTGTTTGATAGTACCCACTTTGGACTGCTTTCTTTTCCCTGTTTCTCTCCCCAACTCTCCTACTGGTATTTCTGTTACCTCCCAAAGAAGCTATTTACCCTGGAATCCTTGTCTCAGAGTCCACTTCTGGAGCAACCCATACTAAGGCTTTTGGCTTGGACTAGTGCAGTTATGCCAGGACCTGGCTCCCAGAGAGCAACCAGAGGAGACAAGGAGACTCCAGAGATGAAAGGCTGGGGATGCATGAGGGCTTTGGGCTGTGGGTCATGGTCAGCCTTCCAGAGGGCCCTGTGACTGTTTGTTGAAGGGGTGATAAATTTAAAAGAATCCTTTACACTACTGAGTGGTCTGTTTCCTATTTGAGTGGATACTAATAAGATAGCATCTTGAAAATAAGTGAAAAACACCAGCTACAAACCAGCGCTTTTCTTTGAAAGCAGAGCCTGTACTAAGCTTTTTATCAGGATGATGCATTCTGCTTCCTTTGTCATTATTTGTCCCATATTAACAAGCAGAATGTTCAAAAAGAGGGAAATTACCCTGAATGTATAGAACCAAGTAGATTTTGATCATTATTCTAGATGGCATTCATTTCAGATCTTCTGATAGACTCACAGAAGGAATCAGAAGTTAACTTTTTTTTTCTTAAGCCGTTGAAAGTATGATACAACAGGGAGAGATTTTCAACTTAATTCCTTTTTGAAACTTTCATTTTGCTCATTAAACCTTGTAAATCAGGTGATATTATGAAACTGGTGGTTAAGTTAAGGCTTAAAATCTTAAATTTTATTTTATTTTATTTTATTTTTTGAGATGGAGTCTTGCTCTGTCACCCAGGCTGGAGTGCAGTGGCGTGATCTCGGCTCACTGCAAGCTCCGCCTCCTGGGTTCACGCCATTCTCCTGCCTCAGCCTCCCAAGTAGCTGGGACTACAGGCACCCGCCACCACACCTGGCTAATTTTTTGTATTTTTAGTAGAGACGCAGTTTCACCATGTTAGCCAGGATGGTCTCAATCTCCTGACCTCGTGATCCGCCTGCCTTGGCCTCCCAAAGTGCTGGGATTACAAGGGTGAGCCACCATGCCCAGCCTAAAATCTTAAATTTTAAATATGTCTTCATGCTTTAAAATGCCAGAAAGCATTTCTAGCGATCAAAATGCCCATCACTCCTAGCTAACTCAGTAAATTCACTCATGCAATATAGATGACAATTTTCTGTATGCGTGTATGTGTATACAAATATATCCATCCCCCAACGGAAGTCCAATTTATCCTTGGTTCTGTTTCTACTCTCTTCTCAATAGAAGGGAAATCTTCTGCTTCCTTTAGAAGGGAAACTATAGGAGATTACATTAGCCTAGTAGTCATTATCCAAATCACCACAGTTATGAGGTAATGTAGCAAGGGCAACTTATAAAATGAGAAGGTCCATAACAAATTGACCACCTGTAAAGTTTTTTCCCATTCAGACTTCCCTCTCCACTTAACATCAGTCTACTGAGTCAACAAATCCACATGTTTTACGTCGGTATAAGAGATATTTTTGTTTGTCCCTCCTGATCCAATTTCTCCCTTTCTGTTTTTTTTTTTTTTTTTGAGACAGAGTCTCACTCTGTCACCCAGGCTGGAATGCAGTGGAATGATCTCGGCTCACTGCAACCTCCGCCTCCTGGGTTCAAGCAATTTTCCTGCCTCAGCCTCCTGAGTAGCTGGTGTTGGGCACCCACCACCACGCCAGGCTAATTTTTGTATTTTTAATAGAGACGGGGTCTCACCATGTTGGCCAGGCTGGTCTTGAACTCCTGACCTCAAGTGATCCACCTGCCTCAGCCTCCCAGAGTGCTGGGATTACAGGCATGAGCCACTGCACCTGGCCCAATTTCTCCCTTTCTACCCAACTTTTTGTCCTGGGAAGCTGAACTTTATCAATGTAATCAAGGGACTCCTTTACTCTCTGGAATCCCTTAGGGCTTGGCCAGTGGGAGTCAGTGGCAGGAGGCCAGAAGACAGGAAGAGAGTGAAACCCGGGCAATCGCTCTCTCAGCTCCCTCTCAGCTGGGTTACCATGAATGACTGTGACCTAAGTCACAGCTCCTTTGAGGCAGCTCTCCCTTCTAGCTACAACTCTCTGCATCACAGGTAGGTTGGGGGAGGGAGATTGTAATGGCTTCCTGCTGAAGCTAACCCAGATATCCTTCAGCATCCTTTATTTGTTTCCCCCAACCCTGCCCAACAACATTTTGTAAGTTTTCTTTATTAAACTCTCCTCAATTATGCAGTCTGGGTGAGTATGCCATCTATTTCTTGCAGGACCCAGGGCTGGTACAGTTTGCCCCACCTTGTTTGTCAGACAGTAGCACAAGGCCACACAATACAATGAAAGGGCAATGCAAGTGAATTGCACGGTGAAATAACACCTCTTGCAAAAGATGGTGGGATTTCATGAAGGAGACAAAAGTGATGTTGGAAAATTGTACGAACCACATGTAAAACTACTAACCTGTTTAGTTTGGCAATTTCTCCAGTTATAAATGGAAAGGAAAACCAATGCTTAGGCACTGCAAAAGAAAGTGATTTTAATGCCAAAGGATTAAGAGAGGCATCAGGGAAATATATGAATCCTTTGCATCTATTTTTTTTTTTAATAAAAGAGACACTTTCCTTATGCTTGTGACGTAACACTCTGTGTGAAGTAAAGGATGTCCTGATGAGCTACCCTACTCTTTTGTCGGGAATGTTGTACCCAAAAGCCACCCTAATACCACTCAGTTTGTTCCTTTTCTATCTTACAAATTAGCACATACATAATTACAATTATAATGTGCATTTTAATAAATGTAAGATAAACTTATTTTCATAATTTTCACTCTATTTTTCAAGATAAAATCACAATTAAACCTATTATTCTTTTACTGAATGTCAAATTTTGGTCCTGCTTTAAGTGGATTTAAGTGGTGTTTTCCCAGGACCAGTTATCTTTGGCTAAGGAGACCTTCTGAACATCCCTGGAGGAGCCACAGAAGGCCACTTTGGGAGAGGCTGTTCCTTCCAAGATTTCTGAGGACCTTCCTTCTGAGTTGGGATTTGGCCTCCAGAATCACACAGCCTGCAGTTCAGGTTCCAGCTCCATCCCCTGCTACCCCTTTGGCCTAGCAAACTGTCATTGAGGCATTCTTTGAAACACTCAGCAAGATGGCCGAATAGGAACAGCTCCAGTCTACAGCTCCCAGCATGAGCGACACAGAAGATGGGTGATTTCTGCATTTCCAACTGAGGTACCCAGTTCATCTCACTGGGGAGTGTCGGAAAGTGGGTGCAGGACAGTGGATGCAGCGCACTGACCATGAGCCGAAGCAGGGCGAGGCATCGCCTCACCTGGGAAGCGTAAGAGGTCAGGGAATTCCCTTTCCTAGTCAAAGAAAGGGGTGACAGATGACACCTGGAAAATCAGGTCACTCCTACCCTAATACTGCGTTTTTGCAATGGTCTTAGCAAACGGCACACCAGGAGATTATATCCTGCGCATGGCTCAGAGGGTCCTACGCCCACGGAACCCCGCTCATTGCTAGCACAGCAGTCTGAGATCAAGCTGCAAGGAGGCAGCGAGGCTGGGGGAGGGGTGCCCACCATTGCCGAGGCTTGAGTAGGTAAACAAAGTGGCTGGGAAGCTTGAACTGGGTGGAGACCACCGCAGCTCAAGGAGGCCTGCCTGCCTCTGTAGACTCCACCTCTGGGGGCAGGACATAGCCAAACAAAAAGCAGCAGAATCTTCTCAGACTTAAATGTCCCTGTCTGACAGCTTTGAAGAGAGTAGTGGTTCTCCCAGCATGCAGCTTGAGTTCTGAGAACGGACAGACTGCCTCCTCAAGTGGGTCCCTGACCCCCAAGTAGCCTAACTGGGAAGCACCCCCCAGTAGGGGCAGACTGACCCCTCCCATGGCCAGGTACTCCTCTGAGACAAAACTTTCAGAGGAATGATCAGGCAGCAACATCTGCTATTCACCAATATCCGCTGTTCTGCAGCCTCCGCTGCTGATACCCAGGCAAACAGAGTCTGGAGTGGACCTCCAGCAAACTCCAACAGACCTGCAGCTGAGGGTCCTGACTGTTAGAAGGAAAACTAACAAACAGAAAGGACATCCACGCCAAAACCCCATCTGTATGTCACCATCATCAAAGACCAAAGGTAGATAAAACCACAAAGATGGGGAAAAAACAGAGCAGAAAAACTGGAAACTCTAGAAATCAGAGCACCTCTCCTCCTCCAAAGGAATGCAGCTCCTCACCAGCAATGGAACAAAGCTGGATGGAGAATGACTTTGACGAGTTGAGAGAAGAAGGCTTCAGACAATCAAACTACTCCGAGCTAAAGGAGGAAGTTCGAACCCATGGCAAAGAAGTTAAAAACCTTGAAAAAAAATTAGACAAATGGCTAACTAGAATAACCAATGCAGAGAAGTCCTTAAAGGACCTGATGGAGCTGAAAACCAAGGCATGAGAACTACATGACAAATGCACAAGCCTCAGTAGGTGATTCGATCAACTAGAAGAATGGGTATCAGTGATGGAAGATCAAATGAATGAAATGAAGCGAGAAGAGAAGTTTAGAGAAAAAAGAATAAAAAGAAATGAACAAAGCCTCCAAGAAATATGGGACTATGTGAAAAGACCAAATCTACGTCTGATTGGTGTACCTGAAAGTGATGGGGAGAATGGAACCAAGTTGGAAAACACTCTGCAGGATATTATCCAGGAGAACTTCCCCAGTCTAGCAAGGCAGGCCAACATTCAAATTCAGGAAATACAGAGAATGCCACAAAGATACTCCTCGAGAAGAGCAACTCCAAGACACATAATTGTCAGATTCAACAAAGTTGAAATGAAGGAAAAAATGTTAAGGGCAGCCAGAGAGAAAGGTCAGGTTACCCACAAGGGGAAGCCCATCAGACTAACAGCTGATCTCTCAGCAGAAAATCTACTAGCCAGAAGAGAGTGGGGGCCAATATTCAACGTTCTTAAAGAAAAGAATTTTCAACCCAGAATTTCATATCCAGCCAAACTAAGCTTCATAAGTGAAGGAGAAATAAAATCCTTTACATACAAGCAAACGCTGAGAGATTTTGTCACCACCAGGCCTGCCCTAAAAGAGCTCCTGAAGGAAGCACTAAACATGGAAAGGAACAACTGGTACCAGCCACTGCAAAAACATGCCAAATTGTAAAGACCATCAACACTATGAAGCAACTGCATCAACTAATGAGCAAAATAACCAGCTAACATCATAATGACAGGATCAAATTCACACATAACAATATTAACCTTAAATGTAAATGGGCTAAATGCTCCAATTAAAAGACACAGACTGGCAAATTGGATAAAGAGCCAAGACCCGTCAGTGTGCTGTATTCAGGACACCTATCTCATGTGCAGAGACACACATAGGCTCAAAATAAAAGGATGGAGGAAGATCTACCAAGCAAATGGAAAACAAAAAAAGGTAGGGGTTGCAATCCTAGTCTCTGATAAAACAGACTTTAAATCAACAAAGATCAAAAGAGACAAAGAAGGCCATTACATAATGGTAAAGGGATCAGTTCAACAAGAAGAGCTAACTATCCTAAATATATATGCACACAACACAGGAGCACCCAGATTCATAAAGCAAGTCCTCAGAGACCTACAAAGAGACTTAGACTCCCACACAATAATAATGGGAGACTTTAACACCCCACTGTCAACATCAGACAGATCAATGAGACAGAAAATTAACAAGGATATCCAGGAATTGAATTCAGCTCTGCACCAAGCAGACCTAATAGACATCTACAGAGCTCTCCACCCCAAATCAACAGAATATACATTCTTTTCAGCACCACACCACACTTATTCCAAAATTGACCACATAGTTGGAAGTAAAGCACTCCTCAGCAAATGTAAAATAACAGAAATTATAACAAATTGTCTCTCAGACCACAGTGCAATCAAACTAGAACTCAGGATTAAGAAACTCACTCAAAAACCACTCAACTACATGGAAACTGAACAACCTGCTCCTGAATGACTACTGGGTGCATAAGAAAATGAAGGCAGAAATAAAGATGTTCTTTGAAACCAATGAGAACAAAGACACAACATACCAGAATCTCTGGGACACATTCAAAGCAGTGTGTAGAGGGAACTTTGTAGCACTAAATGCCCACAAAAGAAAGCAGGAAAGAGCTAAAATTGACACCCTAACATCACAATTGAAAGAACTAGAGAAACAAGAGCAAATACATTCAAAAGCTAGCAGAAGGCAAGAAATAACTAAGATCAGAGCAGAACTGAAGGAAATAGAGACACAAAAAGCCCTTCAAAAAATCAATGAATCCAGAAGCTGGTTTTTTGAAAAGATCAACAAAATTGATAGACCGCTAGCAAGACTAATAAAGAAGAAAACAGAGAAGAATCAAATAGACGCAATAAAAAATGATAAAGGGGATACCACCACTGATCCCACAGAAATACAAACTACCATCAGAGAATACTACAAATGCAAATAAACTAGAAAATCTAGAAGAAATGGATAAATTCCTCAACACATACACCCTCCCAAGATTAAACTAGGAAGAAGTTGAATCTCTGAATAGACCAATAACAGGCTCTGAAATTGAGGCAATAATTAATAGCTTACCAACCAAAAAAAGTCCAGAACCAGATGGATTCACAGCCGAATTCTACCAGAGGTACAAGGAGGAGCTGGTACCATTCCTTCTGAAACTATTCCAATCAATAGAAAAAGAGGGAATCCTCCCAAACTCATTTTATGAGGCCAGCATCATCCTGATACCAAAGCCTGGCAGAGACAAAACAAGAAAAGAGAATTTTAGACCAATATCCCTGATGAACACTGATGCAAAAATCCTCAATAAAATACTGGCAAACCGAATCCAGCAGCACATCAAAAAGCTTATCCACCATGATCAAGTGGGCTTCATCCATGGGATGCAAGGCTGGTTCAATATACACAAATCAATAAATGTAATCCAGCTTATAAACAGAACCAATGATAAAAACCATATGATTATCTCAATAGATGCAGAAAAGTCCTTTGACAAAATTCAACAACACTTCATGCTAAAAACTCTCAATAAATTAGGTATTGATGGGACGTATCTCAAAATAATAAGAGCTATCTATGACAAACCCACAGCCAATATCATACTGAATGGGCAAAAACTGGAAGCATTCCCTTTGAAAACTGGCACAAGACAGGGATGCCCTCTCTCACCGCTCCTATTCAACATAGTGTTGGAAGTTCTGGCCAGGGCAATCAGGCAGGAGAAGGAAATATAGGGTATTCAATTAGGAAAAGAGGAAGTCAAATTGTCCCTGTTTGCAGATGACATGATTTTATATCTAGAAAACCCCATCGTCTCAGCCCAAAATCTCCTTAAGCTGATAGGCAACTTCAGCTAAGTCTCAGGATACAAAATCAATGTGCAAAAATCACAAGCACTCTTATACACCAATAACAGACAAACAGAGAGCCAAATCATGAGTGAACTCCCATTCACAATTGCTTGAAAGAGAATAAAATACCTAGGAATCCAACTTACAAGGGATGTGAAGGACCTCTTCAAGGAGAACTACAAGCCACTGCTCAATGAAATAAAAGAGGATACAAACAAATGGAAGAACATTCCATGCTTGTGGGTAGGAAGAATCAATATCGTGAAAATGGCCATACTGCCCAAGGTAATTTATAGATTTAATGCCATCCCCATCAAGCTACCAATGACTTTCTTCACAGAATTGGAAAAAACTACTTTAAAGTTCATATGGAACCAAAAAAGTGCCTGCATTGCCAAGTCAATCCTAAGCCAAAAGAACAAAGCTGTAGGCATCATGCTACCTGACTTCAAACTATACTACAAGGCTACAGTAACCAAAACAGCATGGTACTGGTACCAAAACAGAGATATAGACCAATGGAACAGAACAGAGCCCTCGGAAATAATGCTGCATATCTACAACTATCTGATCTTTGACAAACCTGACAAAAACAAGAAATGGGGAAACAATTCTCTATTTAATAAATAGTGCTGGAAAAACTGGCTAGCCATATGTAGAAAGCTGAAACTGGATCCCTTCCTTACACCTTATACAAAAATTAATTCAAGATGGATTAAAGACTTACATGTTAGACCTAAAACCATAAAAACCCTAGAAGAAAACCTAGGCAATACCATTAAGGACATAGGCATGGGCAAGGACTTCATGTCTAAAACACCAAAAGCAATGGCAACAAAAGGCAAAATTGACAAATGGGATCTAATTAAACTGAAGAGCTTCTGCACAGCAAAAGAAACTACCATCAGAGTGAACAGGCAACAGGCAACAGAACAGGAGAGGAGAGAACAGAACAGGAGAGGAGAGAACAGAACAGGCGACAGAATGGGAGAAAATTTTTTCAATCTACTCATCTGACAAAGGACTAATATCCAGAATCTACAAAGAACTCAAACAAATTTACAAGAAAAAAACAAACAACCCCATCAAAAAGTGGGCGAAGGACATGAACAGACATTTCTCAAAAGAAGACATTTATGCAGCCAAAAGACACATGAAAAAATGCTCGCCATCACTGACCATCAGAGGAATGCAAATCAAAACCACAATGAGATACCATCTCACACCAGTTAGAATGGCAATCATTAAAAAGTCAGGAAGCAACAGGTGCTGGAGAGGATGTGGAGAAATAGGAACACTTTTACATTGTTGGTGGGACTGTAAACTAGTTCAACCCTTGTGGAAGTCAGTGTGGCGATTCCTCAGGGATCTAGAACTAGAAATATCATTTGACCCAGCAATCCAATTACTGGGTATATACCCAAAGGATTATAAATCATGCTGCTATAAAGACACATGCACACGTATGTTTATTGTGGCACTATTCACAATAGCAAAGACTTGGCACCAAGCCAAATGTCCAACAATGATAGACTGGATTAAGAAAATGTGGCACATATACACCATGGAATACTATGCAGCCATAAAAAATGATGAGTTCATGTCCTTTGTAGGGACATGGATGAAGCTGGAAACCATCATTCTCAGCAAACTATCGCAAGGACAAAAAACCAAACACCGCATGTTGTCACTCATAGGTGAGAATTGAACAATGAGAACACATGGACACAGGAAGGGGAACATCACACACCGGGACCTGTTGTGGGGTGAGGGGAGAGGAGAGCGATAGCATTAGGAGATATACCTAATGTTAAATGATGAGTTAATGGGTGCAGCACACCAACATGGCACATGTATACATATGTAACTAACCTGCACGTTGTGCACATGTACCCTAAAACTTAAAGTATAATTAAAAAAAAAAAAAAAAGAAACACTCAGCCCAGGTTTCAGGCATGTGGTAAACGCTCAGCTCACATTAGCACCTACCAGAATTACTAGAATTATTGTAGTTGTGCCATTAGTAGTTCTACTTAACACGTGACTCTGTTCAACATAGTATCCATTTTACTAAGCTTCAACCCTTAAATATTGCTTGGTTTTTACCAGCTTCAGAATGATTAGATTTAGAGAATAAAAGACTAATGGGACTGAAACAGGATGTCTATCTTAAAGAAAGTTATATACAATTCAAATAGAAATAGAATCAAAGAGAAGTCTTTAAAAATCAGAAAAGGCAAATAAACTAATTAAGACAATAAAAGTAAATGGGAAAAATTTCTAAAGGGCAAATACTAGGTAAAAAATTAACTCTAACTAAGCGTCTAGGCTCCTAACATATAAATAAAAATGATAAAGAAATACTAAAATTTACAGAATAAAGACTCTTAGGAAAATGCTAAACATAAAGGAAGCAGGGTTTATGGTATTTCTATTCAAACAAGTTCAAATTCAATGTAAAATACATTAGAGTTATAATGAGAAATTGAATCATTTTATAAATTGGTTAATCAACATCAAAAGTAAAGTTAACAGGAACATTCATGTGCCCAAACACATAGCATCAGAAGACAGAAAGCAAAAATTGTAAGACAAAAAGTAATTAACAAAGCCCAAAGGAAGGGCTACAGTAACAAAGATGTATCAGCCAATGGAATATTGAGTTTGAAAATAATAGCAAACTCTTAGCTTCTGTTGTTTAGAACAGAGTTTCCCAAACAATAAGCACCCTTGTGCCGGAGGATCGCCTGAGTCCTTAGGTCACCTACAGAGCTTACAGCTGCGGAAAACTTCAGGTTGACCACCTCCAGGTTGAGCAGCTTTTTCTGAGACTCCTTAATGACAGCCTAAGCTGACTGGAGTCTGACCACATGGCCCACAATATGTCAGAGACAGAATACAAGGAGCTATTCCTGGCTCTCTCCGCTGGACTGCATACATTGAGCACAGGCCAGGAAGTGTCTACTGCCTGGGCATCTGATTCCACAGCCACCCAAAGAGATCTGCAGGGGCCCCTCACGGAGCAGGTAAGTTCATTGAGGGGTGCCCAAAGAGCAAGTTACACAGCAGGGATGAGGCTGGGCATCAGGGAGAGTGAGCAGGAACACGTCCAGGTCTCAGCTGTAAAACTCTATCATTATATACTTTGGAAATTTTTGTCCAAAAGTTTGCTAGGAGCAGAGCAATCCTCCTAGCAATGCATGCACAACAAACTGCAAATGAGGGCTTCATTACTATTTTTTTTTTTTTTTTTGAGATGGAGTCACGCTCTGTTACCCAGGCTTGAGTGCATTGGCGCGATGTCAGCTCACTGCAACCTCTGCCTCCTGGGTTCAAGCAATTCTCCCATCTCAATCTCCCAAGTACTATTTTAAAACATTGATATGTAGCTTAGTTCAGTACAAAATCCATTCACCGTTCACAATTTCTTTCTTTCTTTCTTTCTTTCTTTCTTTCTTTCTTTCTTTCTTTCTTTCTTTCTTTTCTTTCTTTCTTTCTTTCTCTCCTTCTTTCTTTTCAAATACAGGGTCTCACTGTTATTTGTACTCAAGCTGGAGTACATTGGCCTAATCACGGCTCACTGCAGCTTCAACATCCTGGGCTCAAGGGATCCTCCCACCACAGCCTCCCAAGTAGCTGGAGATACAGGCATGCACCACCACACCCAGCAAATTTTTTAACTTCTTGTAGTGACAAAACCTCACCATGTTGCCCAGGCTGGCCTTGAACTCCTGGGCTCAAGTGATCCTCCAGCCTTGGCCTCCCAAAGTGCTGGGATTACAGGAGTGAGCCACTGTGCCTGGCCCACAATTTATTTCAACAATGCATTTTTCAAGAAAAGTAAAGAAACACTATTAGATTCTTTAAACATAATTGTAACTGTTGTAACATTTTGAATGGTTATGTATACGTTTATATTTTTCTGACCTATTTGTGTAAACAGAGTTTGTGTCAATGGCAAAGAAGTATTTGAAGAAATTATTCTTAAAAAGTCTTGCCTAGGAATTGTATGCAGCCTATCACAAGAGAATTAAAAATAATGTTTATGAAAATTTGGCATTCATTTTAAAATATTATTTCCTAAAATAATATTTCAAATACACAAGGCCAACCAATAAAAATGAGATACACACACCCCAAATACTGGCTAATATTGTGATTTGAAAGCCATGTACCTGTTTAAAGCTCAGTCAGCCATTTAAAATTTATTTTGGTGATGTAATATAGCTAACCCTACATGGTATCAACTTAATGATTTTTTTTTTTTGCCTCTGACATGCTTTAATACCATGTATGAGGCCTTGTCGCTATCCTGTTCCTGTGCTTTCTGTATCTCATTTGTATGCAAATTCTCGTGTATGCAACTTATTCTTTGGTAAATGCTACCAGCAGATTGAGTGTCTCTGTAATTATGTTCCATCCCTGTCGGCCCTATTTGTGTCTTCTTATATCACTGCTGCAGTCCCTGCTTCATGTTCCAATCATGAATTACATACGGAGTGGCCCAGGCAGCAATTTTTCTTATTGGTGATGGGCTGCTCCACATCTCTCCCCTGAATGCATTCCCCACTTGCATGATGTCTTTCTAAAATGCATGTGTGGGACTTGTGCCTCCTTTCCTTTTGTTTCTTTTTTAATCTACTTTTTTAAAAATTTCTTTAAGAGTAGGGGTTGCAGTCTCTAACTTCTGGGCTCAAGCTATCCTCTTGCCTCAACTTCCTGAGTAGCTGGGACAAAAAGCCTATGCCACCACGCTTGCCTAATTTTTAATTTTTTATAGAGATAGGGTCCCACTATGTTACCCAGGCTGGGCTTGTACTCCTGGCTTCAAGCAGTCCTCCACTTCAGCCTCCCAGAGCACTGAGATTACAGGCATGAGCCACTGTGCCCGGCCTTAATCTACTTTTAAAACTAGATGCCATTTGGTTCTAACAGAGATACGTTGTTCAACTAACTTAGCCTCTTCTCATTTTCTCCCCCATTTGATTTATGTGATTCTAACATATGAGGTAAAATCACTTTATATACACGCGTATGTTTTGGGTTGTTTATAGCAAGGCTGAGTAATCTAATGAAAATTTCATGTGGGACAGCCATGCCAGGAATAAACATTATGCGTATAGATTTACATACAAATATAAACACAATGTGTACACCTGTCTTTACACATACATACAAGTGTATGTGAATGAAATGTGTGTGCGTGTGTGTGTGTGTGTAGGGAGGGAGCAAGAGTGAGAGAGAGAGAGAGACTGCATGCTCTGGAGCAGTCATGCCTATATTCGAACCCTAAATCTATTATTTATTTATTTTTCTTTTTTGGAGATAGAGACTAGCTCTGTCACCCAGGCTGGAGTGCAGTGGCACGATCTCAGCTCACTGCAACCTCCACCTCCCAGACTCAAGCAATTCTCCTGCCTTAGCCTCCCCAGTAGCTGGGATTGTGGGCACACGCCACCACGCCCGGCTAATTTTGTATTTTAGTAGAGACGGTGAAACCATGTTGGCCAGGCTGGTCTCGAACCCCTGACCTCAGTGATGCCCCTGCCTCGGACTTCCAAAGTGCTGGGATTACAAAAGAGAGCCACCACGCCTGGCCCCTTACTCTATTATTAACGATCTGTTTGACCTTGGGCAATTTCTTAAACATCTGTGCCTCATTTTCCTCATTGGTAAAATGAGGCTAAGATTAAATACATTCATGTAATCATGAAGATTAAATACATTAATGCATAGAAGTGCTTCTCGGTGCATAGTAAGCTTCAATAAATGACAGCTTTTTTATTATCACATAGGATAAACAAGAGATATAAATATACACACAACAGGCATTGATTAGATTCAATCCCCTGTTCACTCAGCCAAAATTCATGGTACCTGCTGAGGGCAGCCACCCTGTCAGCTGTGAAATGGGAGCCCACAGGGTCAGTGAAGATGAAGTTGGCCTCTGATGGGCATTCACGACCCTCCTCCCTCCTTGCCCATTTCTGTACCCAACCTAGCACCAGGACAGAATGGGCCACCAACACCCAGCCTGGTTGGGAATTATGATAAATGGCCCCAGTCAGTTCTAACCAGTACTCCCTCACCCACTACCACCTTAGCTGTCCCTTTGCTCAATGGGGATTCCCATACGCATGTCTCTGTCCCCTCCCAGCCTCACGAAGAGACTCACGCAGGCCCTCTGTGTCCTTGCCATCCTCATGCCCAGAGAATGCAGGCTGTGTGGGCCTGTTTCCGGGGTCCTGGAGGACAGGACAAGGTGTGTTTCCTAGGGTCTCATTCCCAATCACAGGGCATGCTTCGGCTGCAAGATGCACTTCTTCCCTCCAGGAAAGCCAAAGGAACTTTGCATGGTAAACAGGGAAATGGCCCAGGGGAGCTACAGGCAGAGACACAGCCCTTCCTGGGGGTGGTGGTGAAGCCCCGGCTTTCTCCTGCTGGAGAAGTGGGGCCTGCTTGGTGCACAGCGTTCCTGCCGCCAACCTGTGTGGACACAGCATGGCCCAGAACCCTCCCACTATCTTCTAACATCACGCCTCGCTCTGCTGGCTCCCCAGGCTGTCTGGGCATCCAAGAGACCAGGACCAAAGGCTCATCCTGTGTCAGGACTGTGACAAGTCTTCCAGACCTTTCTAGAAGAAAGCTACACCAGGAAAGGAGAAGAGTCCAGATACACCCAGACACATCACTTCTGTAAAAAGCTTTGCAGTTTATGACCTGCTTTGGCAGCAACCGTGCCCCTGTGGGAGGATGGGTATTGACTGGGCTTTCCATGTTACAGCTGAGGAAACTGAAGCTCCAGGATGTCACAACTTGCTTGAGGTCACACAGTGACTATTTGACCGAATTGGCACTCAAGTTTGTTTTCCCTCACTGCAGTCTAGTAAACTTTTCATTCATTTATTCACTCAACAAATATTTATTGAGATTCTACTATGTGCAACAGGTCCTGCAGAGACAGGCGTGGGCAGGGCCAGCACCATCTCAACTTCACAAAGCCTCCAGTACCAGGCGGAAGACACACAAGTGACTAATTGATTATAATTAAGTGTGGCGGGTGTTGCAGCAGGAGAAGTACATTTATTAACCATCGTGCTAGATGTTCTGCCAGAGGCTGGAAATAATTTTAAATGAATGAATATTGTGACCAGTCCAGCCTCCAGGGACCTGTTGCTGCTCTCACTGGATGTCTGCCTTCAGCGTGTCAAGCCGCTGGCCATGGCAGGGATGTCTGCATGGGGCAGATGGTGGCAGGCAGGCTCCTCTGAGTCTTCCCAGGCAGCTCAGGGGCAGCGAGGACCTCATACAAATGCACAGTGGCCAGACACAGCCCAGAGAGGTTGGTTGGAGTTTGGGGGGCAGCAGGGGATAAGTGGAGGACAACGTGGATGTGGTGTGGCTAGAGATGTCCACACCTAAACAGCTCGCAGAAAGTGCATTCTCAGCACTTCTGTTTCAATTGTACACTAAAAAATTAACTTTTTTTTTAGAGACAGAGTCTTGCTCTGTCACCCAGGCTGGAGTGCGGTGGTATCATCATAGCTCTCTGCAGCATCAACCTCCCCAGCTCAAGTGATGATCCTCCCACCTCAGCCTCCTGAGTAGCGGGTACTATGGGTGTGTGCAACCATACCCAGCTGATTTTTTATTTTTTGTAGCAACAGGGTCTCACTATGTTGCCTAGGTTGGTCTCAAACTTCTGGGCTCCAGCCATCCTTCCACCTCAGCCTCCAGAGTAGCTGGGTCTACAGGTGCATGCCACCACGCCTGGCTTTTCTTTTTTTTTTTTTTTTTGAGACAGAGTCTCACTCTGTCACCCTGGCAGGAGTGCAGCCGCGCGATCTTGGCTCGGTGCAACCTCCGCCTCCCAGGCTCCAGCGGTTCTCCTGCCTCAGCTTCCCGAGTAGCTGGGATTACAGGTGTGCGCCACCATGCCCGGTTAATTTTTATATTTTTAGGAGAGTCAGGGTTTCACCATGTTGGTCAGGTTCACCATGTTGGCCAGGCTGATCTCGAACTCCTGACCTCAAGCAATCCGCCCACATCAGCCTCCCAAAGTGCTGAGATTACAGGCATGAGCCACCACGTCTAACCACCTAGCTATTTTTTAAAAATTTTTAATTTTTTTGTGCAGACAAGGTCTCACTACGTTGCCTAGACTGGTCTCGAACTCCTGGCCTCGAGCAATCCTCCTGCCTCAGCCTCCCAAAGCACTGGGCTTACAGGCATGAGCCACCAATCCTGGCCAACTTTTTAATTAAAATGAAGACATTCTGCCTTAGAAGTAGTAGCTCTCCTTGGTATGAAATTTATAAATTTTACAAGCAGTTTACAGAATAGTGAGGTAAACAAACAGAATAACCATCATGATAATCTCCACCACTTACTGAATACTTATGACATCCTGCACACACACTATGTTGTTTAATTTCTACAGTCACTCTATGAGTGGGTACCGTATAGACGAGGAAGCTGAACGTAACATCCCCAAGTTACCCTTGCTAGTAAATGATAGAGGCTGAACCCAAACCCAGGTCTTTCTGGAGGCAGAGCCCACCCTCCTGACCATCAAATTGCCCATAGTATCATCTAACATGAAGGCAATGGCTTCAGCCCGCACAGGTGAGGAATTCTGCTTTGAGATGAGCAGGATGGAAGGGTTTTTAATATCCATGGGGATCTGCCAGATAGCCAATGGAAGTGAAGGCACCCTGAAAGAGGAAATAGCATGTGCAAAGCTGTGACATAAAGCAGCCTGAAAGTTCAAGAAACCATGAGTGGTGGTGGGATTGTTGGGTGGTGAGGAAGGAAGTGGTATCAAGGATGGCAAGAGATGGTATTGGGGAGTGGGCAGAGGCCACTGAATCCAACATCTCGCCTGCCCAGCGATGGAGCCTTGGGATTTTCCTGTGGGTGACAGGGAGCCATTGAAGCGTTTAAGGACTGGTCGTGGGGTGAGGGGAGTGTACTGTCATCATTTTTGTAGTCTTTTGCAGAGAAAATTTGGAGGCAGTTTGGAAAACACTCTAGAGCCTGACATGTGAGAGATGAGTTAGGAGGTCACGTGTCCCCACTTTTCTAATTTTGTATCTTCTTCAGCAAAAAAGTCTTTGCCGCCTATTCTGAGCAGATGTATGATTATTCACAAATGATATACAATACAACTGTATTCACACATTGCATGCCTTGAAACATACACAAAATGTAAACACTAAAAACATGACGTAAAAATAGATGTAAGTCTGGGAACTCGATGGAGGTGGTGGCTGCACAGCATTGTGAGTGTACTCAATGCCACAGGATTCCCCATCTTAAAACGGCTCATTTTATGGTATGTGAGTCTTAATTAAATACAAAAACCAGACAAGTGTGGGTAGATAGACATTCAATTCCTTTCTTCTCATCCTTCAGTGAACGGTCTGGTGTGCCCTGGGTGCACGTACCCCTTGGGGATTAGGGCAGTGATGAGAGGCAATGGAGGGAGGGTGTGGCTGTGGAGATGCGGACGGGAAGAAGGATCTGAGGAGTGACTGAAGAGGTAGAATGGGCAGGGCTTGGTGATGGAAGGTTGAAGAGTATTCAGCAAAGAGAAGAACGTGGGAAGCCTCCCCATTTCTGGTTTGGGTATAAGATAAAGAAACGTTTTCTCCTTGCCAGGGACATGAGGCAGACAATACTGGGATAATTTCCCAGGGCTTGGGATAGGACTGGGTGGGGAAGTTTCTAGGTATCCATTCTCAGGATAAGGACGGGCCTGTTTGGATGAGGATAATGGAGGGTCAAACCTGAAGAAGCCAGATTAGCAGAGGCAAAGTGAGAGATCAGAAGGTGGTAAACTCAGAAGGGGGTAGAGACCTGAGGAGCAAGCTGGGACAAGGCAGGAGGGAATTCACAGGCCACATGGTAAGTAATGAGTGGGGTAGAGGACAGAGCAGGGTTTCATTGTGGCGAGTCTGACGGGAGGTGCTGGGGGATGTTCCAGGAGAACAGCAGAAATGTGTGATGCTATGGATGTGGGCTTGGCAAGTTCCATCTGGAGCTGGGAAGAGGCCACCCATGGAGAACAGGAACCATGAGGCGGAGAGTGGAGCTTGCAGGAGGGCGAAAATTAAGACCAAAGAATGGAAGCCTGCCAGTGTGAGAGACCGCCTGACAAAAACCAGGAGAGTATGGAGTCATGGCGGCCCAGGCAGAAGTTCTGGGAGGAAAGAAATGGTCAACACTACAGGGAAGTCAAACACTGCCAGTGGAGACAAATAGGACAGGAACTGAAAAAGCATCCATTAGTGAATCCCTGGTGTCATTAGTGAAAATAATTCCAGGCATGAATGGGGAGAGGGAAGGGTGTCGGGCAGGAAGTCCAGTGCCCGTGGGTTGACTGAATGGGAGATGAGGAGGTAACACCCATCATGTAGGTCATGTAGAGCAGCCTTAGGACATCTGATTCCTTGCCTAAGACTCTTCTTTCCTGGTGTAGCTTTGTTCTAGAAAGGTCTGGAAGACTTGTCACAGTTCCAATGCAGGATGAGCCTTTGGTCCTGATCTCTTGGAGGCCCAGACAGCCTGGGAAACCAGCAGAGCTTTGGACAAGTTAAGCAGCCCATTGAAATCAACATTCTTGATAATCATATATCTAAGAGATTCCAAAATGTTCCTGGGATTCTTTTATGGGTCTGCATAGGGTTAGAAAGCACAGGAGTCAAAGAGACCTTCTCCCTTGGCCTCCAGGGCCACCATCCTCTGCTTTTGTCAGTTGGTCTCCCCAGAGTAGAGTCCAGGTTCCTGCTTCCAGCCTTCTGGTAGACCAGGCCCTGCCACAAGTGAGAGTTGGCCGGTTGGGTATCTGGTTTAGTCACTCGCCTCCACACTTTCACATCCTCTATCAACACCTGCACACTTGGGTTGTGACCACACATGCTCTTCCTGTTTGTACAGAAAGTGCCATTCAGAAAGCTCGCCAGCGAGAAGAGAGCTCCACGCTCAGCCTCAGAAGAAAGACGTTCAACGACTTACTGGGGAGAGAAAGAAAAGGAACGGGAGCTGAGAGGTAAGATCAAACTGGAGGGTGTGCGGGCCCTCTAGGATGCCTTGCCTGGAAGAGAGGTAGCCCCGACTTTGTGTCCTGAAGGGTGGCGCTCTAAGTAGCTGTGCCCATGCTCCGCTGGTCAGGGCAGGGGGAGCATTCTTGGTCAGCCTCACCGAGATGGTCCAGGCCCTGGTGAACAGCCAGAGGGATTGAGAAGGAAGAGATGGGATGTGACCAAAGTTGGTCACTGAAGCCGTCAGTGTGTGTGCGTGTGCATGTGTGTGTGTGTGTGTGGTAGAGGGTGCACATAAAGAAGACATAACCTGAGTGTGAACATGCTCACACACATATTTATGATGCTGGCTGGGGCCTTATGAAAAGTGTGTCTTAACCTCATGTTGCTCATTAGCTATAACCTCAAAAATAGAAACCATGACATGGCCACAGACTGGATCCCAGTCAATGGCCCCAGTGAGTGAGCTTGCAAGGAGAGATCATGGGCAGTTCCACCTAAGGCCACCGTCACTTCTGCAGAAATGACTTGGAATAATGACCTCCTCACTGTTAGGGGCTAACAGCACTATATTTGTATTTCTTGGATGGAACATTGTATATGTGTGTATTTGTGTGTGTGTGTCTGTGTATGTGCATAAACACATCATGTATTTATACACATGACATTGTGTGTATGTGTGTTTATGTGTGTATATATATGTACACACACATATGATATAATGCAATATACACAGTGACCAGATTTTTGAAACCAAAGAGAACTAATAGCAAGACAAAGGGGTTTTTTTCCTAATATGTGATTTCCTTGCTATTCGAGTCTCACATATATAAAAATGAAATATGTCTACACATGTGTTTCATAATTCCTTTTATTCAAAGAGGGGATCATTCAGGTAGCTAAAGGTCAAGTGTTTACAATAACAAAGTGGTGGTAAACTCATTCTTTGAATGTTGATCGTACAAACTAAATAATCCATCAAAAAATGTTGTCTCTGCCATTATTAAAAGCATGTGTTCCTTGGTGCAAAATTTAAGAATGTTCTAACTACAAGAGCACCTTCCTTTACCTAGGGCTATCCCATCTCACTGTTGAAGTGAAGTGATTACAGTGAAAGTAATACAGACATTTAATATTCTTAGTTTTGGTTGTGTTTCTGTCAACTGCTATTCCCTTGTTCTAGGCGTAACTGCACTTAGTGTTTAGTGGTGTTATGCATATGTATATTTGATTTGCATTTAGAAAATAGAAAAATATATACATTGCTTATTTTCCAGATTTCAAGGTTTAAATTCCCACTCTAACATGATGGTTTTAGGCAAGTCACTATACATCTCTGCATCGGAGTTCCCACATCTGTAACACAAGTACAATAGTAGATAGTAATCCCTTCCTCTTAAGAATTAAATAAGCTAATACATGTAAAGTGCTTAGACAAGTGCCTGGAACATTGAAAGGGCTCAGTAAGTATTAGCAGCTGTTATCATTGTCATCATCATCATCATCATCATCACTACCTTTTGTACAATTAAGCCATCAAACTTGAAGGGACATGGTAAGAGTTTGGGAAAGGTGAAAGGTGGGAGGTGGTGTGTGTAAAATGGGTTTGGGGGGTGACACTTAAGGCCAGAGCAGTGACATTACAGTCCTTACACTGTAGCTACAGACAAGTAGTGAGCAGGAAAGAGGAACAGCACAGAACACCCCTCCCTATGAGGCCTGCTTGTGAGAGGAACATGTTCTGGAGCTCTGTGGGCTTGATGACATGTACTCATACACATCTTGTACAGCAAACCAGGAAATAGGCACATGGAACGGTGACATCCAAATGATAGTATATAACATGCATTCAGTGCCTCTCAGGTGTGAGACGTGGTGCTCGGCATTTTACACACATTTTGTTATTGTATCTGAGCCATTGCAATTATGCTTATTTTAGAGGAGAGATTGGTAGGTAGCCTAAGAGTGCAGAGCAGGGAAATAGCAGCGTTGGGATCTGACCATCTCCAGATTCTGTGTCCCAATCCCCCACCCATCACACCCAGAATACAAAGCAAGTAGTAACAAAACGTGACCAGTGAGGACGTCCAGTTTCAGAGAGTTTAAGAAACAAGTTCAAAGTCACAGAGAAAGCTGAAGGCATGGTGAGGAGCTGGATGCTGGTTTCTAAATTCCAACCATTTTTTCTACACCACTACTCAGAGGAAGGACCTGATGTCTTGCCTATCAAGGTTGACAGCTATGGACCCTTCCATAAATAACTTTTATCTTCTGCACTTCCACATCTTTTTCTGTGAAGTGGGTGTAATGTCCTGTCCTACAGAGTTCACAGGATTTTATGAGGGCTCAATGAGTCTACATACGTAAAATGCTGTTATATTATTTCCGAGTCATGTAAGGAAAACGTGTTGAAATCCACCTTCGGTAAAGGCAAGTTAAATGGAAATGAAAAGTATAAATAATGTTGGTTCTTAATGACATGTCATTAGGTATGATTTAACTTGTTCTTTCAAATGACCCATTTGCACCCTCTGGAGCTGATGTTCCATAATTTGTGCAACCATTCCCATATATGAAAATTTAGTTGATTTCCGGTTTTTGAATATCACAAGTTAAATTGCAATGACTGTTCTAGAAATCCTTTAGTGCAATCATCCTATCTGTTCTTTTAGTATTTCCAAGTCTGACAAACAAGTCATATCTCATTTCTGCTTTCATTTGCCTTTTTTTTGGTTATTAGTGAGTTGATTCTCAATGTTTTAAAACATAGCTTTGACAAAAACTAAAAACATTATTCTTCATCCAGAAAACAGCCAAAAATACATGCTCCTTTCAAAGTGAAATGGCACCATTGTTCTCATCATTAAAATACAAGCAGGTGTTTGTGTACAAATACAAACCTATTAAAAAGCATCTTGCACAGATATTCCTCTTTGTAGTTTTTATCTGCACTAAAAATGGGGGGTTATAATGAATACAAGACAACTAGACTCCTGCAATAACTAATAAACACGACAATTTGATTTATTGCTGTTCCTCCCCTATAGCCTGTTGACAGATTTTTCTTTATGGAAAAATTACCATGGTTTAAATCTCTATCATATGGCACTTAATTCAATCGGCAATATGTTACCAATTAGATCCTGCTTAAACTACCATCAGCCAGCAGACCAGGGGACATGTTAAATGGAATGACAATCAGATAACTAGTAAAATGCTTTGTGGCAGCTTTCTCAGGACCAAGGAGCAATGTGGAGACCATGGATAATGAAGAGAGAAAGGGCAAATAGGGCTTTTACTTTTCCCCATCCTGAAAATTGAAATTGTTTCAAGTTCTCCTAAAAGCATGCAAAGAGTTTGTGTTTGAGTGGTGGTTGTATAAGTTGATATTCACCACTTCCCTTCCGCCCTTCATCCTCTTGCCCCTTTGATGATAAATTGGCAAACAGAAAGGCATTCTACCCCCAAATCCTCTCTAATGTAATGATGCATAACTTCAACTCAGTTGTTGTGTCCCATTTAGTGGTGTCTTTTTTTTTTTTTTTTTGAGACAGAGTCTTGCTCTGTTACCCAGGCTGGAGAGCAGTGCCATGATTTCGGCTCACTGCAGCCTCCGCCTCCTGGGTTCAAGTGATTTTCCTGCCTCAGTCTCCTGAGGAGCTGGGATTACAGGCGCCCACCGTCACGCCTGGCTAATTTTTGTATTTTTAGTAGAGATGGGGTTTCACCATATTGGCCAGGCTTGTCTCGAACTCCTGACCTCAGGTGATGCGCCCCCCGTTGGCCTCCCAAACTGCTGGGATTACAGGCATGAGCCACTGCACCCGGCCTACTGGTATCTTTTAAGATTTCACCTTTCTCCCAAGCCCTGGATGATGACCACAGTAAAGAGAAATCTTTTTAAGTGGTATGAGCTCCCTTTTTCTATTTTCCTCTTGGAGTCTGGTTGTATCAGATAGTGCTCCTGTTGCAAAAGACAGAAACTGAATCAGGCTATGCTGAACAAAATGTCAATCTAGCAGAACAATATTGGGGGCTGATTGACTTAAAATAGAGCAGCAAGCAAAGGTAAGAACACCGTTAAGAACCACAGGAATGGAAATGTGGCAACAGTCTGGGCCACATGATGTGGCTGCCACAGTGACAGATATGACCTCAATTGTCCCCATATTGGGATGTCACTTATTTAAAATCCCAGAAAGAGGGGAGAGAGTGATGACCCCTGTTTAGATCACATGCTTGCCCCTTGAGGAAAGGTAGACCCTCCATTAGACTTCCGGCCTATCTCCCACATCTATGCATGGTGAGGCATCCCCAGAAGGAAGACTGCGGTGGTAACAGGAAGGGAAGATAGTTGGTGGTGACAGCAAAAAAATCACAAATGTCTTCCACACAGTCATTGCACGGTGAGCTCTGAGTGGAGGCTGGCTTGTTATCATGGGCAATCTAATCGTTGGTGGGTTTGTTTGCAGAAATAGGCATACAAAAGGGAGAACTGGCAGATGGCCACCCCATGCTTCCTGCATCCTCATTCTGATTGCTTTGCTTCCACAGCTGGGAGTGGAGTATGAAGACCAAGGAATTCTCTTAAAGACCTGAGCAGTTATCTGGAACTCCTCACAAAATCACAGTAATGGATATTATTTCCCAGTTCCTACTCTACACTGGGCATAGATGTTATGGACATCTTCTGAGTCCCACAACACCCCTGCAAGGCAGATATGATACACTCCTTTCACCTATGGAGAACGGAGGCTCAAAGAGGCTAGGTGACCCTCAGGAAACACAGATGAGAGGTCCCCGCCCAGTCTGCCCAGCTCTGAAATCTTCCATGCCAACTCCCTTAGGGCGATCCTGAGTCTAGGCTGTACAGGCAGTTCATGTGGTTGTATTTGAATAAAATCCCTTTCCTCCAGGATGCCTCTGTGTGTCTGTGTGTGTGTGTGTGTGTGTGTATGCACGTGTGCACGTGCACACATGCACGCACCAGGCACACATAACCAGGAAGAGTACTGAGGGGTAAGTTAGGGGCTCAGAGGAAAAACATCCCATGTGTTACAACTTTGCCTGGGCTGTCCCTGTTTCTAAATACCATGGCAATATTTTTTGAAGCAAAGATCAAAGGACATATGGTCTGACTCATGGGTTAACAAAGGGAAAAATCTTTGAAATTGGGAATATCTGGGACATTCTGAGATGTGTGGCTACAGTCATTCCCAGAGCACCTGGAAATCATGAAGTTCTTTGGGAAACACCATGAAATCCTGTCATATTAAATCCCATCCTCCAAACTAGGAACGATTTTACTAGCAGAGATTAGGACAGCCTTATACATCGGTTATATAACTTCATACATGTGGGATCCCACGCGGTGAAAATAATAAAGGTGTTGCAATCTGTTTGTATCAGCAGTAAAATAATTCAAAATAATAGAATTCTTTATATATAAATAGATTCCTTATGGCAAAAAGAAAAAGGTCAGTAAGAAAATGCAATGGGGAAATGGGATGCAATTCATAAAAGGCATCAAAAGTTAAATACCTAGAAAAGAATTTAAGAGGAAACACCACAAGACCTATATAAAAAGAATCTATAAAATCTACTTAGCGATGTAAAACATACATAAATGGAAACATATACCACATAGAAAACTCAATATCAACTCTCAGGAAACCAATTTTTATTTTAAAAGATTAAATTAAAATTCCAATGCATTTGGGGAGGGAGAGGACTTGATAAAATTCAAATGTCAAATTTCAAATTAATTTTAGATAAGAATAACCAGGATACTTTTGAAAAAAAGATGAGAAAAAGAGGAAGTGTGCTACTTGTTTTGTCAGATACAAAAGCTTCAGCGGTCACATAGCTCCAAATGGATAAACAGATCAATGGGGGAGAAGGGAAAGTGTGAAAGTGCACACACACTCCCACATGTGTCCATTTAGAATATGGGAAAAGCCCCTTTTCAAATCAGTAATTTCAAGAATGAGGACAGTCATAGTGAGAATTGTCAGTCTTCATTTGACTTGATTCTTCAGCTGATTTGACACATTCACTTCTTCCTTCTGGAAACCTTCCTCCTCTGCCTCCCAGATCATCATTCTCTTCCTCTCTTCCTACCACACTGGCCGCGCCTTCTCGGCCTCCCTTTTGGGTGCCTTCTCCACCTCTCCCACATCTCCGGGTGGTGAAGCGCCCCAGTCCCCCGATGGCCCTGCTTTATCTGCATTCGCTCCCAGATGATCTGGTCCACTGTGACCACTGAAACACCAACGATGCCCAAACTTACATCTCCCAGCCCTGACTTCTTTCCCAACTACAGACCCAGCTCTCGCACAACACTCAGTCTCTCCTTTTGAATGTGTGTTCAACCTTACGTCTTAACATGTCCGAAGCAGAATTGCTAATTTCTCTAACTCCAGCCCTGTTCCTCCCACAGTTTTCTCACATCCCCACGAAGCCCCTTCATTCTTCCAGTGTCAGCCTAGGACCTTGAAGCCATCCTTCACTTCTTTCCTTCACAACCCATAGCTAATCCATCAGCAAATCCCATCTGTGTGTTCTTTGAAATCATCCAGAATTGAATTGCTTCTTAGCACTTTAGCCTCTGCCTCCCTGGTCCTAGATCCTATGGTCTCTCCCCTGCTCTCCAAAGTAATCTTCTTTCCACACTCTCCCTCCTTCACACTGTTCTTAGCGCAGAGCTGGAGGAATTCTTATAACACTTAAGTCAAAATATATGACTGCTCAGAACTCTCCTATGGGTCCCTATTTCACAGTTCCAGTTGTCCCTTGCCGCATAACCAACTACCCTAAACCATGGTGGCTCAAAACAACCTTCCGCATTTGCTCAAGATGTCATGGGTCATGAATCTGGGTATTTGGTTGTCTGGGCTGGCTGAGCAGGAGGATCCCCTTCCACTCACACGTCTGGTGCCTTGGAGCTCCTTGGGCGCTCTCTCTCTTCATGTGGCATCTCATTCTCCCAGGCTCTCCCTGTGCCTTGGGCTTCTCACAGAATGGCCATGTTTTGGTGGTTGCACTTTTTGCATTGTGATTGGTTTCTAAGAGGCAGGAAGCAGAAGCTGCCACAGCAGTTAAGAGTTGCTCCTAAAATACACAGCAGCCTTTATCCCGTCTTCTATTGACAAAAGCAGTCACCAGGCCTGCTAAGACTCAAAGAGGTTGAGGAATAGGTTCCACCTCCTGAGGGAGGCGTGACAATGTCACATTGCAAAAGATCTCACACACACTGCTGTGGCCATCTTTGGGAAATACAATCCACTACCCTCACCCAGTGCAAAATCCAAGGTCTTCACTGTGACCTATCAGGGGCTACATGATCTGGCTCCTGTCACCCCTCTGAACTGTTCTGGTGCTCTCTCCCTTATTTGTGGTACTGCTCCAGTAGAGTGGTCTCTTCATCATTTCTTGAACACTCCTATGTCATGGCCTAGCACCTTGGAGCTCTTCCCCAGATGCATAGGTCACCTCTCACTCCCTTTAGGTCTCTGCCCAATGCCACCATTTCAGAGAGAGCTTCCCTGACCACCTTGTATAAAATAGCCAGCCTCTCCCTGTTCACTGCATTTAGCTCCATTTACCATATATATTTAGTTGCCATTATCTGCTGTTTCCATTAGAATGAAAGTTCCTTCTTGTATCCCAAGGACCTAGAACAATGCCTGGTCCTATGGGTCTTAGATAAACTGTTTACTGAATAAATGAACGATTGGATAACTTTTCAGTAAATGATATTGAGACGCTGTCTAACTGCTATGGGTGGTGGAGAGGAGAGTAAAAGCTAGATGCAAACCTAGTGTATTAAATCAAAATAAATTCTAAAAGGATCGTCATGTGAGATAATAAAGCTGTAAAATTGCTAGGGAAAAATTCAGGTAAAGATTAAATGATCTTGGGATGATAGTTTTTTGTAAGCCTGATACCAAATAAATAAAGTATAAATGAAAATAAAGATAGCTTTGACTCTGTCGAAAATGCCACAAAAACATAAAAAGATGAATGGCAAACCTGGAAAAATACTTCAATATATAATGACAGCTTACTATCCTTCATATATAAGGAGCTCTGTCAAATAAATTCAGAAAAAAAATACAGATGCCTAATAAGCAGTTGGGAAGAAAAATTTTACTTTATTAGTAAACCAAAGCTACACATTGAAATACAATAATATTGATGAAATTTTAATGCTAGTATTAGTGTTGGAAAATGCATATTTTTATACAAGGCTTATATGAATTCATGTTGGTACAAACTTTCCTGTGGGTAATCCCCTGTAGTAGCTGTCAAAAGCCTTAAAAACTAGATATTTCTCCTGATGGGTGTATGTGCAAAGATATTTATCATAATGTGTTTCATCATAGCAAAAATGAGGAAACAAGCTACATTTCCAAAGATAGAGAGTGGCTTGAGCAAATTGTACCATATTAGTCCAGTGAAATACTATGCAGTCATGTAAAATCCTGATATATATTTCTTTTGAAATATAAAGATGGCCCCTTTATATTATTATTGTTATTTTATTTTATTTATTTTTTTGAGACAGAGTCTCGCTCTGTCACCCAGGCTGGAGTGCAGTGGCGCGATCTCAGCTCACTGCAAGCTCCGCCTCCCAGGTGCATGCCATTCTCCTGCCTCAGCCTCCCCAGAAGCTGGGACTACAGGCGTCCGCCACCATGCCTGGGTAATTTTTGTGTATGTTTAGTAGAGACAGGTTTTCACCGTGTTAGCCAGGATGGTCTCGATCTCCTGACCTCATGATCTGCCCACCTCAGCCTCCCAAAGTGCTGGGATTACAGGCATGAGCCACTGTGCCCGGCCTATTTTATTAAGTGAAAAAAAGTTGGATAAAAAGTAGTACATGAGAGCCAGGCACAGTGGCATGTGCCTGTAATTCCAGCTGGGAGGCTGAGAAAGGAAGATTGCTTGAGTCCAGGAGTTCCAGGCTGTAAGTCACTATGATCATGCCTGTGAGTGGCCACTGCACTCCAGCCTGAACTACACTGTGAAACCCTGCCTCTAAAAGAAAAAAAAAAGTAGTATGTGTAGTATGACTGCACTCTGGTTAAAAAACAAACAACGAAACATACATACTAGGAGATACATTTTCAAACATTAAAGTGAATATTTCCAGTGATGGAATTGTGGATGAGTGCAGGGTGTTTTTTTTTAATTGTTTTTACTTCTCATATTTTATTTTATTTTTTAGAGACAGGGTCTGGCTCTGTCACCCAGGCTGGAGTGCAGTGGTGATCACAGTTCACTGCAGCCTCCAACTCCTGGGCTCAAGTGATCCTCCCACCTCAACCTCCTAAAGTGCTGAGATTACAGGTGTGAGCCACCGCACCCAGACAGCAATATAGTCTTTTAAAATATGAGAGCCAGGTATGGTAGTGCATGCCTGTAATCCCAGCTGTTGGGAGGCTGAGGTGGAAGGATCACTTGAGCCCCAAGAGTTCGAAGCTGCCGTGAGCTGATCACACCTCTGCACTCCAGCCTGCAAGACAAAGCAAAACCCCGTATCTAAAAAAAAAAAACAAAAACAGAACATTGAGAAAACCCAACCCATTGACCTAATTTCTTCTTTCAAATTTGAAAAGGCCAGCATCATTCAATTTTTTAAAATTTTTAATAATATATTTTACTTAATCCAAAACAAGAAAAAATATTATCATTTCAATGTGTAATCAATATAAAAACAGGAAATGAGATATTTAACATTTTTTTGAGTACTAAGTCTTCAAATTAGATTAGCTATGATTCAAATGCTCAGCAGTCACATGTGGTTAGTGGTTACCATAGTGGACAGCGAGAGTCTGGTTATTCACTTGGCATTAGTGTATGTATACTGCCTTATACTTCACTTAATTTTCAACTAAAGCTGAGGATGAAGAGGAAAAAAGATACCGCACCCTTTGTTTTTCAAGAAACTTTTCTAAATTTCTCTAGTCTTTTTCTTTTTTCTCTCTTCATTAAGTTATTATATCTTATTGATCTTTCTCTTGATTAAGCAGAAAAAAGACTTAACTACATTCTTTGTCTTTTTAGTAGTGTTGGCTTTGTTTTGTTGTTTCTAGAGTTATTTTCTGATTGACAAAAATGTGTATATTTATGGCACATAGCATGATGCTTTGATATAGGTATACATTGTGGGATGGCTAAATCAAGCCATTTAACATATGTATTCATATGTATTACTTGTCATTTACTTATTTTGTGTGTGTTGTGAGGATACTTGGAATCTACTCTCTAAGCAATTTTCAAGCATATAACACATTGTTCTTAAGTATAGTCACCATGCTGTACGATGGATCTCCTGAACTTATTCCTCCTGTCTAACTGAGGCATCCTTCAATTTCAACAGCAGAATCCTAGGTACAACCTGTGGGTTTAGATGGGGAACCAATTCTCCAAGATGTGGAACTAAAAATGTTCTGCCAAAGGAGGTGGAGTGTGTGGCGGGCCGGTCCTCCCTCGGAGCTGGGAGCAATGTACCCCTCAAGGCAGGCACTCCATCCCACCCTGACTCCTTTATGTCCTGGCTGAGTGAGGGTGAGCCAGTTACCTGTTCTGTAAAAGGGGATGGCAGATTCAATGAGCAAAGATATGAACCCTTCTTAGAACAAGGTCTAGGATATAGTGGGTGCTCAACAAACATTAGCTTTTAACATTACTATTATCTTCTAATGCCATGTATGACACACAGATGGAACTTTAAAAATGTTTATCCACGCCTGTAATCCCAGCACTTTAGGAAGCTGAGGCAGGTGGATAACTTGAGGTCAGGAGTTCAAGACCAGCCTACCCAACATGGTGAAACCCCGTCTCTACTAAAAATACAAAAATTAGCCGGGTGTGGTGGTACATGCCTATAATCCCAGCTCCTCGGGAGGCTGAGGCAGGAGAATCACTTGAACCCGGGAGGCAGAGGTTGCAGTGAGCTGAGACTGCACCACTGCACTCCAGCCTGGGCAACAGAGCAAGACTCTGCCTCTAAAAAAAATAAAAATAAAAAAATTTAAAAAAAGTTTATTTATTCTTTCACTCATTCATCCCTAGATCCCTGGGGTGTGTGGTAGTCTTTGGTGGCAACACTGCTTTATATCAACATTTGACTCATATATATAATGGAGAGGGTGCTGCAGAAGTTCTTTAATTCTTGAGAAACCTATATTAAAAGGCAGCCTCTCCCACGAAAACTGCACTCACATCATATCATTAATACTAACCTGAAAATCATACTCATTCAAGTAGCTTAAGGGATGAGAAAGTACCATAGAGAGACTAAACCAGCACTTTCTCAGTTTGGTTAAACCAATAATAAACTTTGTCCCCAGGTGTAAGTTTCCCAGGATTAGTAAGCTGCCCCGTTCTTAAGCAGTGGCTGGAAAGTTGAGTGCATCTTTTTTGTTGTTTTAAGTATGGTGTTTATAATCTGGGGCTAGAGAAACGTGGAGCTGAAAATATTGCTATGGAGTTTCTGACCATTAATTTTATGAGTCTATTATTCAATCTTTATTGTTGTCTGGCCTGCAGTTATATTTTTGTACTTTAAGAGATGCTTGACTATCTTTGTTTGGAAATGAAGAGTGAGTGGTTAACCTTCTGGCCTAGCAGGTGCCCTCTGTCATCTCAGCTGAGAAGCCTGTGGTACTGCTAGTGTCTCTGTCTCTGTGGGGCTGTCTCTGTGGGGCTGTCCTGGAGGTAGCTCATGCCCCAGGGACCTGCGATGGCAGCCCAGTGATCTCATCAACCCACACTGCAGCCAGTGATTTTGCTCACAAACCTCCTAAAAGAACTACAGGAAACTCCATACTCCGAAGCTTCCTGGAAATCAGTATTTGAAACTGCCCCTTTGGTGCCCAGGGGCTTTTATTACTTAGGCAACGCACTGCTATAAGATTTGGGCAGGCAGTGATGTGCCTGTGGGCACACGGCTGAGCCCGTGGATGGAGACTAAAATCCAGCCCACACTTCTCTTGCTCAGAGAAAGGGAAATCTGTTTTCTAATTCTCACAAATGCATTGGCATCTCATCGAGCCCTGTGCCCATGGGGTGCACTCTTCAGAGCGGGTGTCTCTTACTTTTGCGCAGAGGACAGGCCCAGATGAGGTGAGTATCTGGTCTGGCAGAAACCTGGGGTGCAGAAACGTGGAGCTGGCATGGAGCCTTGCCTGCAGAGCATTCTCGGGCACATCAGTTTTAGGAAGGATGACATCTGCAAGCTATGAACCTAGCCATAGTTTGCACTAACACTGAATGTATTCATGAACTTCTGGAAACTTCACGCATCCTACCTGAGTTTGGAGACTCCTATCTCAATCATTCTGCTTTACGTGCCACACGCTGTCAACTGACAGGGAGCTACTGAAAGTGTGACATACACAATATGCCTCCCTTAGGACAGGGATTCCCGCTGGCAGCACTTGGCCATGGCATGCCTCCTTTTCATGCACAATATGAATTCTATGAGGCAGGACTACATAGAGGCCACGTGTAAAGGCTTCATTGAGTGTTAGACCTGGACTGAAATCCCAACTGTGCCTCCCACTATAAAATAATATTAATCATCACTCATTGCAGGCCTCATACATGCCAGGCACTAGAAGCTATGTGACCATGAGCAAATTACTTTTCTCTCTGAGTCTCAATTTACTCTTCAGTTAAAATGGGGACAATAATGGAACTCTCATCTGGGTTGTTGTGAGGATTTATTGAAGCTGTATCCAATTCATTTAGAGTTCCGGGAACATGCTAAGCGCTCAGTAAAAATTAGCTGTTTTTATTATATAGACACTGGATCTGCATCAGCTTTAATGTGCCGATTACCTGAAGAACAAGTGAATTAGACGTATTGGGAAGAGGGTTAATTCCTCAGGCTGGTGGGGCATTTTGTGAAGCACAATAGTAATTTTCTAAATGGCTCTGAGTAACCTGTAAAAAAGCATGCATGTAACACAGGCCCCTTTGGGTTCCTAGAGAGTAAATTGCCCAGCAGAATGACCTGACCATTACTTGCTTGTAAAGCAAACTGTTTTATACATGAATATGTATACACACACACACACACACACACACACACACACACAGAGTTATAGGACATTTGCCAGGGAAACTACTAAACTGATGTTTTTGCCTAAATACCCAATCGCTTTTGTTTTGCAGAAAGTTTCACACATATGATTTAGACCTTACGATCAGCCATTGTTTACATCGGGAAGCATCAATCCGGAGTAACTGGCAAGCAGGTACACATTCAAGTGATACAGTGATATCTCTGCTGCAGTTTCCTATGATTCGAGGGGAAAAGTCATTTGGGATTTTTGTTCCAGAATCTCATCAGAATAGATATTTTAGTTACGTTAAGCGGTTGCTGCTGCTAACCCAGTCAATGGTGACAATGTTGATGAAACCAGGGGAACTGAGAAGGTAGCCAGGCCTATGAGCTGTGGGCCTGTGTTGTGTCCAGAGGCAGATGCTCTGGAGCCCCCTGACCATTGGCCCTGACCTCTGACCCCACTCCCTCCCTGTGTACTCCAGGACACAGAAATGTGTCCACAGGAAGGATATACAAATTAAATATCTCCGTGCTGAGACCTTAGAGGTCATCTATTCTAACCATCCTCTCCCTTCCCAGCACACTTAGACATGTAGTCAACAACTCTTTAACTACTTCTGGCAACGAAACCTTTTGACAGGGCCATTCCTTTTTGAAAGAGTTCTAATTACTTGAAAGTCCTTTATTTCAAACTGAAGGCAGCCTCTTTGTAATTTCTACCCTTGTGTCCCATTTCACCTTCTGGTGTCACAGTGGCTCGATCTAAGGCTATGGGGTTGACCTAGGCATGCAGGTCGCAATTCTCCGCATTCAAAGCCTCCTTGGGGCCAAATAACAATAACCAACGTTTATTAATCTCCAGTGGCATGAGTTTGAAGAGGCAGACTCTGGGAAAGTCATTGCTTGACCTCTGAAATTAACTTCCTTGAGTAGGTCACTCTGGTCTTCCTTAACCAACCACAGAAAAAATCAGAGGCCTCTGGAGAGGTTTCCCCATGAGGCTGGGCTAGAGGAAAGAGAGAGAACTAGGGGTGGTATTATCCATACCTGTTTTAAAGGAGCCTCTGTTACAGGAAAGTGGTCCCGATCCAGACTCCAAGAGAGGGGGTCTTGGATCTCACGCAAGAAAGAATTCAGGGCGAGTTCACAGAGTCAAGTGAAAACAAGTTTATTAAAAACGTGAAGGAATAAACGAATGGCTACTCCATAGACAGAGCAGCCCCGAGGGCTGCTGGTTGCCCATTTTTATGGCTATTTCTGGATGATACGCTAAACAAGGGGTGGATTATTCGTGCCTCCCATTTTTAGATGATATAGAGTAACTTCCTGATGTTGCCATGGCATTTGTAAACTGTCATGGTGCTGGTGGGAGTGTAGCAGTGAGGACGATCAGAGGTCACTCTCATGGCCATCTTGGTTTTGGTGGGATTTAGCCGGCTTCTTTACTGCAATCTGTTTTATCAGCAACGTCTTTAGGACCTGTATCTTGTGCTGACCTCCCATCTCATCCTGTGAATTAGAATGCCTTAAATGTCTGGGAATGCAGCCCAGTAGATTTCAGCCTCATTTACCCAGCTCCTATTCAAGATGGAGTTGCTCTGGTTCACACGCCTCTGACACCTCCAGCTTAGAAAGGGAGCTAGCCAGACAGGGTTGAAGATCTACCTACTCCGTGAAGAACTGTTTTCTGATGAATGCCAACTCCTGCAGGCAGTGTCTGCCATCCTGGGAGCTCTCCAGGCCTCTGGGTAACAACTCATCAGTCTCTGGGCAGGGACTTCCTTGGGCTACTCTTCTCAGGGGTTGTTTATTCAAACATTCAGAGCATTTGTGCAGCAGTGGCATGGAAGAGCAGTTGAAGCTGAGAGGTCAGGCAAAACAGGACCGGAGGTCAGGGACTCCACAGGAAGTGACCGCAAGGAACCAGAAGACCCCATTTCCCCACCCCAGGCTAGTTCTGACTCCGACACCAAGCAGCCTTGTGACCCTGGGCAAATGTCCTCAACCTTTCTGAACCTTGTGTTCCTTACCTATGAAAGGGGAATGACCTTCACCCCCACCCACATCACAGCAGGAATGTTAGAATCAGATGAGACAATGGAGGCACATGACAGTGAGGGCCAGTTGAAGTGACAGAGGGAGGGAGCAGGACTGAACATCCAGATTAAAATGAGACAAATGCAGTCCGTAATCCTGGATTTTCTAAACCGCTGAGTCATGGACACTAAACACCTAGGGGAGCCTCGGTCATTTTTTCTCTGACTGGATGAACTGTGATTGCAGAGTTACCTCCTAGAGATGATGGAATGATGCCTCTTGGAGGGCCACCACCAGGGACCTCCCAGAGAGGATGGAATGATGCATATAATGGTGCCACCACCCGCAACTGCCAATAATATTTCTGTAACCTCACAGAGCAGCCAACAGCTCATTGAAGCAAATGTATATGCATCAGCACTGTTTCCATCTTAGACTTTAAACAAGTTTAATTAATAATACCCTCCTTTCCCAGTGTGTCAACACAACTCCACCTTTTCATTTTGAAAGAACTTAAATAAATATAGAAATAAAATATTCAATTATTGGAAACAGAAATGAGAAAACATAATTGATTTGAGAGGCTTTTGCTACAAAAATTCCCTGGGGCCACTGACTACATTTTATTAAAAAATATCACACACTTATATTTCTACATTTCTTATGTAATAATTTTGAGTTTCTCAAGGGGGAAATAGTATTATTGAAAGAAAAATAATTATGACAAGTATTAAAGATTAGTGAGCCAGATTCCCCTGGTGTGCAACCAACATCCTGGGAGTAAGTTAAGTGCCTTAGAAAGCGACGTGAACTCTTGTCATTGAGTAAATTACTGCTTCGATGCACTAACAAGGACCCTAGTGGGTTGGAAGAGTTAATTCAGCTTCCCAGAGCACCAAGCCTAATCCCCGTGCAGCATTTGTGCTCTGTGAGAATCTGGATCTGTGTGCATCCACATCTATTTCTGTCTTCTAAGAATGGGCACTTCTTCAGAATAGAGCCCATATCTTTACAATTATCCTTGGCAGCTGGCCCGGCCTCATGCTCCTGAGAGCCCAGTAAACACTCCTCTGGCTTCTCGAACAGAACATGCTTTGCCACTGATCAATGCCTAAATTGTCCTGATCGTGTTTCTCTGCCTCCGTGCTAAACCAGTGTCACAACTTCCTGACAAGTAGCAACACCTTGGTGAGGAGAAAATCCAGCCATTTCCCCGGCATTCCCAGCACATCTCATTCGCCTCATGCAATAAGCACAGGATGGGTGTGAGAAGTTGGCCACGCTCTATTTATTCAGTTATCTAATAGGTAGCATTTTCTTCTCTTTTTTTGGTTGCTCAAAGTAATTAGATCCCATACATCAAATCCAAAGGTCCAGGCCATTCCTGATCAGTTAAGAACAGAATGCCATGGCACCCTGGTCCCAAGTGTGTGCACAGAGCATTTCTTGAGCAGTTCATCAGCATCCTGAATGTGGCCTACCATGCCTGTGTAAACCTGGCCCCTGCCTACCTCCCCAGGCTCACGCGGAGCCTGTCACCCACCCCCTGCTGTGCTCCAGCCAGCTGGATCTGTCTTCCTTCCACTTGGAGTCTCCACACTATTTCCTCAGCTGGGAACACCTCCTCTCCTTCCTTGGCTGGCTCCTCCTCCAGAGTTCTTCCTACATTCCCCTCCCCAAGGTGACCACCCCCTTTACAGCATGCCTCATTCTTCCATAGTTTTCACAATTACAGATTTTTTTTTTAACCAAAATAATACCTCCATCTGCAACTACTCAGTGTTGGAAAGCAACAGCCCCTGGCCCTTCTCTTCACCTCCAGTACCATTGCCCAGGGTGAACTTCTTTTCATGCATTCATTAAGCAGGTATTCCCGGCACCCAACCATTCTAGGCTCTAGGGATACAACGTTGAACAAATGAGACAGGCATGGGCCCCACTCTGCGAGCTTGTTTCCATTTTTCCATTCTCTATTCTTCTGGTCTTGCCTTCACATAGACAACATGCTTATACCTCTATTTTTTTTTAATCTGTCAATAATAGATGATATTTACAGACTCCATAATATGAAAATTGAGGATATAGCTCCATAATACCACCCCTCTCCTCCCAGAATCTTGGACATTGCCAGGGTCTGACATTTGCATTTTTATCTCTGTTCTTCTTGTGTTTATTGTTGTAATGTAAGGTGTTATGCTAAATCTCCATTTCTCATTTTATCAACTTTCAACAATATGTCTCTTTATTTCCCACTTTAAAAGATAAAGTTATTGATGGCCCTCTCCTCTTCTCCACGTTCTATCCCCACCATTCATGTCCCATTTCCAGATACATGTTTACCTTTTGTTTTTGTGTTGAAATTGCAACCAAGTTGCTATGATTCTGTCATTGACTGATGAAGTCATGTATTAGGAATGTGTTCTTTTTAATATGTCTTAAGGTCATGACCCCTGGGCTGATCAAGGTTCCCAGAATCATGATTCAGTGGAATTTCTCTCTGTCTTTATGCTCTAATTTTGCCACATTTTAGTTTGCTTCATATATGAATTATGACCTTATTATACATTCAGGTTTATTATACATTCATCCACCTGATTTTCAGAGTTTCCAGCTGATGTTGTTTTCTTGCATTAGTTGCCCTTGATTAATTTTCCCCAAGTCATTTTTTTAAGTCCCTTTTCCTGAAGACCTGATACACCCCCCCATCTCCCCCCTTCTGCTCCACCTGTACTGGCTGCCCTCTATGTCAGCAATGCAATTGCCATGTTGTAAATTTCTTCTAACTGCTATCAGGGGTCTGGATTGGAACCACAATTTGCTGGAGCCCACAACTTCCTATCTCAGTCTTGTTTTTCTGGAATATGTCTATAATACCCTTTAAAAAAGGATGTATAAAAAATAAACTTTCTGAGATCTTTCTTTCTGAAAATACCATTATTCTGCCTTCACACTTGATTGATATCTGGCTGGGTATAAAAGCCTTTAGATGTTTGTTTTTATCCTTGGTACTCTGACACATCAAAGCTGTGCCTAGGCAAGCTTTCTTTTCACTAATTGTTCTGTGCACTCAGGAAACCCTTTTAAGTCTGAAGAATTTTGTCCTTCAGCTTTGGAAATTTTTTCTTCAAGTATTTCTTTGATAATTTTTTTCAACTCCAGCCTTGTATGTTAAATCTCCTAGACGCATCTTCAAGGATCTCTCTCATAGTTTTCGATTCCTTTGTCTTTCTCTCCCTACATTCTGAGAGAGGAAAGAGAGTTCTTGGGCTTATTTTCCAAATATTTTAAATTTTTAAAATGTAATTAGTCCCTGTTTTAAACCTGTGAACACTCTCTTTTATTCTTTGTTTCTTTTTCTTAGCATTGTGTTCTGCTTTTAAGAGTGTAATATTTTCTCCCAAATCCCCCTGGCATATTAATTAGAGCACTTTTAATGTTGTCTTCTGTTCCTCGGTTGTCATTTTTTTCAGGGGGGAAGGCATTCTTGTTTCTTCTTCTTTCATGCTGCCATTCTCTTTATGTGCCTGGTGGTTCCTTGGCTTTGCATTTCTATCTAAGGGAGTGGGATTAAGTGACTGTGTTTCACGTGCTTACTGTTAGCAGGTCTATGTTTTGGCTCTGACCTCTCTCCTTTAGAACTGTGAGTGGGATGGGGTGGGGCATGTCTGCTAGGATATTTTGCTTCAGGGTAGGATGATGATGAGCTATGCTCTCCTGGAGATTTCTAAGAGTCAAAATGAGGAGGCCTTTATTCTACACTATTCAACACTATCGATGCCGTTTTACAAATACAAAACGGAAGCACAGAGACTTATGATTACAGAGCTACAAGTAATGAAGCCAAAATTTGAACTGGAGTATGCCCAATAATCACATATATTCTCATTCTACAAACCCAACACATTTCAATGTAAAGTGAAAAATGGTGTTATATGAATCATTAGCTCTATTTTTTGTTAATATCGACTTTCATATGCCTTGACAGTCATGTCACCAGGAGCACACCAGGACTCTGCATCCTTCCACCTATGTAACAAGACATTGTTTGTTCCTCTTAAACAATTTACCAACCCTCTGCTATTAAAGAAAATGAAATAATTAAACTTCGCTTACAGTCAGAAGGCATCTAAGCAGAATTAGCAGTTTCAGAGGAACTACATGCTACAAAAATTGAGGGAATAATTTATCCCTGGGTTGGCCAAGCCAAATGGTAGACATTTTTGCATTATTTTAGTGGATGTTAGTAAAGCCATATTCCTCCTACTTCTAAGGTTTTCTTCTCATTCTGAAGGTCATGGCTACTTCACTTTTTTACATCCATTTTTGAACAACTGTTGACAACAGATACAGATTTCATTAGAAAATTACTCATAAAAATTCAAAAATAAGCATTTATTGATCATCTACCAAATTAAACATTCGTTTTTTAACTCAGTGTTTCCCACACTTTCCTGGGAGGTGGTAATAGATGTTCCATGAAAAATGCATTCCAAGGTCAAATTAGTTTGATCCACATTGGGTTAAATGAAGTTAAATAGTTTTCTTTGTTGCCGGTATTCTCAGAGTCTCTCATTGCCAGTATGCATTGTGAATCTCTAAAGATTTAAAATTTGAAAAATGTACATTTTGGGAAATGCTCATTTTAGAAAACTCACATTTTGAGAAACATTGACTTCATTTATCAAACAGCCATTTTGCTTTCCTCTCTTCTCTAGAGACATACTTGTTCTCAATTGCACGCACCTGGGCCATGACTCTCAGGCATGTCATTTTCCAATTCAGGGTCTCATATGTTCAGTTTTTACAACTTTGGGTTGGGCAACCTTATTATTATAGTCTTCACTCTCTGCCTCTCTGCTGCGACCATCTCTTAATTTGCCCTGCACATCCTTGAGTGATGCTTTATTTTAATGCTTTTGTTTCTGCATCTACAAAATGTTGACACAATAACACATAGGTTTTAGCAAGAAATTAAATAAAGTGACAGCCTAGCTATTACAGGAAGGTGATAATAAATAAATTTGAAATAAAGTTTCTGATTTTGGATGGTTCTCTCATGATCATCTCAATCTTTAGTAAATAATATCCCATTGTGCTAAATGACAAAATTAAAAGATGGGCTCTAGGAAAGTCAAAGAATGCACCAATAAAAAAGACTGTAGAATGATGTAAGTTGTGTCAATATGGAGAAGGGCAACTTTAGACAGTAACACTTGTCATGATGTACCAGTCTCTTAAACATTAATTTCCCCAACTTGTGGCAAAATAGCATATGCTTGTTATTTTTTATTTATTTATTTATTTTTTTGAGACGGAGTCTCGCTCTGTCACCCAGGCCGGACTGCGGACTGCAGTGGCGCAATCTCGGCTCACTGCAAGCTCCGCTTCCCGGGTTCACGCCATTCTCCTGCCTCAGCCTCCCGAGTAGCTGGGACTACAGGCGCCCGCCACCGCGCCCGGCTAATTTTTTGTATTTTTAGTAGAGACGGGGTTTCACCTTGTTAGCCAGGATGGTCTCGATCTCCTGACCTCATGATCCACCCGCCTCGGCCTCCCAAAGTGCTGGGATTACAGGCGTGAGCCACCGCGCCCGGCCATATGCTTGTTATTAATTTGACTGACACCTCCTCCTCCATCTGCCATCTTTTTTTATCAATGGTACCACTGCCCACCTAACTGCCTGGACAAGAACTTGAAGGTCTTCCTCACCCCAGGTGCCTTTGCATATGCTTTGATTTGAACCCATCCCCTCTCCACTTGCCAAGCTCATCCTTTAAGATTCAGCTGAAAAGCTTGGCCAGCTCAGACACTGTCAAAATCAATTTATTTACCTAGCAAGCATTCATTGAGCACTTCGTGTGCCAGGTATTACTGCCTGGCAGTGTACAGAGCTAGTTTATTGAGAATTTCACTTCCATATCTTCACTGTGAGAAGCCACTGCTTTAGCCTATATAACCACTGCTCCTTCATTGCCACCATCTTTGTGAAGCAGGATATTCCCATCCCTGGCCGGACTCCTCTCCAAAGCTACACTATCAAGCTGTCCCTCTGAAGTCAAACCACTTCTCTCCGATGTTCAACTATATTCTCCGAAGCCCAGCTGCTTCTCCTCTCTCTGCTGGTTGAGCCTGAGGTTTCTATGGGCACTGGATGGTGGGCAGGGTGGACCATGGGTGGTTTTGGAAAAGGCAACATTCAAGCAGGAAAACAGGGCTGTCAGTTCTCACTTTGGGCTGTGGTATCAGGCTTTTCAGCTTGAGAGTGGGGCCCTCACCAGGGACCTGCCCTCCCAGAATTTCTCTGCCTCCTGTCCCTATCATTTGTAATAAATATTTCGGACCTTTTCACCTTCACACCTAAACCTTGACATTCACAGTCCCTGAATCTATTTCTATCCTTACTTAGACTTTGGTGAGACTAGGATAAAAGGCAAAGGTGGCCAGGCATGGTGACTCATGCCTATAATCCCAGCTACTCATGGAGACTGAGGCAGGAGGATCGCTTGAGGCCAGAAGTTTGAGACCAGCCTGAGCAACATAGGGAGACTCCCATCTCTAACAAAATTTAAAGGAAATATTAGCCAGTTATGGTGGCATGGAGGCATGGAGGATCGCTTGAGCCCAAGAGTTCAAGGCTACAGTGAGCTATGATCACATCACTGCACTCCAGCCTGGGTGATGGAGCTAGGCCCAATCTCTTAAAAAAAAATGGCTAAGGTGGAGTGAAGGGACTCTTCAATCTCATAATAATTTTCTGAAGCTACATTTTAATTGCCTCAAAAAGTTAAGGGGAGAATTTCTTCCCTTCCTCAGATATGTAATAACCAAAACTGTTTGGGTAAATGTGGATCTCAGCCTTTTGGCTACAGGCTTTTGGTTGGATAAGTATTCACAAGGCAGAGGGTGGGGGTTGGGGGTGCAGAAGCAAAATAAAAAAGAAAACCTTTCCTAAGAAGGCAAGGCAACCAGACCACTAAGTAACTTACCAATTTTTTTTCTTATTTTAATTTGCCTCCATAAAAGATACTCAAATGCAATGATTTCTGTGGGAAGCCTCAGACTGAGCTGTTAGAATCCTTAATGGGGGTAAATTCTGTGACCACGGTTTCATGCTGAATGTGTCCAGTCAGAGATCCTGTGGAAATACATATTCTAGCTGGGCCTAGAAGGCTGATTTTTCACAGGCATACACTGGCAGGTGTGTCGCCTTCCATTTTGTCAATCGTAAGCCTCTCTAAGAAGCTACTTCTCAAGACCTGATAATACTTCTCGTATGGACTATGTATTAAACATCATCACTAATGTGACTAGATGATATCCCTTTGCTGCCAGTCTTTTCTCCCCCTATTGTGATGAGTTGGTTTTGATGTTGCTAACCTGTTTGCTTTAATTTGGTCCTCAGGCTCTATCCCCATCAGGATAGTCTTTAGAAGCGTAATCTACTCCATTCTAACAGAGCGATTCTGTTAATAACTACAGACTTATTCACTGTTAGACATTCCTTCAAAAACTTCACAATGGCTTCCTCCATAATGCACTGAAGGTCTGTGTTTCTCAGGCAAGTATTCTATGTGGGGGAGCACACAGACTCCGGGAATGGCTGACATGCAACACTGTTGCTGGCTTGAGGCCTCAGATTAAATAGTTTGTCCCCTGTAAACCACACTTTCTTCCCTGTAAAATGGGGATAATGACAGTGCCTACCTCATTTGGTTGTTATGTGAATCAAATGAGAGAATGTGTGCACATTGCCTGCCACTTTATTAACACTCAATACTTGTTAGCAACTATTAAGCCATAATTAACTATTGTTGAACTCTTTCATTGTTTTGCAAAGTCGGCCAAGAATAACATACCATTGTTTGCTGCTTGTATTGACTTTTCACAGGGCTTTGACTCTGGGGTCAAGACCAGGTTAGGAATTAAGCAGCATGAGGCCAATGAAGACTCCTAGTTACTGATGTTTAAATGAGCATGCTTTCAAATGCCCAACAGTGGGAATTAGCAGGAATGGTCTCCTGAAGAGTGGATAATCTCTAGACATGTAAAACAGGGACAAGTGGCTTAAAGTAGGGCTGTAACAACAAAGCCCCTGAGGGTAATCACAGGGACTTTACCAGTGCACTTTTGGCCTTACCTGTGGGTAAAAAGGGAGCTAGTAAAGGCATTAAGACAACTGGAGCAATTGTAGAAACTGAGACACATAAGCAGGGGTCTCACACATCTCTGCATGAAGGTATGCATTAAGACTATGTGTATACAAATCCAGAATTAGGGCTAGGTGTGGTGGCTCACGTCTGTAATCCCAGCACTTCGGGGGGCCGAGGTGTGCGGATCACCTGAGGTCAGGGGGTTCATGACCAGCATGGCCAACATGGTGAAACCCCGTCTCTGCTAAAAATACAAAAATTAGCTGGGTGTGGTGGCGCACGCCTGTAATCCCAGCTACTCGGGAGGTAGGAGATTGGCTTGAACCTAGGAGGCAGAGGCTGCAGTGAGCTGGGATCACTGCACCCTAGCCTGGGCGACAGAGCGAGACTCTGTCTCAAAAAAAAAAAAAAAGTCAGAATTTTCCTTAGTTGGAATTTGTTATTGATCCAAGAATGCAAGGAAGTATTCCAAAGGGCTGAGTTCTACAGCATAAACAGTGCTAAGATTTGGGCATAGGAAAGTTATGAAGCAGGTATTCCCAGGGGCCAAAAATGATGACCTAAGAGTTCCTTCCTGAAATACAACGACCAGAAAAAAAAAATCCCATCATTATAACCATTTTCAATCTAAAATACTTATCCTTGGTAAATGTTACATTTAAATGGCTCATATCAAATAAGAATAGATGCTATTTGATGAGTGCTTACACTAGATGCTGACACTGTAATATAACTTTGCAATGTTATTTCATTGATTTATCAACAATGGAGCTATAACCATCAGCTCCCTTTACCAGTCAGGGAAGTGGTAATTAGAAAGTTTAAGTAAGCTGCCTAAAATTGCACTGCTTCTAGGAGCATAACAAGGATTAGAACCAGATTTGCTCACTCTAAATCTTGTGCTCTTAGCCCATTCACAGGATAGTTTGCAGGCATCCTGTGAAAGTCAGTGGAAGAGCAAGTTACTCAAATCCAAATAAAACTTTATTTGGATAAATGTGCATATAAATGCAATATATGCATTTATTTAGTTCATCTAAAAGAAGTTTTCAAATAATTAGGATATAAGGGCATTAAGGATCTAACAACTGAGTAAAGAATTACAGCACCCTGCTCCAGAAAAGATAGAAATCAAAGGAAGTAAATGTGGTGTTTAGGATCACTTTTCCCCTGGTGGCCTTCCCTGGTTTTGGAGGTGGTGGAAGAGAGGCAAACTATGCTCTTGACAGTCTTCTGGAGCTCAGGTGAGGCAATGAAGTGAGGGTCCAATGGGGAAAACTCGAGTACAGTGAATCTCTATCATTTGGGTTGGAATACTGAAAGCATACACTAGAAGAAATGAGGTCTTGAAAGTATACATGTCCCTAAAGGGATTGCAGTATACTTTAAAATCCCCTGAACTTGTGAAATTATGTAAAGATAATCTTGAATTGCTAATGCCCCCAAGTACTTGGCAGAATTGGACATGCTCTCTGGAGAAAAATAATATCACCCTAGGTCTCAAATGTTTTTGCATATTACTGTTTTTCAAATACAATGTTGATCACATAATTCGAAATAACTAGCTACAAGGAGATTAATGAAATGTTGTCAGCAGAAACAACAGATAGGAGAAATAGACACCTATGCGCTCCACGTAAAAGAGTCAGTAGACCCAAACTTTAAGATAACTATGCTTACAATCTCCAAAAGGCAAAAAGATAAGGTTGAGAATTTGGCAGAGGCCTAGAAACAATAAAAAATAACCAAGTGGAAATTCTAGAATCAAAAAATCGTGATACCCCAAATTAAGAACTCAGTGGATGGGTTTAACAAGAGATGACATAAAGCTGAAGAAGAAACTAGTTGACTGGAAGACACATTAGAATAAAATATTCAGAAAGAAGCTTTCAAAAGACAAAAATGTAAAATTTCACAAGAGAAAGTAAAAGATAGAAAGACAGCTAAAAATTCTAGCATGCATAAAATTGAAGTCTCAGAAGAAGAGGAAAGAGAATCAATGGGCCAAAATAAATAATTAAAGAGATAATGGCTAAGAACTTCCCAAACTGATGAAGCTATCAAACTTAGATAAGAAGCCCTATGAATTCCAAATAAGATGAATAAAATGAAATCCACACCTAGGTACATTATGGTAAAACTGCTGATAATCAAGGACAAAAAGAAAATCTTAAAAGCAGACAGAGGAAAAAGGGGTTTTATTTTCATCGGAACAACAGTAAAGTTGACAGCACTCAAAGTACTTAAGGAAAAGAACTGTTAATCTGTCATTTTAAACCTGGCAAAAATACTCTTCAATTATAAATGTAAAATTGATATTTCCAGACTGAAAGAAACAAAGAAAAATTGATGTTCCCTTACTAAAAGAAACAGAGAATTGTTCACCAGTGGAAACACAGGAAATACTGGTATTCTTTAAGGAGAAGAAAAATTATCCTAAATGGAAGACCAGAGGTGCAGGAATGAATGAAGGGCAAGCAAAATGCTAATGAAAATTAACTATATAAAATAATAATGTCTTTGGGGGTTTAATATATAGAAAATTAAGTACATGACAACAATGATACACAAATATAGAGAAGAGTAAATGGATTTAAAAAGTTCTAAGGTCCTTGAATTTTCCTGGAAGAAAATAAAAATAACAATTAATATTGGACTTTGATAAGTCAAGAATTCATGATTTACTTTCAAGTTCAACAGTAAAGAATAGTAAACAAAGCCATGTATGTTCCAAGGTAATAGAGAAGGAACATAGGACAATAAAAGTATACTCAAATAATCCAAATGAGGACAGCACAAAAATAGACAAAGGAACAGAACGATCAGAACAAATAGCTCCTTGCGAATGGTAGACTTACAGCCCAATATAAATGTAATTACATTAACTGTAAATAGATTAATTTCTTTAATTAAAAGGCAAAGTTTGTCAGGCTGAGTTAAAAAAAAAAGCAAACATAGAGCTATATGTTGTTTACAAATGACACATATAAAACATAAGGATATAGAAAGGCAAAAAGGAGAAGTATGGAAAGATACTTTTCCTACAAACATAAACCCAAGGAAAGCTGATGCAGTTATATCTGTATGAGATATGTAGATTTTTAAGGCAAAAATCATCATTAGAGATTAGGAGAGACCACTCATCATTGTTAACAGGGCCAGTTCAACAGGATGGTGTAACTATTCTAAATCTTAGGCACATAATAGCATGATTTCAAATATGTAAAGAATAACTTGAAAAAAATTATAAGAAGAAATTTTAAAAACCTTCAATTATAGAGGAAAATGTTGACAAACATCTCATAGGAACAACAATAAAATTGACAGCACTCAAAGTACTTAAGGAAAAGAACTGTTTATCTGTCATTTTAAACCTGGCAAAAATACCCTTCAATTATAAACATAAAATTGATATTTCCAGACTGAAAGAAACAAAAGAAAAGTTGATATTCCCATACTAAAAGACACAGAGAATTCTTCACCAGTGGAAACATAGGAAATACTGGTATTCTGACAAACCTCTTAGATAAGATAGACATAATACATCAGACATCATATCAGTAAGAATAGAAAGATCTGAAAAAAATGAGCTGAAAATATAACGGATGAACAAATAAGGAATACCATACCAACAATAGCAGGATACACTTATTTTTATTTTTATTTTTTGAGACAGCGTCTCCCTCTGTCACCCAGGCTGGATGGAGTACAGTGTATGATCTCAACCCACTGGAGCCTCCACCTCCTGGGTTCAAGAGATTCTCCTGCCTCAGCCTCCCAAGTACCTAGTAGCTGAAATTACAGGTGCCTATCACCATGCCCAGCTATTTTTTCTATTTTTAGTAGAAACGAGGTTTCACCATGTTGGCCAAACTGGTCTGGAACTCCTGCCTCAAAGTGATCTGCCTGCCTCAGCCTCCTAAAATGCTGGGATTACAGGTGTGAGCCACCACTCCTGGCTGGTATACACATATTTTTAAGCATGCATGGAAACTTACAAAATTAGCTATAGGTGGGATCACAGAGCAAATCTCAACAAGTCTTAAAGTATCCAAATGATAGATAAAGAGTCTGCTCTGTGATTACAATGCAATTGAGCTATGAGCCAATTTTAGGAAGATCACCAGGAAATCCCACATGTTAATTTTGTACAACCATTTCCTCCTCCTCTCAGTTTCCCTAAGATTCATCTTGATCATCACCTTGCATAACAAACAAAAGTCTTTTTGAGGACTCTCTCATAGAAAGGGGAGAAAAAAATTGAAATACATACCTATAATTTGACATTTCCACCCCAATCACGTACTTACTGCTGTGCATGGCTTGAATTGTCTTCCTGTGTGTATATTATCAATACAATCAGGAACTAAAAGAAGCTTTTCATTTTGGAATGAACTCAACACGGGGGCTTGCATGATGTTATGAGTTCAGTGCTGAGCTCTCAATGTGTTGCTCATCTAGTCCTTGTGACTCCAGGCTCCAGGGAGCCAGCACCCACCCTTTCTGTTAGTGAAAGGATGCCTGATGGTGCAAAAATGCAGGGCTGGCCAGGCGTGGTGGCTCACGCCTGTAATCCCAACACTTTGGGAGGCCAAGGTGGGTGGATCACTTGAGGTCAGGAGTTCGAGACCAGCCTGGCCAACATGGTGAAACCCTGTTTCTACTAAAAATATCAAAATTAGCCAGGCGTGGTGGCAGGCCCCTGTAATCCCAGCTACTCGGGAGGCTGAGGTAGGAGACTCCCTTGAACTCGGGAGGCAGAGGTTGCAGTGAGCTGAGATCACACCACTGCACTCTAGCCTGGGTGGCAGAACGAGACTCTGTCTCAGAAAAACACAGTGCAGGGCTGGCTTCATGAGCCTGTGACCTGTGCAGTCACACAGGGCCGTACCCTTAGAAGGGTGCTATCTTTGTCTAAAGCTCTGCTGTCAACATTTTGAATTCTTAATAATTGATGAACAAGGCACTTCACATTTTCACTGTGCTCTGGGCCAGCTCTGTGCAGAGGGAAGGGGTTTCCAGACTTGCTGGATTTTACAACTAAGAAAAGAAAAACCCCTGGGCTGAATCCTCTGTGAAATACTTTCTCTGGCTTCTCAGAAGACATTTCCTCTTTTCAACTCTCAGTTGTTCCCCTGGGTTTGGCAGCTGGGTGTTCACTAGCTGCTTTACTGAATCTCTGATCTTGGTTTCCTGCTTACTTGAAAATGTTTTTACAACATCAATACAGGCCTCTTCACCATCTGGCCCCAATCTCTTGCCCTGGCCTTGGCTCCTTTTCCATCTCCCTTCATTCTGCTTCTTCCCCTAACCCCCATTTGACCTACTGACTTCTACAACCCCCCCACCTCAAGGCAACACTTTGACCACATAGAACCTTCTCTGCTAGGGGAACATGGCATGCTTCTTCTGGCCTCTGTGCTCTATTCTGTGGTTTTCCCTCTGCCTGGAATGCTCTTCCATCACTGCCTCCTCACTCTCACTTTGACTTTCATTCCGTTAGACCCAACCCAATGTTAGGGGCTGTATTAAGCCCTTTAGGAGTGCCTTGGTCATCATCCACTTTCTTTTGCTCCTGTAGCTCCACAGACATGCTTCTGTCATAGCAGGTAATACGTTATAGTACACGGCGTTTGTTCTATTCCATTCCCCCCTATTCACTTAGTCTTGATAATTCAGTTCTTGACTTGGAATGCAAATCAGTCGTTCTTTCTGGAAAGATCTCCCTGAGTACCTGCACTTCTCTCATCATAGCACTAAGCATATTAAAACAACATTGTATATGGCCTGTTTCATGAGACCATGTCTGTTTCACTTTGGTAATAAACTCAGTACCTAGCATAGTTCTAAGCACCTAACTGAATCAAGAAGTATTTGTTCAATTCAAGGATGAGTAAGTGCATTAAGATGTGTGTGCATTATCTTCTAGACAGTGGGCTTTTTGGCCTTTCAAACTTCTCTTTCTCATCTTCTTTCTTAGCTCACTGCTTGGCATGTAATAGGTGTTCAATAATGTTTGTTCAGTAAATCAATATCTGAAATGACTTATGTGATCATTGAGATTATCCTCTTGAGGCCTGACCCCAGGACCCTGGTTTGGGAATGTATCCCCAATGACTTCAGCCCTGACTTGAGGTTGCATTCTTCAAGGGAAGATGACAGAGATGACAGCATGGGGATTTGGGCTGACACTCAGTCAAGTCCAAGAGGATGAATTTCCCTTTATGTTGTAATAAACCTCATATTGTTGTCTAGAGAGTGACAGAAAGCAATGCTAAATTCATAAAATTGTAACTGTCTGTGCCAAGTATATGGAATTATAATAAGCATCACAGGTGAGTAGGAGCTTTGGAAAAACACTGGGAGCCATCCCTGGAAAGAGTTGCTCTCATTATAGATAGTGGTGGAGCAGGGCAGGCCCTCGGGCCTGTAGCTCTAATCAGAGCCCCTTCCTTCACTCACTTTCCTCCTCTCACGACCTTGGGCTCCTGCTTTCTACCTCCCATTGTGCAGCTTCTTTCTTTTTTTCTTCCATTGGAGACAGGGTCTCACTCTTTCACCTAGGATGGAGTGCAGCAGTGTGATCACAGCTCACTGCAGCCTTGACTTTGGAGCTCAAGTGATCCTCCCACCTCAGCCTCTTGAGTAGCTGGGACTACAAGTGTGTGCCACCATGGCCAGCTAATTTTTTATTTTTTGTAGGGACAGGGTCTCACCATGTCGCCCAGGCTTGTCTTGAACTCCTGGCTTAAGTGATCCTCCAGCCTCAGCCTCTCAAAGTACTGGGATTACAGGCATGAGCCACCATGCCTGGCCCAGCCTCTTCCCTGAGAACTAGCAGGTAGGTATCTTTCTTTTCCAGGGGTTTCCTGCCTCCTATCTTGTTGTGGGCATTTTCCTTCTTGTGGCCAGCTCTAGCTTCTTTATGAAGCTCCCTTCTTCCAAGAAACCAACTACAAATTAGAAGAAGGTGGGGTTTCTCTCATCTCCATGGCCATGTGCTCCTCTTAAGAGACTGACTCGCCCTCTCTGTATGGTATTCCACTGAGCAAAGACTTCTTTCTTTGCTCTTTCACTTACCAAAGTGCTGAGGAAATACTTGAGCCCGTAAGTCTCAATATATGGAGGACCAATAGAAGGAGTTCAGCAAAGCTGAGCTCTAATTGCATGCTTACTGTGAGCCTGTGACATGTTAAGAAGGTACAGGGAAATCAATTTGGGATCCATAAATATAAGGAAGAATGTTGTTCCAGCTAGAGCTGAGCCCTTGAAAAGTAAAACAGGGAGGCTCTTCAGAGAGCGCACTCCCCACCACTGGAAACATTCATGTGGAGACTGCCCATAGCAGGGTTGATATGGAGGGAACTGCTGCAATGGGTAGCAGGTTAGCTAGAGAGAGACTTGATGGCTTCTCCCAACTTTCAAGCTTCTGCGATCTTATTATAGGGTTCTAACCCTGTAATGCAGTTTATATTTCAACATACTGTACTTAATTAGTTGTTTTCGTAAACTTCTTCTGAAGTAAATCAGCTTCATACAGTGATAATTAGTTTATTGGTAGAAACAATGACAAACTCTGAAACATACATATTTTTGTGTATGTGGCAAGGACACAAGAAAGGCTGACTATTATTATTCCTACACTGTTTTTCGTAAATGCCATCTGTTGGTATCCCTGTGAGGATGTCACAGCAACTTAACCAGGTTAACAAATAACATGAAAATAAAGAAACAAATAATATGGAATATTCAAAAAATGCTGGAGCCAGATTAATCAGTCTTCAGACAATTGAGCATGAGTTTCTTATTAATTAACTTGCTTACAATTGGAGTGAACTCAGAAGTAGTCAAGATTACATGTAAGGAAGTAATCACAGGTTTTTGTAAATCACACTTAATTCTTTGGCAGTGCTGCCCCCATTGGGGCATATAGGCTGGGATATCTGGTAGTCCTGACTATACACGGCAATGTGCGGGGCACATTTAAGGGACTGTGACTTCTCTAATGGGTTAGCTGCAATATTCAAAACACCGCTAGAGTGGCTTAGCCACATAGGGTCTTATTTTGTTCCTAAAAGTCCAGATCTGGGTAGGATGGTCCAAAGATGGTAGGGTTATATGAAGCAGTCATCAAGGACCTAGCCTCCTTTTAACTTCAGACTTGCCAACTTTAGTCTGTGGCTTTTGCTCCTAAAATTGATGATGGCTTCTCCACCTTTCTGGACAGGAAGAAGAAAGTGACCTAGAGGAAGGGGTGGTGTCTACTGCAGGGAAGCAAAACATTCTGAGAAATCCTGACTGACATAAACGGGTGTCTTATTGGCCAGAACTAAGTCATATGCCCAGTTCTTGCAATAAGAGAGACTAGAAAATACAGTTATGTCAGCTGGGCTTGTGACTTCCCCAAACCAGACTCAGGTTTTGCTATCAAGGACAAGTGCAGATGGATGTTGGGTGGGCAGCCAGCCGTGTCTGCTGCATGAACTTGTTTATCTTAAGCTCCTGAAGAGGTGAACTCTGCTCTCTGCTTCTTCTTGTTTGGGACTTGGGGACCCCCAGCAGGACTCTGAGCAGTGGGAGATGCCTGTACCTGAAGGACCTTGTGGGGATCTTCTGCTGCCCTTTCTCCACCAATGTTTTACCCATTAAGATGCAATTTTGGAATGTCACCATTTTCAGGCTGTAAGCCATAATTGCTGCATTTGCAGCTTCGGTTTCCTCCGAGGGCTGCATGGGGACTACCAATCCATGCTTGAATACTCTCTGGTGCCCCAGAGAAAAGAGCCTGACACCCACAGTTGTGTTGTGACTTCTTCCCCATGCTTCCCCCAGACCTAAGCTAAGTGTCCTCTTCCTGAACACATTCCTCTTGCCGTCTGCTAATACTTCACAGATAGCACAGCACTCCTGTTTGAAGCAGACCAACACCTTGAGATTTGTTTAAGCCAAGAAGGAGGTCCTACCTTTAAACAAGAAAAGGTTTATGACTCTCTTGACATACTCCAGGGATTCCTGTCTGGCAGTGCTCAGGAAGAACAACTGAAAAAAACAGACCTCTAACATTTCAGAACTGTCAGAGACAAAAACTGACAGAGACAAAGAACACCCAATCCAGCCTTCTCATGTTGCAAAGGAAGACGTTGAGGCTAGAGACAAGGAGCGCCTCACTCCAGGTGCGGTTATGGCAGAACTCAAGGGGCAAAACTGGGTGGCAGGAGAATTGCAGAGAGGGGTAGAGGGCTCTCTCTCGCCTTCCGACTGGGACTGTATTACTTTCATTATTTCAGTGCCTGTGAGCATGAGAATGCGCCAATGCTATAGATAATTAAGGCAAAAGTTGTGGGAGGTGGAGTATGGTATCACAGCTACCAGTAATACCATACCAATTCCTGATCTGCCATGCTTGGGTTTGTGACACTTACCTGTTCCTTAGCATACTCACCTGCAAAATAAAAACAATGGCAACATACCTCATGTGCTTTTGGGAGGACTAAATGGAGTTGATACTTTAGAACAGCACCCAGTTGACAGTAATATAGACATGTTTGCTAATGATACGATTAGTTATGTCCTATTCTCAACAGATTCAGAGTCCTTGAAACTTGCATGAATGGCCAGGGCACATCTTGAAGAAGCATGACAAAGAACCTGTGGGGATATTAAGATTTAAGTCAGGATGATTGGTTCTTGTTACCAGCATCAAAGGATCTTCTCATATCACAAAATAATGAGATTATCCCCCAACATTGGTCAGCATGGCATAAAATACATGATCTGTGATAGGAGATGCTTTTCTGATCCGCTTTTATGAAAAGTAAATGTCCTTCCTGCCTGCATTTTCAACTTTAGTATGTGTGCCTGCCTTTTTCTTTTTAAAATGTGGTAAGCTTCACCCACCAGCCTTTAGTACCGGCTGTATAAGGAGCAACTAACACCAAGACATACATGCTTATGCCCCATCCACTTTATTTTAAAGCACTCTTCAATTTGTCAATACTTTAATTCTCTAAGCAGTGTTATAGTGGCTGACCACTTTTGAAATTATCTTTGTTTTGTTTGGTACTTGAAGGGCATGAAAAACTTCCCTCCACTTCCTTCCCCTCTCCCGGAGCTCATTTTCCCCTCTCTTTTCTCTGCCCTGCTTGCCCTCTGACCCTGCCGAGCTCTGCTGTTTCCACAGACTTCTGAATCTAATTAATGTCATAGTGACTATATAAGTGAATTATGTAGGCAGGAGGATGCGGGAAACTTTGGGGAAGGTGCATTCCTTAGGGAAAAACCTGGTTTTGTTAAAAAAAAAAAAAAAAAAAAAAAAAAAGGAAAGAAATGCACATTCCCAGAAACACTCATTCCCAGGGTGTAGAATGTCAGTGAAGCATAAAACCTCAGCAACTACTTACATTCAATAAATATCTGTTGTCTGATGAGCAGACTGAACCCTAGGAGCAGCTCTTTTGACATCTGGGCAATAATCAGCTATTATGGAAGCTGGCTGCAGGGACAGATAGTCCAAATATGTTGCCTTCTAAAACAGTTCTCAGCCCTCGACCGGGGTATTGGCCCCCTTTCTACCCTCCCTCCTTTTCCCAGCCAGTTCAAAACCATTTGCAGGGAGTATGTCCTTAGATGATCTCTGAAATGACCCTGGCTTCTAGGGCCCCAGAAAGGTCTCCAACTCCCTAGGACAGTGGACAGGCTGGGGGGAGGGGCACAAGTACTGAAGTTCTTCGCCAGAGGATACTGTCAGAGAGCCCAAGGCGGAGATGGTCCCTATGCCCCATGTTTCCATGGAAACATAGGAGGAGTGATGACAGTCAGCACAGCCACACCATCTGCTCGGGACCTGGTGAATGATGAAAAAATACAGAAAGAAAGGCACCTCGAATCCTAGGTTAGAACCACTCAGAGATACCTGTGGAGAGAGAGGGAAAGGCCTGAAGACACAAGAACTCCTGGGTGGATCTAAAATCTACGCTGTCCTGGGGTTCAACATATTAGCATGTAATTTGCAAGGAGAAAGCCTAGAAGGTTTATCCTGCAATCCCTGGATACAGTTACAAACACCCAAGAAGCCTCTGGAAGGAGAAGCAGATGGAGTCATGCGTCTGCAGCTTTGCTGGAACAGGAGAGAGTAGTGTCCTTAGGGACAAAGCTGGAGGAGATGCTGTAGGGGCTGAGGCAGCTTGATGATGCTCCTATCACCTTCCAGCAGTACCACCTGCAGAGCCAGCTTTTGGCCAGACATATTTTTCTAGGGGAATGGTGGGATTATAAAGAGAGAAAAAAAATCCCACTTGGTTACAAAAATGACCTCTGAGTTGCAGCTGCGTCTTCAGGATAAGGCATGAATTAAAGCCATGCAAGGCTTCTCTTCTATCAAATCATATCTGAAGGGAGATCTTAGATGCTATAGGTTTGCTTCTGGATTTATTTAGGAGGCTTCCAGCACTAGGTTGGCAGAATGTGAGTAGGGCCCCAGACTGAGCAGGATTCATTTGTTAGTCCCTTTCTTTGGTACATTTAGTCTACACCAACCAACCAACCTGACCCGGGAAGCCAAGCAGCTCCTCTCATTTAGCAGCTTCCCCCAGCAGCCCTCCCCTTAGCTGGGTGGTTTGATTCAGCTCCCAGGGGTGTTGCTTGCATCCATGTGGGGAGAAAAGACCCTCAGGTCACAAGCACTATAGGATGAGCAAAAGCTAAGGCAGCTTCATAGAAAACATCACTCTAACATTTTTATTTTTAGAGAGTCTCTTTCTCTTTTACATAAAAAAGTTCCCTTTTAGTTCTGACATTCTAATCCCCAAAAGTCCAAACCCTTTTTTTGCTTTGTATTAAGGAGTTAAAATTTTGACAACTAGATTAAGTGCTTGTTTTGGTTTGCATACCCAGAGGCTGGAGGATAATAGGAACATCTTCATAAACCAGATAAATAATAAAGATCTCCCATAAAGGCTCTCACTAACTGTTCTACATTTTACTTGTAAAAACTATTTTGGATTTATCTCCATGACAGCTTAGTAAAAAACAGGATCTGCAACTACTATTTGGGTTTCCTCAAAAGTCCTCATTCTCCAAGACACTATTACATGAAAACATAACACTGGAAATAATCAATCCAACTATCCCCATGTTAGAGGCCCCAAACAGAAAATCATGGCTATTCCTAAAGAAACATTTTTAAATACCCGCCTTGCAATTGCTTTAGGTGCACACACTCTCATATATTAACACAAGGCACCAGAGTTTAAATTCAAACGTAAATCTGCCCGTTACTACATGGCTTTTTGGGAGAGGCCTTTCATGAGTAAACCCCTCAACCAGCTCTATACCATCCCAGGGCCTTCCCTCTTTCCTTTTCTGGGATCATCTATTTATCTTCAGCCTCCATGGTGAGGGCAAATCTGTATCTGAGCTCCAGGCCCAGCATGGGACTCGCAGTAAACACGGTTATGTTTGTCCTTCAGCGGCCCTCCTTTGTATAAACAGATGTGGTGGGAAGGGAAGGAAAGCCAGATCCCGGTGAGGGCCGGGAGGTCTCCTTTCTGAAGAAGCTTCCCAGCTGCAGCCAGGAGCACGGGAACAGGACACATTTCTTGTTCAGGCCTCAGAACTTGCAGTTCTTCCAGACAGGGGCTGTTCCTGCTCCCTCCTCCACCCTCCACCCCCAGCCTTTGTTCCTGGGAATGCTGTCTCAATGTCTCGATCTCACTTTCGCCAAAGCAAACATTTCCAACAAGGCGTATGCTAAGGGGATATTAGAAAGACAGATTTTCTTTTTCTTTTTTTTCTTTTTCCAAATACACTGTGCATTGGGATTTGGGCAGCCAGCCCTTCACACCTGTACTTTTTCCTATATTCATATTCTCTATGTTTTTACCTAATCTTCTTGCTACTTGCTACCTTCAGCTAATGAGAGGGGTTTTTGAGGGCTGAGAGTTATCAGCTTGTAAAATAACAATTTCATTTTCTCAGACTATGTTGATGCCAACTCTGTCTTAATTTAGCGTTTTACATTTTGCACATTAGTTATGGATGCTAATGAAGAAAGGATTGATTCAGAGCTGGGGGAAGAAGGGAGCCAGGCTGAGCATTCTCAAATCCGATCTCAAATAGGAAAGAAGTCTCATTGGCCTTTTGGTCTTCTACCTGTGTCCTGAATTGAGTTTGTTAATCCTCATTCGGAGGTGGGTGAGGTGAGAGGATGACTCTTCGGCTTGACGCTGGAGGGATCCCGTCACTTGCACCCAGGGTTTACATTTCTGGCAGCCCCAGTCAGCGGTTCTTGCCCAGAAAAAGGAACAAAGGGGAGAGTGCTGGAAGGGACTCCCTTTTGGCGGGGAGTGCGAGGTTTGGTTCGCGTGGTGAGGCACAACTGCAGGGCTCTGAGCTGCTCTCTAGGAATTCTGGGGAATCCCTGGTGAGAATCCGGAGCTGTGGCCAAGAGGTCAGGAGAGTCAGGGGGCCTTGGAGGGGCTTCCGGTTCTAGGCCAACTGTGGAGAAGCAGAGGTAGGGCCCTGATGGAGACATGCGCTTCTCAGCATGTCTAAAAAAGTAAGCCAGGGGGAAGAGCTGTCTTTACAATGAGGGAGATTATTATTACTCTTTAGGAGCCACGATGATACTCTTATCACCCTTCTAGCTGATCACCTGCCTTTCCAGACCGGAGACGGGCGGCAAGTTTGAAGTCGACACCCAGAGGCCAGTTTGTCCCCCTTCCCGGTGAGAAATAAAAAGAAAGGAGGTTGGTTTCCAGGGCTGGCCAGCTAGAGGGTGGGTGGGACCACCACTGGAGGCCAAACCGCAACGGAGAGCAGGTCCGGGTGGAAGAGGTTTCCTCCGCGCCGCCGCTTTATTTCGCTGAACTTGCGGGCTCCAGAGACCTTAAACGGTTTGTTTGGGGCGCTGCTGCGGGCGGCACAGCTCACTCTCCCCGCGCCTGGGCGGCCGGGGAATTCCCCCGCACCCACCCGGGTCCGCCGCCCGCGGGAGCGCCCAGCAGGGTCAAGTGGATTCTGGGCCGCGGGAGAAGTGCGTGCAGCCCGGGCAAGGCCGGGCGGGGCCGGGCGCGGGCGGGCGGCCGAGGGATGCGACAGGGCCGGGCACGGCTCCGCATCCCCCCGCACTCGGCGCCGCCGCCTCGCCGCTCTCTCCCGCTTGCAGGGCCGCCCCGGGCACCCCAGGGCTGCTGAGGGGCGGGCGGGCCGTAAAAGCCACGAGAGAGGGGCGGCAGGGCGGCGCGGCCTGCGAGCGCCGCGGGACCCCGAGGAGCGGCGCGGGGAGTACAGGGGCGCGCGGGGCGGGCGCGGCGCGGGGCTCACGGTGCGCGCGCGCCTCGGCCTCGCCCGCGCACACGCGCCTCCCGGAGGAGAAAGAGGCGGGCGGGCGGGCGCAGAGCACCGCGGCGGCGGCGGCGGCGGCGGCGGCTGCAGCAGCGGGCCGGGCCGCCGCGAGGGAGGGGAGGAGGGGCGGGCGCAGGGCCGGGGGCGGGGGGCGGCGGCGGCGCGGCGAGCTCGCTGCTCTCTCTTGAGTGTGCCTGCGCGCAAGCCGGGGAGCGGGTGAGTGCGCCGGCCGCTGCAGCCAGCCCGGCCGGCCCGGAGTCGGGGGCGGGGGGCGTCGGGAGCCCCGACCTGGGGGTGGGCGGTGGGCGGGCGGCGGCCGCTCTGGCGCGGCTGGGATGCACCTTGAGCGGCGCCTTTCGTTGCAGCGCGCGGGCGGCCCGAGCCTCGGCGGCGGCGGTAGCGGCGGCGGCGACGCTGACACCTCCCACCATGGACAGCTTCGACTTAGCCCTGCTCCAGGAATGGGACCTCGAGTCACTGTGGTAAGTCCCCGTGCCGGCCGCTTCGGGCGGGCGGGAGCGGCGAGGGGCGGCCGCGGCGGCCCGCGCGTCCTCACCTGGGCCGGGGGCTCCGGGCGGCCGGCCGCCGTGGGGGTGGGGTGGGTCGGGGGCGCCTGCCTCGCCAGCCCTTTTCTGCCTCCCCGGGTGGGATGCGTGGCCGCCTGCCCGTCTGTTTCCCCCTCTCCTGTTCCCCTCCCTCGCGGCGGCCCGCCCCAGCCCAGGGACTGGTGATCTAGGTAGCCAGGGGCAGAGCGCAGCCGTGGGGAGGAAAAGAAGCGATTTGAAGACTGTGTCACTAATGCCTGGGGATCCACCCGTCGGCCCCCTGCTCCTCTCACTTCCTTTCCCTCCGACTGCGCCCCCTCCCTCCTCCGGCTGGCACCACCGACCCCCTGGAGTTGGTGCTGCTGCGAAGTGCCCTTAGAGGATGCTCCAGCCTCCCCGCCTGCGCCCGGTCTCGGCTGCATCCTTTCTGTCTCTCCCACCCACTTCCACCGAGATGGAAAAGTGAACATCCAGGGCAGGAAACGAGTGTTTCTCCGTGCCGGTATTCCAGAGGCCTTAGCCCAGGGAGACTCCTTTCCTCGGGGTTCACAGTTCCTCTGGGCCCTTTCTTCACACCTCGTCACAGTTGCACTCCTCCTCCCCACCCCACCCGGGCGCCCCGGGTATCCCTTTATGCCACGCTCACAGCTCGCAGCCCGGGGGGCACTCCAGGTTCCGTTTCTCGGGGGATCTCACACTGGGGAGCTGCTGTAGGTAAATCGCCGCTGGAAGCAGTTTAATTCCAGTTGCGGGTGTCTTAAAAATCCCATTGGCTGCTTTAGTATCTGTCTTATTCCCCCTTCTTTCTCTGCTCCCCCCAACCCCCCACTATCTCTTAAATGTTTCCAACCAGCACTATTCAGGTGGTAAAATTACTGCCTGCATATTCCTGGAGGAACTTGTGTTATGTTTAATATTTACGGGGATGAACATCTGCTGGAACAAGCATATTAACTGCACTCTGTTCTGCCTCTGGTAATCGCTTATTGTAGAGCTGAGCTTTTTTTTTTTTCCTTTTGCTTTAATTCAGTAAAGAGTTCACATGTGTCTAAAACTGCAAGTGGTGTGCACATGAATATGCAATGTACAATTTTAAAGCTAAACTGCTTTATGATTTATAACATATAGATGATATGTGGATCTGTGTGTATTTTCTGTGATTTAGGTTTCCAGTGACTTTTATTTTCCTAAAGACAGGTGTAACAAAATAAACTGGACACAAAGCTAGCACATTATCAAACGGTTTCTTATAAAAGATCCTATGATGAGTAAGTACAGCTTGCTCTGCATAATGTTGGTGCCTGTAAAACACACAAGGACGGGCCCTAATGTAATAAAACTTTTACGTATTGCACTGGAAACTTCAAAGAGCCAGGGCAGAAAGAATATGAAACATGTTATGACTGTGTAAAAGTTGCTAATTACTGTGTTGCTGCTCCTGGGGTTATTTCAGCCTTTCATTTACAGATACCTATTATTTTATAGGTTTACATTTAGAAATGTTGGTTTCTGGCGCAAATTCAATAGCTTTCCAGATAGCAACTGTACTTTTAAAATGCTGTTTGCTTTTAAAAGGCAGTTTTTCAGTCAAAGGGAAGAACTTACTGTTTCGGTATATTTTTATGCTGCTTGTCTGCTTGCTGACTCAAAGCGAACCCCCTTATGACTTTCATAAGTAATATTTTGAGATTATCAGCGTAATTTGTGGGGTCTTCCTGCACAGAACCTGAGCTCTGTTTCCTTTTGCATCCTTAGTTCCCAGCTGAATTACCCTGGAGCAGTGTCACAGAATAAATATCTGTTGAATTGACTTGAAATTTACATTAGCAGTACATTTATTACTTTAAAAAAAACAAAAACTTACACGTTTTTTAAAAAGTTGATGTACGTGCAATCACATTTTAATCAGTGCATCGAGTTTTGGCTTATGAAGGCATGTAGACTTTCTTGATCACAATATACTAGGACAGTTTGGCTTGACCGGGAGGGTTTCTAGTTTTGCAGATGTAGAATTACATTTTACAAAAGCTTATATGTTTCTGATAAGTTAAAGAAAAACCAAGCTTGAGTATGCATTTCTAATATGTTTAGACATTTTCTCACAGATGAATTTTTGGATGCTATGTTCTCAGTTTTATGGTTTACGTAAATTTTTAAGTTTATGGTTACTTTTAAGCTTATAGATGGTTCAAAATAACTAATATTTGAGAACTTTCTGTGTGTCCAATATTTTCATATCCATTGTTTTCTTATTTGAATCTCTTAATCCTGGAAAGGGTAAGTAAGTGGTAGTAGTTCCATTTTATAGATGAGGAAATAGAAGCTTTGAACTGTTAAATGACTTTACTGAGGTCATAAAACAGATGACAGCAGACTTTTTAAAACTAACATTTGCTGAACACGTATTATTTATCAGACACTGTTCTGGGTACATTACATGTTTTAGCTCATTTAATTATAAAGCAAGTACTGTTATTAGTTCCATTTTAAAGATAGGAAAATTGAAGATGGGAAGATAGGGTAACCTGCCCAGAGTCACACATCTAAAAATGGGGCAGCCATATTTCAACCAGAAATTAGCTTCAAAGCCCAGTGATCTGACTTCAAATCCGGTCAGACAATTGCCATTTTCTAGAGTACTTCAAATATCTCTCAGCTTATAAGGACAGCTCTGAAATTAATTACAAAACAAAACCTCGATGGACTGGAAGTTAAGGTCCTACTAAAATAACAAAGAGAGAGAGCCCTAAATGGTATTAAAATTAAAAATTTGAAAATAAACTACCATAGTTAGGAAAGTATACCTGTTAATTATGAATTATTGTATTAGAGCAATATACATTTTAAAGACCATTGAAAACTTCTTCCTTTGATTGATCATAGAAAAACTTTTTTGAAGGAGGAAGGAGGAGGTACAGATTAATGGCAAAAGAGAATCTTAATCCCTAAGAACTTTTTCTAATTGATGGACATCATTTTCCAATTGAACAAATTGGAATTTATTAGTGGTGACTGTGGCTTTGAATCTGAGCTAGTTTATTCTTGCAGTCACAGAGAGTGTCCTTATAGAAAATAAAAAGGGAAAAGCTCAGTTCTGTTGAATATAATCAATATACACAATCAATTGATAATTCACAACTACCTCCTTTGCCTTCTTGCACACTCTTCCTGCCACTCAGAAACATCCATACTTACTCTTCAGGATGGGTTTTTTGAGCCTGAATTATCCAGATGGCTGTTTCAACTTTTTCAGCCATACCTTAAAGTTGAAAAGGATGGCCCTAATTTCCACCTCTAATTCCACTTCCAATTTCTGGTTTGAAGCAAGACTGGAGAACTTGGAAAAAGGTTAAGGTGTTCATTCAGCACCCAACACTGTAGCTTTGTTCTGTAGAGTCTTGAAGAGTTGGGCATTCCGTGAGTTTACAGGGGCAGCAGATATGCAGAGGCACAAGGCTGCCCCCTCCACTCCCTGGTCTTCCTTCTGTGGTCCACCAGCTTTTGATTAGGTGCTAGACATATAAGCCATTCCTCAGGGCCTTTAAAATAATGACCATCCCTTTTAACAGGCTAACTGTTGCTTTCATTTAATTCGTTTAACAAATATTTGTTGATCATCTCTTAAGTAGAAGACCTTGTGCTGGTTTCTGTGGGAGATGCAAGGATGAGTAAGGCGTAGGTTGTACATATTAGTGTTATTGTCAAGTGAGGAAATTAAGACAAGAACACACATGAAAAAGGAAGTTTTCAACACTGGTGATTCAGAAAAGAGACCATATTTGGGACTTGGGTGGAGGATGGAAAGAGGAAAAATTGAGTTAAAAAACAAAGGCTTCCATGAAATAGGTGGCCTTTGAACTAAGTCTTGGAAGACAGATGGTGTGGGTGGGGGTATTGAGAGTACATGGAGACATCTTGGGCAAAGAAAACTTGAACAAGGGCTTTCATGGTGTCTCTAAAAGATCATTTTATGCATCATGGTGGAATTACCTATACTGTCTCTTTTAAAGATGCAGAACTTTGTAGTCATGAGGTAGTTTCAGTGAATGAGAAAAGTTTTCCAAAATGAACTTGTATTTCATCTTCCTTAAATGTTAACACATTTTAATCATTGGAGAGAAAGTCTATCAACATACAACAGTATAATAAATATTCTGATCTTCCCTACCACTCACCCCATTCCTCCACAGCTTCATATAAGCCAGAATCCACACACTTTTGTTCAGATAGGCATTATTCTTTATATTCCTTTAAGTTGGAGCCTTTGAAGTTATAATACATGGATCATTTCATACTCATCAACCTGTTCAATTCAATAAGCATTCACAGAATATTAGACAGAGGAGAGGTACCATCAGGGCAGTGACTTTCAAATGCTTCAGACCATGACCCCCAGTAACAAATACACGTTTAACACTGCCACCCACCACCCCTTGAACATGCATACACGTAAGTGAAACAAGAGCATCATGAAATAACGCTTATTACTATGTGTGATACACTTGGATATTTCCTATCCTCTTTCTTTCTCTTTTTTCTTTTTTTTAGAATTTCCCATTCATAGGCTGAAACCTGCAGTTTAGGAAACCCTGCTGTACAGGATGCAAAGGACAGTGTGTTTTTTGGGAACTTAATAGGAGAATAAGCCATACCCATAAATACCTGTAATCCAAGGCTGACACTGCCTGCTTGAGGGGGCATGGGCACATCCTGTTGAAAGTAAGATATTCATGGTGGGGTGGCATTTGAAATGGGTCCTGGAGTAGAATTTCAGGAGGAAATGGAAAGGAGGAAAACCACGTGGTGGGAAGACTGTGAATAGAAACATGGAGGGAATAAAGTGTGGATCTTGTTTGGTGAAGGTAGGCTAACACAGGCAGGGAGGGATGCAGAGGCACTAGCAGTTTAGTCTCCCTAAGGATGCTGCCTAGTAGTGCCCGCTGATGCTTTTGCTTGTCTTCAAATCAACTGCCAGGGGGCATGCGCAGGCCAGTGGGCGGCTTCCTCCAGGCCTTTTTAGACTTTACTTCATAGTGCCAGAAAATGCTACAGATCCCTGATCTTGACCTTCAGGTGCCTCTAACCCTTTCCTCCAGCTGCAGTAAAGCAAACATTTTAAGGCCTATTCCTATCCTTTTGGTCAGTCCTTATGGGTCAAAACAGAGTACAAAGAAAGGGCAGAAGGAGAGTGCACCTGTCTGAGCCCCAGGTGTCCTGGAGCTGATTGGTAGACAGCAGCTCTGCAGAGCTGCGTGTACTCACACTGGCCGAAGGTCACCGTGTAGTTGACTGCGTGGCTCTCATTGGCCCTCAGCATGGGCCTGGAGGGGCCTCGGCAGGTACGAGGAGGCAAAGCCTTCTCAGAAGAGAGGCTTCCAGGGCTAGGGCTGTGGGCAGCAGTGGGGAAGGGGCTGCTCATCAGCCTGGAGGAGGCAGGGGGCCTCGATGGGAAGCAGTGGAGTGTTGCATCCGCTGTGGAGGAGCTCAGCCCTCGTGTGGGGTGTGTTTTGGAGAAAGCTGGGTGGAGAGACTGGTTAGTTCAGGGCGCCGAGAACTTGGGGACTCCAGCTGGGCTGGGGCCCCAGAGGATACCAGGGAGGAGGAACCCAGGGAGTGTGCACCTTAATGTGTGGATAGGTTTTTAACCAAATGTATCTGGATGACGATGAAGATGAGTATTGTGTGTGGGGAAATGATTCCTTCCTGTGTTCCAGATTCTCTTTTGTGAAAATGTAGGAGGGTTTTAAAATGCTAAGAATCTATTTTGGGAGAATGTCCTTGTTAACTACAATGGGTCTAATCAATGACACTTGAGCAACTTGAACGAAGACCTTTGGCTTAATACAGATTAATAGGCAAATTAAGAAAAAAAAACCTCTCAATATGGAATGCAAGATTTTGTGTGTAAGTGGAATTTTTAACCTGGAATAGATTTGCCTGTTTGATTTTTTTTTTATTTTAATTTTTGGGAATAAAGCCTTGGTGGCAAAATCGAGGCCCCATAAAAGACGATTTTAATATCATTTAATGGTAACATAATTTTTTTGTTGTTGTTTTATTTCAAAGTGAAATCCATAAAACTTATTTTCAATGTTGGCTGTTCCCTTTTGTCTTGGAATTTAATTGAGGTTTCTGAATTCAGCTGGCCCCAACCTTGCTTTCTGTTTGGCCCTGGGCAGCTCATGATTTTTCTCATTTCCTATTCTCAGTCTTGGTTTAATCACTTATAAAATGACAGCACTTAGACTGGCCTACCTCATAAGGTTGTGATGTTAAGTAATAAAAGTGTCAATTGCTCTGAATGCCAAATGTAGCTCTTCTATACCCTTTGCTTTCTTAAAAATGTCTCTTTTTCATAAACAAGGAAGAATACAGAAAGGCCGCATAAGGTCAGATTCAGCAGTCCATGCGGTGCAGCGTTCTGTCCCTGGCAACAGGACCCTGGGACGGTTTTGAGTAGAGGTTGGTAGCTTTTCTTAGTCGTGCATCATAGTCCAGCAGACAAATATGCTCTTACTTACGGTGGTACTACTCACATATGTAGATCTATTAACCATTACATAATCTTTTATGTTTCACTGAGAATGTATTGCATTACCAACCATTACATCGAATGACTTCATTTGGCACTGTGGGTCTCATTAAATTATGTCAGGCTAATCATAATTTAGTTTCACTGGAAACAAAATACACAGTGTTTATATCAGAGTAAGAGGACACCACCCAATCCAAGGAACTAAATGGGTTCAATCTAAGGAAACTACCACCCGGGATATGATAGGGGCCTTAAGTGTTTGAAGGCATTTAGCTGGGAAGTGGGAATAGAGTTGTTCTGGGTTGCTCAAGGGCACGAGTAAGATCAGTGGGTGTGAGAGCATTTAACAGTGATGTGATGTGGGCTGTCTCAAAGGGTAACAATTACCTGACTTTGTAGAAAGACATTCCTGGGTAGGCAGAGCGGCAGCAATAGGCTATCTCCGAGATTCCTTCCAGCTTCAAAATTCTATGATCATTCCCCTCACAGGGTAGCAGGAATCAAAGAGTGCAGAAGTCATTAATTGTATTCACTTGTGTATTTTTCCTCTGCAATTTCCCCACTCACCTGTGGAGAAAGGCATAGAGGGTACTTAAACTTCTTCACATAATTTCTTCCCAGGAGGCTCATTGTTAGCGGAGGTAAACAAAAATGACTGTAATTTGGAGACCACTTTAACATAGCAACTCCATTTAGAGAGTTATGTGCTTAACTTGATACTGGAAATAATTTTATTTTTCCTTTTATATGGGCAGGAAATTAGTTTCGAAAATCCCCTAGAGGACCATGATGTGAGTCTGTTGGTCTTAAATTTTTCTTCTCATATCTGTACTGTTTACCTGCGTTATGAAGTGACAGAACAGAATTTCAGCCAGTGTTCATTGACATGTTAATTAGTTACCTGGCAATTTAGATAGGAAGAGGCTTTACTGTAGTGGATCACCACCAGTTCTGGGAAATAATCTGTTTTTGTTTTAAAATTTCAAAATATATTTGTTTTCACGTAGAATGCTTGTAGAAGAAGAAAAGACCCAGGGTGTAGAAAATAGTTTTGAGAGCATAGGTCAGTATGCTTAGCTCTCACTCGGGGAATGCTTCTCAAACTTCCATGTGCATCCAAATAATCTAGAGGCCTTGTTAAAATACACATTCTAATCTAATAGAACCAGGAGTCCACATTTCTAACTGGCTCCCAAGTATTAGTTTTGGTCCACAGACCAAACTTTGACTTGTAAGGACTAAATGGACAAAAATTTCCTTTGAAAAGAAGACCTTTCAAAATTTGCATTTCCTTCTCCCTGTTTTGGGGACACCTTTGTGTAATAACAGTACAGTTCCATAAAGCTTGACGGTTGCGTTTAGATGCAGTATTTATTTTATTTTTGTGAGTCTTTCTAATACAATTCTGATGAGTGAGGGGGTGGTTAATTGTATTCTGGTGGAGATATGGTGGGAAGTAAACATAAAAACCTAAGTAAACACAATTTGTAATAAATAGGCTAATCACTTTTTATAGCCTCTCAGTTCTCATCATTCCTTCAAAGCCCGGGACCTTCTGTTGTATCGGGCTCGAATGCTGAGAGTAACTGTATAGTCTTACAGACACTTTTGGATTTGTGGAGAATCTCTCAGTAACCCCTGTGGATGCCCAGGATTCAGACCAAATGTCCCCATTCTCTCCTAGCCATTCTGTCTTTGGGAGGGCTGGGGTTGGGGGGATGGGAGTGTTGGGGGTGGGGTCAGCTATTTGCAGAATTATTGCACTACCCCGTGGCCATAGCTGCAAATTGCAACTTTCCTAGTGTCCTACGAGAAATCACAACTGAAGACTCTACGTGGAACCCATAGTAGGTTTCAGATACTTCAGTTGGGGACCTTGCATCCCCGCTCGGCCAACCTTCTTCTCTCTGCGCCGTTACCGGAGTACCCTGAGTCCATTAGGTGGCCAAACTTAGCTGCAGTTTCCATGTGTAATTTCCAGTTCTATTTCATTAGAATGTTTGCATATAGGATGGATAATGCAAGGAAATGTTGCACAATTGACTTTGCATGTTCTGTGATACTGACAGGAAGTTTATTGACTTTATCTTTCTAAGGAGGGTGTGTGCGTGCACATAAGCACATGAGTGCACATACACACATTTTCATTCTCTGAAGTAGACATTGAAGACTGCTACTGACAAGAGAAACCCAGACTGGATTTAAACAATGGGGGGTATTCCAGATTTGGAAAAGAAAGGTGAATTTTCACGAATAGTAGGGCAAATTTAAATCTTGCAGTCTTGAGACACGTGAACTCGTGGATGAAGTTCTTGCAATAGTGTTTAGCATTATTTGGGGCCATAGTTGGTATCTGTACTCCTGGTAGCCGTGATACTGCCTTAATACGTCATAGTCCATTATATGATCTGACTAATTGTGTTTAACCATTTCTTGTAATATGCAACATTACTTTCCACTGTTCTAACTCTTCCTTCAGATTGTGGGGGAGGAGAGAGGAAAACAGTTGCCCTCAAGCCTGAAGGTAGGTCAGGCCCGTAGTAAGATAAGCAAGTATTTGATTATTGCTTCAGTACTAGTGTCATCAAATTAATACAGTTTCTTTTACATTTAAGAAAATACAGTTTACTATCAATAAATAGTACAAATAACAGGTGATTCAGACAACCCGCCCCCCACCACACACCAAAAAAAAAAGACTGTCAGACTCAGAGGTTTACTCTGTTGGGTCCCAAGAAGCGACATTCAGGAGTTCCTTAAGAATAGAAAAAGCTACTGATGATGGTCAGGTAGGTTCTGACCTTTAGATGCATTGTCTGGGCTTTTGCCCTGGGACCCTGCCTTGGTTGAGAAGATAGGTTGCCCACATGGCCCACTTGCTTCTTGTCCCACCAATCATATTCCATGGCAGGGAGGCTTCTAGTGTCCTTTCTCAGAACTGCTGAGGTAGAAACTACAGTTGGAGGCCGAGGACTTTATCTCAGGCTGTGAAGTAGGTATCTTCACTGGCCATAGACTCTGTAGTTTACTAAAATAGAAGCTCAGAGCATCCTGGGAAGAAGCAGGTAGACTTTCCTTGCCAGGCCTTCTCAGTGTGCCGAAGATTCAAATGTTTACTTCCTTCCACTTTCTGAAACATCCTGCCAGGCCCCTCTTCTGTTAAGGAGTGCAGGGGTCCCCAGCCCCCGGGCTGTGGATCAATATTGGTCCGGGGCCTGTTAGGACCTGGGCTGCAGAGTGGGAGGTGAGTGGATGGCGAGCAAGAGAAGCTTCATCTGTATTTACAGCTGCTCCCCATTGCTAACATTACTGCCTGATCTCCGCCTCCCGTCAGATTAGCACTGGCATTATATTCTCACAGAAGCATGAACCCTATAGTGAACCGAGCATGTGTGGGATCTAGGTTTCTCCTTATGAGAATCTAATGCCTGATGATCTGTAACTGTCTCCCATCACCCCCAGATGGGACTCTCTAGTTGCAGGAAAACAAACTCAGGGCTCCCACTGATTCTACATTATGGTGAGTTGTATAATTATTTTATTATAGATTACAATGTAATAATAGAAATGAAGTCTACAATAAATGTAATGCACTTGAACCATCCTGAAACCATCTCTCCACCCCTGGTCCATGGAAAAAAAGTCGTCTACAAAACTGGTCCCTGGTGCCAAAGAGGTTGAGGACCACTTCTGTTGTGGGAGTAGAAATGAGGATTCACCTTAAAGGAGGATACAGCTCTAGCAACCCTTTGAGCAAAATATATGAGCTGTCTGTCATCTCGAGGAAATAGATGGCAACATCAGAAATGGGAAGACCACACTACTCCAACTCACATCTATGTCTATGTGCAGTAGGCCCTCTGTTTTGATGGATAATCAGATGGTCTCACGTTTTTACCATGGTGTGCCACCTGTGGCCCTAGCTGTGTGACTGTCTAGGATGAAGTCTGGGCTCAGGTTACAGTGATGTGGATAAAGTCCGTTCTGCCTGAGCACCAGTGATCATCACGTGCGGCGGCATATTGTAGAGCCCAGGACAGAGTTTGACTTGGAGCCTGCTGAGTTTTTTGCAGAAGCATGTCTACGTGCAGGAGAGGACAGCTCAGCGGGTAACACCAGGACTCTCTTATTTGTGTTCCTTTCATTGAAGGTAGTTCCTTCCCCAGAACATGGCATAGCTGCTTTTGAGAACCAATCCTTGTAAGTGACTTCCTTTAATTTTTTTCAATAAGTAGAGTTTAATCTTTGAATATGAATGGAACACCTGAGAAAATTCTTTGGAGTCTGAGAGGAAGTAGGGTATGTTGGTTTCTAATAGTTAGGTAAATAATTAGTTACATAAATTGATTTCTTTTCCTTACTTTTATTCCTCAGCAGGACAAAAGTAATATTTTAGACAAGGCATGGTGGTACAGGCTGATCACACCTGTAATCCCAGCATTTTGGGAGGCCGAGGAAGGAGGATGACTTGAGCCTAGGAGTTTGAGACCAGCCTGGGCAACATAGGGAGACCCCATCTCTACAGAAATATTAGCTGGCCATCGTGGTGCATGCCTGTGGTTCCAGCTACTTGGGAGGCTGATGTGGGAGGATTGCTTGAGCCTGGAAGGTCAAGGCTGCAATGAGCCATGATTGCACCACTGCACTCCAGTCTGGATGGCAGAGAGAGACCTTGTCTCAGAAAGAAAAAAAAGGTAATGTTTTAGAGCCCTAAAATATATAATAATGTAACGCAATCCGTCTACAGTATAGAGGGCTTGAAGCTGCTCTTTGTAACTTTCTTCCTCTGGATTTCTAGGTGTCTGGGTTGAGATGAGCATCCTTTTATTGAGCCAGACACAGAAGTGAAGAGACCACATTTCTAGCCCTTGATATGTTTATATTTTAGCCTGGTAATAAGAACAGATTATTTCATTAGTCTAAGTAGACTTTTTACCTGCCCCAAATCCTGTGGAGTATGTACGGGGGTACCCTACTCAGCATGGTATTTTAGGGATGATTTCCTAGAGAAAGTGACATCTGATTGCAGTCTTAAAGGAAGGATAAGAGTTAGCCAGGCTGGGAGCGGGGTAGGGATATGGCAGGTACGATAATGTAAGGAAAGGCAAAGAGGTGAAAATTAGCAAGTTGTGAACAATAGCAGTGACCAGTGCAGGTCAGTTTCAGGTCCCTGGCATTCAGGTTGGGAATGGCAGGATGGGAGGTTGGGCAGTGGAGCTGGGAGCAGCTCTCAGAGGGCCTTGCATGGCTTTCTAAGGAGCTCAAACATTTTCCAGTAGGTGATGGCCTGCATGAGGGCTTTAAGCAGGGGAGCAAAATGGTCACGTTTGCATTTTTTTATTATTTCTAGAAGGCACTATAGATGGATGAGTCTGGTGGTTGTGAGAGGCCATGTCTGAAGGTCAGGAGGTCAGTGAGGAGTGAGGGCTGACTAGCCTGGGCCGGTGAGGATGGAGAGGAGGAGAGGGAGTAGAGAGCTGTTGGGGGCATGACACAGACAGTATTCACTCATTTTCTGGGTAGAAGGGGATGAGGGTGCTTTGAGGCTATCTAGCTTGTGTGATGAGATAGGGAAAGTAGGAGGAAGAGCAAGCTGAGTGGGGAAAGAGGAACCCTTTGGATTTAAATGTATTGCGTGTAAATGCCCTTGGACCATGAAGATAAAATTGTCTCTAGGAAGTTTACTAAAGATCCTGACATTTAGGGAAAAGGTCAGGATGGAAATAAGTGGGCGTTATCAGCATACAGGTGCTGGTGAAAGCCTTGAGATTGGACAAGATTGTCTAGGGCGGAGGAGGAGAGAATGAGAAGTAGGCTGCAGGCACCACGGTGTAGTGGGAGGGAAAGCAGCCGGTGAAGAGGGTTGAAAAGGAAAGATCAGCCAGGGCGAGGCCATGAGCCAGTGGGGTCTGTGACCAGCTGCTTTTTGGAGTTGGCAGTGAGGGTGAAAGAATGGATGGGAGGTGGGAGGGCGGCTATGCGTGTTCCCACTCTTGAGGGGAAAGATGGGCAAACTGATGGAGGAAGGCCTCAGAGGAGATGTGGGCAGGCCAGGCCCAGAATCAGAGGAAGAACGCGAGGGTGGAATCTGTGTAGATACTTTGGGATAAACCTTGTGGGTAGGGGTGATATTTAACAAAATACCTATGAGAAATGGAAGTTTCACAGAATGGAACTACAAAGAAGAGGGTAATATGAAACATCAGATTGTAAAGGGAAACTAGTAGGTTCTTCCTAGTTATTTTTGAATATATGACTTAAAAGTCCGCATAAGCCCCTTTGGCATACATCTATGTCATACTATCTGTAATTTAAAGTAATTTTGATTGAGAAGTAATTTGGTGAAGGTACATAGCCAGGAAAAATTAGTGAGCTTGTCTAATTGTGGGCTGTTTTAAATGGATTTTTAAAAACTATTTTCAAATAGAAAAGACAGGAGTCCCACGATGTTGTCCTAACGTTTGATGGCAGATTTTCCTTGGAAAGACATCTAGGCCAGCTGGCCTCAGGGTGTTGTGTTTCTTACACATAAGAAGTGTCCTGAGCCTTTCACAGGTATGTATTATCTCTTTTAATCTTCATTACCTGTAGGGTGGATTCTACTATTCCCCATTTTATAGAGAAGGAAACAAAGGCACAAGGTAACTTGCCCAAGGTCCCATAGTTAGTAAGGCAGAGCTGGGAATTTAATGCAGGTAGCCTGGCTCCAGAGCCCCTACACATCACCACTATCCTGTAATATGTATCTCTTAATGACAGAATCAGAGGGCATGAGTACTGAGGTCCCATGCGACCTTAAAATATATGTGATATAGGCTGGGCGTGGTGGCTCACGCCTGTAATCCCAGCACTTTGGGAGGCCGAGGTGGGTAGATCACCTGAGGTCAGGAGTTCCAGACCAGCCTGGCCAATGTGGTGAAACCCTGCCTACTAAAAATACAAAATTTAAAAATACAAAAATTAGCTAGGCGTGGTGGTGGACGCCTGTAATCCCAGCTCATCGGGATCCTGAGGCAGGAGAATCACTTGAACCTGGGAAGCAGAGGTTGCAGTGAGCCTAGATCGCACCATTGCACTCCAGCCTGGGTGTCACAGCGAGACTCCTTCTCAAAAACAAACATATATATATATATGTATGTATGTATGTAAATGGTCTCCAGCAGGTACAGTGAGGTATATATGGAAAAACATCTTGAGATTTATTTTGAACTTTCAAACTCAGAATGAATAGTATATTGTGTTCAAGCTATTACAGATTTTAGACTAGTGGAATTCTAATTAAACAGGCTTCACTGTGCATGGATTGTCTGTAGTTCACTGTCATTAAGTCCTGCTGTTTTTGTTAGTATTTAAAATGTTAAAAATACACTGCCTATATAATTTCTTGCAATTAGTTGTATACTCCATAAAACCTCTAATTTGACAAATTTTATGGATGAAGACAATGGTAACAACTGTTTGCCACATCTGGTCAAATCTACCATAACACCTAAATGTAACTTCATTAATAACAATAATGATGGTACAGCAATACAATTTATAAAACCACTTCATGAAAGTCATCTGAAATTGTAAGGTGATTTTTTTTTTCATGTAGATCATTTTGCTGTTTCTTCTTAGAAATGGAACTACACATGGTGTACAAATGGTCTGTACAAAGTCAGACCATCTCTTCTAGTTGTATGACTCTAATTCTAGAAAGAAGCATTGCTTCAGTGACCTGGAAAGAGTAAACAGGCTTAATTTATATCACGAGATAGTTGGGTAAAGTAAAAATGATAGATTCTTAGCTTAAGGGATTGGGACATATTAAAACAGATGACAAAAATAACTTTAAATGTTTTTTTAAAAAATCTTAGAGAATAAGACGTTAAATAACGTTAGTTATTTTTGAATATTTTAAGTTAGGTTAAAAAAAATCCACTTGGCTGGCAAAATTCCAGAAAGGCACGAATTAATGTTGGGAAGGGCAAAGGGTTCAGAGCCATCCAGCAATGGGTTCAGATTCTGACATGCCATTTACTAGCTGTGCCATCTTTAGTAACTCAGCATCTCTGAGCTTCAGGTTCCTTATATATAAATGAGATAATACTGTCACTGATTTGTTATGGGGATTAAATTAGATAATGTTCTTTTATACTATCAAAGATCTGTGCCTTACTGTGTGGTTTTCTTTTTACTGGAATTTATTATCTCGTGAATTTTTATGGCAAAAAAGGGGGACTGATGAAGAAAGTCAGTGAAATGTTTCCATCCAAAGGGCTAAAGTTTTCATGTGATAGGTTTAAAATATTAGGGAAATTGTCTTTGAAAGTGTTTGCCTTCACCATGTAGAGAGTAAGGTATACTTATATGTCTTGATTCTTTAATTAATAATTCGACTTTGCTTGCCACTTAAAAATTAGAATCAAATTCTGAATGGAGAGTAAAGCCCACATATATATTGGAAGGGAACCAGGCAATAAACTATCTGATTTACAGAAAACAAAGTGTTTCATGAATGCTTTCCTTAACCCAAGCTTTACTTGTAACTTGAGCCAGGTTTTAATTTTTGAAAAAATTTAAATGGCAAAAATATGTGAACCTACAAATAAATAGGGAGTGATAATCGACTGTTGAGGCCAGTGAGTGAACGTGTATTTGATGTGGCCCTGAGATAGAGGCTGTGAAAGGAGTTTCCTGGAACTTATCAGGAGCCCCCAGAGCATAGGTTCACACTTTATACCTCGTGACTTTTAGAGCAGGCAGGGTCTGTATTCAGGCCTGCAGAAAAATAAGTGTAACACTTTTTTAAAATGTATAACAATGCTTCTTTCTATTTGTGTTTGGTTTATATTACCTAAGAAGCATGTTCTGTATTATTAGGATAGATACCACTTCTGTGTTTATTCTAATGAAAATGAAGAAGGAAACAGTCCCCACCAATATTGTGAAGTACTTAATGGTTTTTAAAATCTTTACGAGACTGGCCAAAGTAAAAATATAAATGAAATAAATGGAAATGTAGCCGTTACTTTCCAGTTTATGTGAGTATCACGATGCAATATTTGGAACTGATTGCAACTGCTGTAAAGTACTTTGAGGAAACCCATTAGAAGAGAATTAAAACTTGAACAGATTAGCTGATCTCTAATGGCCCTAGGAGAAGATCTTGTATTGCTTCAAAATCTTTTCTGATTCTCATCACTCAACCTTCTTGGCTATGTAAACAAAGGAAGCTTTCCTTTTGTTTTCCAGACGTTTGGAAAACAAAATTTTCCAGAGCTGTGCATCTGCCAGGAAATGTTTCTTTTAACCTGATATCATAGATAGTTTTAAAAGCTAAAGTAAACTCTGGATTTTAGATTTCTATATCCCAGGTTGAGAGTAATAAAACTAAAAGAGGAAGCTTTTTAGGTGCCAGTGATTATTTAGTGATGGTAACATGGATCACTGATATTTTTACTTTCTTTTTTATATATTGATTTTGTATCCTGTGACCTCGCTGAGTGTATTCATGAGTTCTAATAGTTGTGTGTGTATTTTTTAGGATTTTATATATATACACATGATTATGTCATCTGTGAATAGAGATAGTTTTGCTTTTTCCTTTCCAATCTGGTTGCTTTTAATTTTTTTTTCTTGCCCGATTGGCCTGGCTAGGACCTCCAGGAGAATGTTAAATAGTAGTGGAGTGAGTAGACATCTTTGGTTTGTTTCTCATCTTGAAAGGAAAGCTTTGTCATTCACTGTTGAGTGTGATATTATCTGTTGGTTTTTCATAGATGCCCTTTATCAGGTTAAGGAAGTTTCCTGCTGTTCCTAGTTTGTTGAGTGTTTTTAAGCACAAAAGGATGTGTGATTTTTGTCAAAGGCTTTTCTACATGTATTGAGATGGTCATATGGGTTTTAATCTATTAATACTTTAATATACTTTAATATACTTTAATCTATTAATATACTTTTATATACTTTAATACATTGACTGATTTTTATATGTTGAACCAACCTTGCATTCCTGGACTATGTCACTTGGTTATGGTATGTAATCCTTTTATATATCACTGGATTTGTTTTGCTAGTATTTTGTTGAATGACTTCCTTTTTCAGAAACAGTTGCCTATTTTCTTCTTTGATAATGAAAGTTCATGAACACTTGAGATAAAAATAAAGGAATATGACTTTCTCAGGACATGCCCATGGAAACACGAAAGCATTGTTTCTGCATATTCTCTGAATGATAGTCCTGTAAGTAAGAATAATCAAATCTCAAAAGAGATTTGAGTACTTGAGTACTCAAGTTCAGAAACTTTTATGTAATGATTTTCTGAAGAATTTTAACTTGACACCTGCTTAAGAAATTCTCACATAATGTAATTTCTTATATGACACATTTAGATTTTAGGTCCTGATCTTGTGCAAGTCATTCAATTTTTTTTAGCTTAGTCCTCTAATGAGTAAACAGGATTATAAGGAAGAAATAAAATATGCAGTGAATATGCTCATAAGATGTTACATGATGGGAAGATATAATTATTTATATAAGTATGTAAGTATAATTATTTAGCACAGGGGTAAAAAATTCAAATACCTTCAGGGCCAAGTAGACCAAATAAATGTCTGAAACAGTATCACAGTTGGATGTGATGGGGCTTGTGGTCCATTTGAAGCTCTACTACCTTGCTTCAATACATTCAGATGAAAAGCAAAACAAGCAAAATACAGTAAACAACACACACCCACACCTGTACTTTCTTGGCCAGACATCATACATCTGCCTCTATAGAATCCCTCATTCAGGGGGTCACTGATGAAGTGTAAGGCCCTAGGGTTGAGCTTCAGCTCCACTGTGGGGTAGGTTTTTACCTTCTCCAAAGCTTCATTTTCTCATTTGTAAAATGCAGATAATGTGTGTCTTGCCTAACTCTAAGGGCTGTTGTAAGAGGTTTAAATGGCATAACAGATAGAAATGATTCAAGCTATTAAGTCCTTTATAAATGTGTGGAATGTTGTTTCTCTGTATAAATCTTAGCTTTTCTATTATCTCAACAAAGGTGATTTTCTTGTTAAGAAGGTTTAGTAGCCAGGCATTGGACAACTCCAGAAGGCCAGCTAGAAACATCTTTTTTCAATAGTAGAATAACCTTGGTAATAGATTCAAGCCCATTTAATATACTTCCTGGACTTGAATTGTTACCTGGATCACCCCACTGTCATTCCAGCAAAAAGATCCATGATACGTTCTTCTCACCATTAGGTTCTCTTAGATATGGGAATTCTTTTTTCTTTTCTCTCTCTCTTTTTTGAGATGGAGTCTCACTCTGTCACCAGGCTGGAGTTTAGTGGTGTGATCTTGGCTCACTGCAACCTCTGCCTCCCAGGTTCAAGTGATTCTCCTGCCTCAGCCTCCCAAGTAGCTGGGATTACAGGCTTGTGCCACCACACCCAGCTAATTTTTGTATATTTAGTAGAGACTGGGTTTCACCTTGTTGGCCAGGATGGTCTCAGTCTCCTGACCTTGTGATCTGCCCACCTCGGCCTCCCAAAGTGCTGGGATTACAGGCATGAGCCATGGCGCCCAGCCAGATATGGGAATTCTTATGACACTATGGCAGTATGCATCATAATTCTTACAAACCAGATACATTATCTCTGAGGGCTTTCTGTGGTTTCCTTAACATATAAACAGAAAGTCAGAACTTGTTGTATTTTGGTATACTAGAATTTGAAAGAGTTTGATTTCTACAGTTTTCTGACCACAGTAAATCCAGTGTTGACATCTTGATGCCTTTGTGGGAGGTTCCTTTGGAGCAAGATGTAACTCAGTGTCTGCACAAGATCTGCCAAGTAGCCCTGCCACAGCAGTGCCTGGCTCAGCTTACTAGTTACCCTCAGTCAGCGGGCACAGTCATAGAAACCCACGAGTCACAAGTTTATTGAGCTCCTTCTATGCATAACACACCATGCTGGCTTGGGGACAGTGAAAAAGTAATGTGGCCCCTGCTCTGAAGAAGCATGGAGTCTGTGTGGAGAGAAACCAGTATCCATGAAATAGCTATAGAGTCTGGACTCTTGGACTGTTAGATCTGTCTGGAAGGAACCTTAGAGATCATCTTTCCAGCCCACCTCCCTCAATGTACAGCAGAGAAAGTGATGCCTATAACTAAATGCTTATTTCTATGGTGTAGTCCAGGGCTTATCAAATTTAGCTGCTTCCCAGAATCAGCTGGGGATCCAGAGTGCCTGGGGTAGGGACCCAGGTATTTATTTTGGAGTTCATAAGTCCTATAGTTTGCTTATTGGATTTGGGAATGGTAACAGGCTGAGAGTGGTTTTGGAATCTAGGATTTTGGGAGCTCAGTGAAAGACCAAGAAAGAGCCTCAGGGAGGAAATGATGTTGCATAAAGGGCAGGTAAGATTGAGGGAGACTGGAGCCTTTGGGGACAGGGGTGCAGTTAGGTGAGCATATGGAATTGGGAACTGGTGTGGCCGAGGTGATGAGGAAGATGTTTTACGTCACGTGACTCTCTTGGACAGCAAGGGGCTGTAGGAGATTTTGTACATTTGCTTTGAAAAAGAGCTGTGAGTATATTTCTGCTAAAGACATTTTGATAGTCAATTTGACTTTTTTTTTTTTAGTTTTAAGAAAGTATGTAATTGCATCACAATTAATTCTTCAATTCCAAATTGATTATATTCGACAAAGCGTGATATTTTTCTTTAGTTTATCATCAAATCATAGTTAGTCTGTTCACTGCCATCTCAAAATAGTTGAGACAGAAACTGATAATTTTGTATACTCAGTTTCCGAATTTCTTGGTAATAAAGTAATTTATATGCAATATGCTAATATATTTGGATAAAGAGGTGTACTATGGACAACCAATGAAAACACTTAACATCTATAAGCTATTCTTTTTGAAAATAATTTTATTCTCAAAGTGAATTCTCTTTATGGAACTTTTGATATTATAAAGATACACGAAATTGGACAATCTATATAAATCCTTCATAATAAATTTTATTTCTCCAATGTGTATAATAAGACATCAAACAGAATTCCCCTTTTATGAAAAAACTATTTTATACCTATGCATATTTTATGGTTGTGTTCATTTTCTTTTTCTAAGAAATTTAACTCTATGATTTAACTTATTTTTAAACGATGCATAATACGTGCACATTTTTATAGGGTACGTATAATATAATATTTTGTTACATGCATACGACGTGTAATGATCAAGTCTGGTTGTGTTCATTTCACTGTCGAACTGTCAAACACAAGCAGTGCTTTTTGGTACTGTTACATTTCTCCTTGTTGTGTGGGTTGGTTGAAGGCAGGAACTGTAATGATTAAGAACACAGACTGTGAACCAGATAGTCTGAGTTCTGATCCCCTGCTCTGCCACCAGCTAGCTGTGGATAGCTCTATTTTGTCTATTGTGAATAGTGGAAAAGAAAGAATAATACGTACCTCAAAGGATTAATGTGAGGATTAAATGAGCTAATATGCGTAAAGTGTTTAGTACAGTTAAGTGCACAATGTGTTTAGCTATGATTACTTTTTAAGTTGTTATTAATTGTAGCTGGCATATGACCTGACACATAGCATGTGGTCGCCGAGTGTTTATTGACTAAATGAGGGACTGTACCGATTACTGTAAAGTTTTGTTAAATAGAATACTTTTTTTTCTAAGCTATTTCCATCCTGTATATGCCCAAAGGCATCAACAATTTGTAGTAGAATAGTTTAATCAGTGAGAGAGAATATTTGGTCAAAAAGATTGGTGTGGTCACGTGGAATAGCTAATGGCACTGTGGGCAAGGGAACATTTTTGATGAAGTCATAGAACTTTGTGGCTTTCACTGGGAATCTCGAGCCTGAGCCAGAACCCATACCGTCTGATTCCAGGCTGAGACAAGGGCAGCACTTTGTTCAGTGGCTGGTCCCTGGAGCTGGCTCACTCCGTACTCCCTTCTCTCCCTCTCTGCCTCTCCTTCCACCACCCCCTCCATTCTTCCTCCCTTAGCCTTGTAAAGCTGAGGATCCTTAACCTGGAGGTCAGGGAATCCCTCTCATCGTCTCTGCATTTCTGTTCCTTTCTTTCATTTTTGTCTTTCCTGAGAAGACAGCCTACAGCTTTCATCAGACTCCCAAAGGCAGCCGTGACCCCGCTTCCGTGAGGGTGGAAGTGGCTCTGGCAGCAGCCGTTTTCCATTATGAGCAGGCGCTGAGGTGGAGCTCAGAGAACTGTAAGAACTCTATTGCTTTGTGAGTGTTTCTAGCAGCAAAGGAAACGGTGGGCACGAAGAGGGTAGCTTGGCAAAGCCGTTGTGCCAGGCAGAAGTGCGGTGATTGTGAAGACACTGTGGAGTCCCTTCTTGACTGCCTGGACCAGCAGGGGCTTGCGGTGACCTGTCCAGGTCATAAGCACAATGCAGGCCATGGTTTGGAAGGTACTCCAGGAAAACCTCAGGGCCTGTAGGGCGTTCTCTTGTCTGTCATTTCCTCATGGCACAGTGGAGTCAGGTAGCTTAGATTTGCCTGAACTGCAAACCGGCTGATTGACCTAGACTTCCTCGTAGCAAGTCACAACTGCTAAATGAAAAATACCGTTGTTCTTTGCTTAAAATAAAATTAAGGGGGCAATGTTGTATATAAATACTTAGGAATTCAAATGCATTATTTTAAGAGCCATTTTATTTCATTTTATTTTATTTTATCCTTTTTTTGAGACGGAGTTTTGCTCTTGTTGCCCAGGCTGGAGTACAGTGGCACTATCTGGCACAATCTTGGCTCACCACAACCTCCGCCTCCCGGGTTCAAGTGATTCTCCTGCCTTAGCCTCCTGAGTAGCTGGGATTACAGGGATGCATCACCATGCCCAGCTAATTTTGTATTTTTAGTAGAGATGGGGTTTTTCCATGTTGGTCAGGCTGGTCTTGAACTCTCAACCACAGGTGATCTGCCTGCCTTGGCCTCCCAAAGTTCTAGGATTACAGGCATGAGCCACCAAGCCCAGCCAAGAGCCATTTTATAGGAATGCATATCACACTATGTCCCAAGGGCTTTTCAAGTATTAATTGGAATTTGAGTTGTCTAGGTCACTACTCCATGACAAAATCATGACTAAATAGCTTCACATATCCCTTTTATAGCTGTAGTGTAAGTCCTTGATTTTTTCCCCTCCATTATGCAATATTCAAATTTATCACACAACAGCTTTAACGTAACTGATGGCAGTGCACTTTTTGTTGCTGAGGCAGGATGAAGGACTTTTTAATATAGTCTGGCTACACACCAAGAGTACAGAAGTGATCCATTTTCCCCTGGCAGCTAGGTGGAAGACAGTCCATGTTGGGACATTTACTTAAGCATGGCCAGACAGGAGGGCTTTATCAGGATAACATTCTTTTGCCAAGTATGTGTGATAAAGCCAGAGTTAGACTTTGGGAATTTGGACCTTGTCTATATTTAGCATCCAGAAACCACTATGGGGCTGTCATTGGTTAGGTGTTTCCAGTCCCAGTTCTTGCTGCAGTTAGATAGTTTGTTCTGAAGTTTGTCCATTCATTCATTCGTTTGTTCGTATTTCAACATATCTCACTTTTTCCTGACATTGTTTACTTACGGGACATTTTTAGAACTATCTGAATTATTTTTGATGAGAAAATCTCATAATGAGAATTAAAATTAAGAAAAACTAGAAATGCTTATGTAATTTGGCAGATCCTCTTAAAAAGCTTTTCAAGAAACCAGGTATTAAAAAAATCCCTAAATCAAGGGAAGAACTATCAATACAAATTTTTCTTTAAAGGAATTTAAAAAACGCACAAGAGCTTTCTGTGAGATTACATCTCAGTTTTATCCCTAAGAGACATAATTCCTCTACAGAGGCTGCCTACTGAGAACTGTTGATCAACCAGAGGCCAAATGTGAGTTTACTTCTGACCATGCCACTCACTGGAATCTGATTTTTTTATTTTCATGTCTATAAAGTGAGGATGGGGACACTATCCTGTCTAACTCATGGGGTTGTGTGAGAATTAAATGAATTTTCACAGCTAACCTATGACAGTACCTTACACTCAACCCTCAATAAATCAGAAGAGTTTTCCCCCAATGATTCTGTGTGTCAGAAAGTGTGAAGGGTGAATCAGAGTTAATTATAGAGGCCCTGTGATCCTAATCCACAGTCTCCCTATTCTTTTGTCTGTGAATATAGAACATGGGTGGGTCAGAGGCCAAATGGTTCCTAAGCCAGATGATGAGGGGGTGCAGGTCAGGGGACGTTCAGGAATGCCGGATGCAGGGTGGAGGCTCAACAGAAGGTCTTCTGTTGGAGGAAGTGCCTGGGTGAGCAGGTGGTCACTGACATGGTGGCGATTTTCTCGCTTGCCCAGCTCTGCTTGGGTTGGCTGCCCAGAGGCATCCTCTTCTGTCTCCAGATCTGAGTGAAGGAGAGAGAGGTGCTTTTAGAAAGAATTGACTTGTAGTTTGGAAACTCCTTCCTGGTTAGAGAAAATGGGCCTCTGTATCAAGACTTTTTCTTTTTTAAAATATTTGTATAAATGTATGGAGTACAAGTGTAATTTTGTAACTTGCTTATATTGCATAGTGGTGAAGTCAGGGATTTTAGGGTTTCCGTCACCTGAGTGACAGACATTGTACCCAGTGAGTAATTCCTAACCCTTGTCGCCCTACTTCCTGAGGACAGTGACCTGATTCCACTTGTGGACTGTGGGCTTGGCTTACCTTGTGGATGGCTCCAGCCCCCAGCAGAAAACTTAGAAGCATCAGATCTTAGTGTTGCTGTGGCTTTCTGCCTGTGGTTCAGGCTGCATTGCTGGTTTCTGAACCTTGCTTTTCCTTGACCTCTGTGTGTATCCCAGATCTCTACTGTGATCTGACTTTGTAGCCTCTTCCTTGATCCTGATTGCCAGCTACTGGGTACAACTTAGTCTGCTCCCAGCCCAATAAAGACCCCACCTCTGGTTCCAACCTTTTCCTGGCTGTCATCCTAGGTTTCCACCTTCTTGAGAGCCATCTTTTTTAGAGAAGTGCAGAGTTCACTATCCAGGTCCTTTGGCTGCATCCTGGCCGGGGGTGGGGGCAACATACAGATCATTTCCCTCAAGTAAAACATTGAGGCACACTGGTTAGTGCTTGGTTCATGCCTGTGTTTTTTCTTTTTCTGGAGTCTTGCCTTAATATATATGTATATATTTTTTTTGCTAATAGACTGTCCTTTCCTCCCTCCCTCCCTTTAGAAGAGATGGTAGGTTTCATTTTGCCTCTTGTCTCCAGGTTTCAGGAAAATGAAAATGATTTATAAGAGAGGTGACAAATCTGCATAGAGTTTTTGTTTGTTTGTTTGTTTGTTTGTTTTTAGTTTCAGCTAAGGCCCCAGATAAAAATGTAAGGAAAAAGAAAATCTTCAAGATGAACTATATTAACGTTTTAATTAAAAGTAATATTCTTTGACAGAGCTAAACAAAATTACAATAAACATCTAACTACTAATAATAGCATCTTTACCTATATTCTCTCTAGTCCTCATAATAACCTAATGCAGCAGACACAGTGCCTCTATCAAACATACAAGGAAACCAAGGCATAGTTAGGTTTCAGCCTGAATTTGACATCCGACCTGATGTCATTCTACCATGCCATTCTGATTTGCAGCAAAGCAGGTGTTCACTCTGGCTCTGGCTATTCTAAAGGATAGTACAGTTCTCTTAAAAAACTGTAAATTCTGGTTCTTATTCTTGGTTGGTTTGCAGTGTCTGAGCTAGGCCACTGGAGTGCTGCTGTGTGATGAACTCTGCTGAAGTGATAGTGACAAGAGTCACAGTGAAATACATAGTGAGTTAAGAGCAAGGAAAATAAGATCAGGAAGTTCTGTCTTCATGGCCAGGCACTTGAGGAACATCAGACGTCAAGGAGGCTGAGTTACTCTTCTTTTTGTGTGGTGAGTCTATTGACCCAGAACGCAGATATAACATCTGCGGCATCAGACCTTTCTTGTACCCTGAGAAAAATAAGCTTCAGACCAAGGAGCAAACACTAGTACAGGAATCTGGTGTTTGTACAGGAATCTGGGCCATTAGGACAAATTTAAATTATGTCTGCAAGTGGTTATGAGCTGGGGAAGCGTGAGTTCTGTTGGGGGGCCACAAGAAAGTACAGTTCATCATATTGCTTCATATTTCTAGATTCCTAGGAAATGTATTCTAGATTCATTTCTGGGAGCTAAGCAGGAACTGTGTATACCAGTTGAATTCAGCCCATGCTGATTGTGCACCTGTGGTTAAATAAGGTGCAGCAGGCAAGAGAGAGAAGTATGTTTAGACAGCATCTGCCCTCAAGGAGTTTGTAACCTAGTTGAGAATCTTGAAATCTGTTTTCTAGTTTGCTAGTTTCTAGTTGGCTTTAACTAATTAATTAATTTTAGATTCAGGATACTACTGTGTAAGTAAAACTTAATTACATTTGACATGATACAGTTGGCCCTCCATATCTGCGGTTTCCACATCTGTGGATTCAACCAAACTTGGATTGAAAATATTCAGCAAAAGGCCAGGCACTGTGGCTCATGCCTGTAATCCCAGCACTTTGGGAGGCTGAGGCAGGCGAATCACGAGGTCAGGAGATCAAGACCATCCTGGCTAATACGGTGAAACTCCGTCTCTACTAAAAATACAAAAAATTAGCCGGGCGTGGTGGTGAGCACCTATAGTCTCAGCTACTCGGGAGGCTGAGGCAGGAGAATGGCGTGAACCTGGGAGGCAGAGCTTGCAGTGAACCGAGATCACGCCACTGCACTCCATCCAGCCTAGGCAACAGAGTGAGACTCTGTCTCAAAAAAAAAAAAAAAAGAAAATATTCAGCAAAGGAGCCCCAATAAAAAATAATACAAATAAAGAAACTATAGTATAACAGCTATTTACATAGCATTTACATTGTATTAAGTATTATAAGTAATCTATAGCGATGCTTTCAGGTATATGGGAGCATGTGCTTAGATTATATTGAAATACTATGCCGTTTTATATCAGGGAGTTTAGCATCCTAGGATTTTGGTATCCCCAGGGGTCCTAGAACCAATCCCTTGAGGATACCAAGGGACGGCTATATAATTCCTCATTTGACTTTTTAATTCTTTCATTTAGGGATGTTTACAAGTCCATTTAACTCAGTTCATTCCACAGCTGAATGAGCCTGTTCTCTGTGCCATAATTTACAACACTGATTATATTAAAAACAAGACCTGATGCTCTTGGCCAGGAGCAGAGAGCCCTCTGAGACATTGTATGTGCTTGGGTCAAATCCAAGTCCTACATAGATATTCCTGCAGAGAGAATTCTCTGAAAGGATTGAAATAATGATCACAAAGGTCACTTCCAACTCTAAATCTATGATTTTGGTTCAAAAAAATAAATAAATAAAAACAAGCCCTGTAAAAGCTGTGAGTTTAGGGTAGTAAAAACTCTCCTTAGTATTTTGGATGAAATTCATAGACCTTGACAAACCTGTATATTCGCTTACAGTATCTTCTGCATTTCAGCAGAAGCTGAATTCACCAGGTTTCAAAATTTCAATCTTTGATAATGTGGTACCTGGGCTGAGCCTGTGAACGGATGTTGTCATATGAACTGAAGCTCTTTGAGCCAGTCTAGCTTGGCATGAATTTGCTGGCCAGTCTGTGCTGCTTTCTAGTTGGAATATGCAAAATATGTGTAGTTTACTAATTGAAATATTCATTTTAAAGGAAAATTTGCCAAGGGAACTGGCTTAGGGCAGGAAGAATGCTTCTGAAGGAGTGAGTTGTCGACAATACTAGCAAGAGATGAGAAATTTAGAGAACTGGATTAGAAAGCCAGCAAAATTCACCCATTAACTGGTGTCCAAGGGCATTCCTTGAACCCTTCTTTGTCCTTTTTTCTTTTTTTTCTTTCCCTCTTGGATAAAATTAGAGGCTTGGCTTAAATGGCCTCTAGTTTATCCAGCCTTAAAAACTCTATGATGCTGAGTGGTTTCCAGATAAATAAACCATCACTTGGTTAGTTTCTGATAATGGAACAGATACTTGGTAGTGGAAATAGTAGAGAAAGAGAATTTGGGTATTAGCTAGATTTCCTCCCTCCACTTCCCCAAACTCCTAGATTGGATTAGATCAGGAAGGAGGAAGTAACAGATACTGTAGTTTCCCATTGCTGCTATAACAAATTACCACAAATTTAGCAGCTTAAAACAGCACACATTTATTATCTTAGAGTGCTGAAAATCAGAAGTCCACAGTGGGTTTCACTGGGCTAACATCAAGGTGTTGGCAGGCCTGTGCTCCTTCTGGAGGATCTAGGGGAGAATCTGTTTCCTTGCTATTTCCAGCTTCTAGAGGAGCTCCACATTCTGACTCACGGCCCCATCCTCCATCTTCAAAGCCAACAACCTCCTCACTCTGGCCCTCACTTGTCTAACCTTCCTGCTCCTTCTTTTGCTTAGAAGGGCCTTAGCGACTACCTTGGGCCTGATCTTATTATTTTTAAGATTAATTTTAATTGTTTTATTTTCGTTTGAGACAGTCTCACTGTCGCCCAGGCTGGAGTGCAATGGTATGATCTCGGCTCATTGCAACCTCTGTCTCCTGGGTTCTAGCAATTCTCCTGCCATGGCCCCCTGAGTAGCTGGGATTACAGGTGCCTGCCACCATGCCCGGCTACGTTTTGAATTTTTAGTAGAGACAGGGTTTCACTGTGTTCGCCAGGCTGGTCTCCAGCTCCTGGCCTCAAGTGATCCACCTGCCTTGACCTTCCAAAGTGCTAGGATTACAGGTGTGAGCCACTGTGCCTGGCCAGGCCTGATCTTTAACTTACATCTGCACAGTCTCTTAAGTCATAGAAGGGAACACATTCAGAGGTTGCAGGCATTAGGAGGTGGGCATCTTTGGGGAGCCATTCTTCTACTTACTGCACATACATAACGTTGATAGCATTACAGAGCTGGGACACCACACTTCCCTCTCTGGAAATAAATATTTCCAGCAGATTAAATCATTTTTATAATTAATGAGAGACTTTCAGCTTTACTGTTCCGGTCCCTTGTACCACAGCAGGGAATTTATTAAAAGGAAAAAGGGGAGAAAATGGAAAAAGAACTACATGTTGGGGAGGCAGTTTTATCAGCTCGAATGGAGTCAACCTCAGTGTCCTCAGAAGCAGAGTGTGCTGTTTACTTGGACTCAGTGGTGCAGAGGAAAAGGGAAATGGGTTCCCGGGGCTGGAGCCATAGGTGTTTTGAGACCTGTCTCTTAGGCAACTTGGTGAGGTATTAGGTTTTACATTTTGAGAGTTCACCTGCAGTGACCACATTGCCTTCCATGTTGGGGTGACGTGTATTTACTTTCAGGTATCGAGGCTTTTTTAAAGCCCTGGGAAGTTGTCACATCCTCTGTGGGGAAGAAATTCCTGCACACAGTCTGAATGTGATACTGACTGTCTTTAGAGTTCTCTGCAGCAGAAGCCCTACTCTTACTATCTCAAGGGTGACATTTTAATTGTCACTGCATTAGATAAGAAGATATCTCGGTTTGTAGTTAGACATAATTGAGGATAAGGCAGAGTTCGGGAGAAGCAGTCAGTGGCACTTGAGTCACATCTTTTTCACCATGAACACCAGCTGCTCTGCATCCATACCCTGATTTGACGTAGACATTCATGTCATCAGAGGAAACTCACTTGGTTCCTGAGACATTTACATGTCTGCAGCCCATTTTTGTATTCTAATTTGCTTTGCATGCTAACCTGTCCACAAACCAGATTTAACACTACCTGGAATGGCAGAGAGACACTGGCCAGGGTCTTAAAGGAGAATCTGAGCTGCCTTTGGGTGTGGCTGTGTCTTAAGTAGCCAGGTCACACCAAGCTCCATCCTACGGGCCCCAAAGCATTTGGACAGCACTATGCCTCCAAAGGCACAAAACATCTCATCGAGGGTGGGAACTATGGAGAAACAAGCAGTGCAAACAACTGAAATATAATATTCTGTGTTTGCCATCACTTGAGACATCATCAGATAAATGCATTCTGGGAATTTGGCCAGAACCTATCAGAAAAAGTAAAAGCTGGAAACATAAAATACAGAATTTGAGATTTTCCCTAATTATAGTGAAATTTCCATAATTATTTCCCTAATAAACAGTTTTTTTGGCCACTGTTGTTGCCGTTTCTAGAAATGGGATTATTCTGGTCTGACAGTTTCTAGGAAATATAAGTACTTATTCTCCAAGCTCTTGTCTGGTGGTGCTCTGTGGAAGGGCATTCTTTAGTGAAGAATCTTAATAGAATGTTCTGAGAAAGAGAAGCACACAGCCTGGATAATAATTTGTTGCACTTTCTGCATATTGTTTTTCTTTAATTCTCAGGGCTTTAATATAAAGAAATGCCCCCTCACTAGAGGGGGCAAAATGATTGCCCCAAACACGAGCTGTGGTTCTTGAAGACGTCTTTGCTAAATGAAGACACTGATCATGGTGTTTCTTAAGAGAGTTTTAGAAGAGGTGGATTGGGGAGTCAGGGATGTTTGCCCTGGTTTACCTGGGGGCCTTGAATTTTAACTTAGTTCATGGTCTGCTTCTGTTTGCCCATGGTCCCCGTAAATGGGTCTTCTGCAAACTTATCCCATCGCCCACCTACAAACATGAGAAGTTAGCTCAGGTCCTTCTTGTGAAAGCTGTAATACTCTTTGGAGCAGAGAGCTCCTGTCTTTTCTTTCTAGAGTGGTTGTATTTATACTCATTGTCATCTAAGTACATGCTCTGTTTGCTAGAAGGAATTAAGATCCTGTAATGGTCCTTTTAACATTTAAATTAGGATACTTTTATCTCTGCAGGCTTCCTGCCTCCTCTCCACCAGTGCTCAAAGGTGGACTTTAATTGACCTCCAAGTGGCAGTGACTGTTTCCAACATCCCTTAATTCTCCAGAGTCAGAGTTTGTGTTATTGGCATAAATAAGGTCAATAAGCCCTCGGCTGGGGCTTTGTCCATTATCTCTAACTGGGTGTTGAGTCTTAGGAAGGACCTGCACATCCTCACCTTGGATGCAATTGAAAGCACTTTGCCTATTGTGTACCGTCTAATTTAGAATTCAGAGACAAACTGGGCTTTAACTTTTCACCAAGTAAAATGAGATAAAAGCCCTTGTTAAACCAAAGAATTCTGTAAACAGTGCTGGGATATGTTGACCTTTTTAAAGAAACTAATCTATTAACAAACCATTTTTTAAGTCACCTTATTGCTTCATACTGTATGGATCCACTGTAAAATCGTAGTGTTCAGCACAGTATAAATATACGTAAGTGCAAGCATATTATCATGATTATTAACATAGCTGCTGTCCTAGAGACTGCTCTTGGTAGGCGAGAGGTCAGGGTTGGACATGCAGGCAGGGAAATAGCGGACCAGCTCCCTTTGGGAGAACACAGAGAGTGGCAAGAACAAGAGGGTACTGAGGAATACTTTGGACAGGTGGAGGAGGAACAGAGCAGGAGGAGGGCCAGGAGGCAGAAAAGTCCAGGAGCTCAGGAAGTGGGAAATTCCAAGGAGTGAGGGGTCAGCAGAGTAAAACGCAGCAAAGTCATTGAGCTCCGTTAGATCGGGAGACAGTGGAGCGGGCAGCCTTGCCTGAGACACCTGACGGATGCACACAAGGAAACCAAGGCTTGCAGCGATTCAGCATTGGGTCCGTGGCTGAGTTACAACAAGGGACCAGGGGTGGTGGTCGTTCGCAGTTTTCTACTCAGTCTCCTTCTGACTTGTGAGAGATTAGTTCCTCTGATATGACTGTGTTTATAGTACCCTATTATACAGATCACGTGTTCTTGTTTTTTGTAATTTAACAATTTCTCATTTCATTAGTCTCTTATTCAGGTCCGTAAAGTCATGGATGAAGTAAAGTGTTGCATTTTGCACATTAGGTTCCTTATTTACAATTTTAAACTTAGGTGCAACACAAAATTTTCACAGGCAAAGAATAAACAGGATTCCTATGAAGAGGTCATCTGAAAAGCCCTTGACAGCAACCTTTAGATTATAGACAACGACAATTGTTCTTTTAATTTTTAACTTCTGACTATGATATATGAACTTGCCTTTATTTGAGAAAGAGGTTAGTGTCTTAGTTATTTGGTGCTCTGTGTTTCATTTTATTTGACCAAATAACACATTTTGTTGAATTTCAGGGTAGACAGAGAAAATGCATGGCATATGTATTAATTTGATGAAGCTGCCCTATAAAGTCCCACAGCCTGGACAGCCTCAACAGCAGGTGTGTGTCACCTGGCAGTCCTGGGGGCTGGAAGGCTGAGAGGAAGGTGTTGGCAAGGCTGGTTCCCTCTGAGGGTGGTGAGGGAGAATCCCTTCATGCCTCTCCAGCTTCTGGTGGATGCTGGTGATCTTTGGCGTTCTTTGGCTTGTGGATGTATCACCCGACACCTTCATGTTTTCTGGGCATTCTGCCTGTGTGCATGCCTGTGTCCACGTGTCCCCTTTTCATGAGGACACCAGTCACACAGGGTTGTGGTGCCCACCCTACTCCAGAGTGACCTCATCTTAACTAGGTCTGCAACAACCTCATTTTCAAATAAAGTCACATTCTGAAGCATTGGAGATTAGGATGTCAGCATCTGAATATTGTGGGGTCTGCAGGGACACAATTCAACCTGTAACAGCATGTTAGACTACAGCATGGGAAGATCCTCTGAGGCTGAAGTTAGGGAACCTGTCCTCAACATTGACACTCACAGCGTTGGCCTTTATCTTGTTCTCCATCGAAAAAAGACATTGCAGTGAACAATGTCTCATTCCAACAATAACTTCTTCGTATTTTAATCAACGAGTGAACTAGCCAAGTCATTTAATATGGGGACAGAAATAGGAAACAAAGAACTCAGTTAAGGTAAAAGGGATGGCAGGAAAGAGGGAAATGAAGGTGAAAAGGCAAAGATAAAATACAAACGAGAAGAAACAGCAATGAGGTTATTTTGGAAACTGGTTGACCCAACAGGTCAGTGTTTGTGATATGGTGGATTCCTAGCATTCATGGCATTAATCCTGCACTTAATACACATGAGGAACAAGGGTGCAGCTCTTGGTGTGACTGCAGAGATGTTTCCGTTTGTTGTGAGCACCTCCCTTCTTGGTCTGAAATGGGCACTTTCTCTGGGGTTGCAGGCTTTACCAGTAGGACAGGCAGCTAGCTCATGGTATAGCCCGGCCAGCAAGCCTGCCCCAGCCCAACTCAGGATCAGCTCTCCATGGGTCCAGCTCCAGGTGTGCAGCATGTGCCCTTAAAGGCCAAGGGTTCATTTAAAGCAGTAATCCCCAACCTTTTTGGCACCAGGGACCGGTTTCGTGGAAGACAGTTGTTCCATGGACGAGGAGGTGAGGGTGGGGATGGTTTCAGGATGAAACTGTACCACCTCATATCCTCAGGCATTAGTTAGATTTTCATAAAGAGAGCACAACCCAGATTCCTCGCATGCACAGTTCACAATAGGGTTTACTCTCCTATGAGAATCTAATGCCGCCGGTGATCTGACAGGAGGTGGAGCTCAGGCTCACTCACCCTCCACTCACCTCCTGCTGTGCGGCCCAGTTCCTAACAGGCCATGGACTGTTATGGTCTGGGGGTTGGGGACCCCTGATTTAGAGGACAGTCTGGGCATGGGCTGGACATGGGGAGGGGAAATGTCTTGTTCCATGGTTAAAGTGCAGGTGATTTTACCAGCCACCACATCTCCTAGAGTAGAAATCTCTAGTTTTTGGAGATGCTTTCATTGTTTGTATTTAGTAGCAGATGTCAGAAGGCATAAAAATACATGATAAATGCTATTTAGTTGAGCAAACTAGGTTTACAGGCTGTACTACCTGTAGATAACCACATATGCTGTACAGTACGTGCCTTGAATAGATATCCCTTGAAACCCTGAAGTGGGTGTCTTTGTTGGAAAAAGACAGTTGATTCACGGAGGAGAAACAAGCCACAGCCGAGGTTTTGTAAAGAAAGTAGCAGCCCCTTTATGTCGTAATTTGGTATTTACGGTTTTGCTCGAAGAATTTTTAGGGGTACCCCTTCTAGCTCCCACCAATCGCCATGCCAGCAATTTAAAGGTGCTAACCTTTAAAAGAAGACACTAATACTGAGCCAGCTCATTTGTGCAGCTTCAGGCAGGAGCCAGAGCGTGGTGGTTTCTTTCTACAGACCAGGGGCCTCACAGAACCACACTTCCTCTCTCCCGACGTGTTTCGTGGGTAAAGTGGATGCTTGCTTTGTGTGTTTTTCAGATCTAAGTCCGTGTTTGTCAAGTATGGCATCATGGAGTCATCTTACTCACAGATGGTCTACTGTATATTTCACAATTCATGTTTTATATGCTATTCACATAAAAAGCTCAGAATTCGGAGACTTGAACCCCTCCTGTCACTTTTATACTTTCGTGTAAAAGATATCTCAGATTTCTTCTAGTATTAGACATTTTTATTTTAAATTTTTTTCTCTATTGTATATGATGACATTTCCAGAATTAAAAGCTTTTGCATACATTCTATTTCTTCTTAGAAACAGGTCATATACTGTTAGACCCTGGTTGACAAGAAGAAATGTAGCATTAAATTGCAGTGTGTTTCAAGTCAAATGTTTTAATGCCACAACTTCTGAAATGTAGAGTAATTTTAAACAAATATTTGAGTATCTACACTGTGCTGGATAAGTATTTAGCTACAGTATTATTCTGTCACGTCCTTTTATATATTACAAAATGTTCATTCCTATCAGCAATTTTAATACTGAAAACCAGAAACAATATATCCTATTATAAGAAAAATCTCATTTATTAAAATTAAAAATTATCACGCAAGTTCACTAGAGATGGCAATTTGCAATACAAAAAAAGGCTTTCGTGAAAAAAATGTCTTCAGGGAGTAGATCTTTTAGGTGTTAAAGATAATTACTTCATTCAACAGATCTTGGTTGAGCATCTACCATGAGCTGACACTTGTAATTATGTGACAGAAATGAGCGTAGAGAAATGGAAGGGAAGAGAGAATCTTCAGGAGCCATGGCCAGTTTGGATCAGTTGGAAATGAAGCTAATGCCTTCCTAAAATTATCATGTACTGTTAAGAAAACTAAGTGTTTTAATGGAAAAAAAATTATCATGTATGAAACGGTGTGCAAATATAACTGACGATTAGAATTCAACTTATAACTTTCTAAGAGCATGTCTGTAGAATAAACTATGAACATCGTATAATAATTCAGGAGAATCACAGTGTGAAAATAAATGAAAGGCTATGATTGCATCTCAGTCATGAACAGGAAAGTTGACCTGGAGCATAAACATGACTGCTCCAAAAAGTGTTGTATCTTCTAAAAATGCTCAGATTTCTACTTCTAACAATTATAGCAACGATGGTTTCACATCTGTTAGTCAGACGGTTTTAATCTGCAAAAGGTTAAATGTTTGACAGTTACTTGTTCTCACATGCAGATTAGCTGCTTGGAGTTTAACCTTTAGATGTGCTTACGCAACCACGTTTTACAGTTTTTTTTTTTATAAAACCACCCAAACAGAAACAGTCTAATAACTTGCAACTAGGAATACAGAAATCCAGGAGACACTTTTTTCACTTGATACAAATTACTCCAATTACCTTCCCTCTTCCTTTCTGTCTGGGAGTATCTTAACACTCACCCTAATGTGTAGAAGCAACTTCACAATTAAAGAACTGAAGCCATTTGTAGAGATATAAATGTCAGGACAGGATGATTCTTCCACTTCAATACCTTGCAGGATTTTAAAGGAGTGAGTGTAACTGCGTGATACAGAGGAGAAGAGACATGGGATCTTTTATCTTTACCTGAGAATGGGGAGATATGTATGAATTTTAAACTTTTTTGAGTGAGGAGTTTATATCTGGAGCTTCTGATTATTATAAAAGAGCAAAAAATCATAGGCTTTCTATTACTGCATTCAACTTTTAAATGCGTGTTGATGATACATTAATTTTAAGGCATTATTCACATAGATAAGGCATTTGATTAAACTGATTCAAGTTATATCGTATCAAATTTCTTTCTGATTTTGTGTTGCTTGAAGAACAAGACAGGATTAAAAAACAGGCAAGAAAATAGGAGATGGCTAAACATTAACTCTATGTAAGCCATTCTGTCCTCATTTTTAATCAGTGAATGCTCTTAAGCTTGATCATATATTGCAGAAAATGTTTTTTAAAGGGACTATGACTGTTTTCTAGGTAGAGGCATCATACTAGGTATTTTACGTGTTATTTAAATATCTCCATGACTCATTTAGGCAAAAACTATCATGTTTCCTATTTTACAAATGAATTCATAGGCTAAAAATGTTTATTGGTGGTTTCCAAAATTGGACTGCTAGCAACTCATGGGAAAAAATGGACATTCCTGGACCCCCCTCTGGAGGGTAAGATTTTGAAGTTCTGGGGTATAGATCTGATTATCTTTAGAGTTAAGTAGTTTCCCCATTTGATTCTAATAAACACCTTGATTTGGAGGTCACACTTGGGTGGCAGAGCCACTCAGTATCACACAGTTAAAAAAAATGATAGAAATCCATCCATGTTCCTGCAAAGGGCATGATCTTGTTCTTTTAGTGGCCTGTTGGAGGGTGGAGGTTGGGAGGAGGGAGAGGATAAAAAAAAAATAACTAGAGAGTACTAGGCTTAACACCTGGGTGACAAGATAATCTGTTCAACACACCCCCATGATACAAGTTTACTGTATAACAGACCTGCACATGTACCCCTGAACTTCAAAGAAAACTTAAAAAATACAAGGTTTGGTTACCATCTAAGGAGAAAAAAATACCCAAAGTGATAGAACTGAGGTTGGGACTCAGTTCTGTGTGACTCTCCACCTCATAGTCTGGAAGTGACTGTCATGGGGACCTTGAAAATCACCCTCAAATCCTAACAGTTGAAAGAGTCCTAGCGTTTATCTTGTCCATCATCTTTACTAATGTGGGATTTCCCTCCCAGCATCCTTGATGGTGGGCGTCGGGAGTCCCAGCTGGAAGTAGTTCAGAGGAGATGAGCCTCTGAGTGTTCCTTGCTATGGATGAGGCAGTCCTAATTATTAGCAAGCTCTGCTCTACTCTGAGTATGTGTGTTCCTGCTGGCCACTTGCTAGTTTTGCCCTCTGGAGCTATCCAGAATAAGTCAAGTCCTTTTTTACGCATCACAGCCTTTGGGCTATTTAAAGAAACTCATCCTCTTCCAACTGAGGCTTTCCTACTTTAGGATAATTGTGTCAGGCGCCAAGTTCAAATCTCCCTTCACCCTCTTGAAAAAGAAATCCCACCACAGCCTCAACAAACAGCTGTGATATCAACCACAAAATCTTCCTAGCTCATCAGAAGCTATGGCTGTTTCTCCCAGTGGCAGATTGTTTCTTAGCCTCCCTGGATCTCCCAGTTAATTTCCTTTGTTTTCTGTATTTCTTAGCACCCTGTATCAAAATTAGGACACTTGCTCCCTGTTTATAACACACATTTAAATTTTGTTTGTCAAAAAGATCATTCATGGTTCAGGTCAAAGCTATGAAGAAGACAGGAACTTAGAGCATTAAGAGAGAAGTTGGTTGTGCCGAAGCGAGCTGGCGTCTCAATTCCACGTAGCTTGTGATCTTGCGGCCTTCGGCAGTACAACAAGGCCAGCCTTTACAGAAGAACAAACTGTTCCTGAACAGTTCCTCCACTGTATTAAAAGCAAACATATTTTTTCTCCTATATTGAACCCTTCAGCCTTTTGTGTTTAAACTATTTCTCATCTTGTTTGAACTATTTTTTCTGGAACAAACATTTATTGTAGGCAGTGTAAATAACAGCTGGCACTCTGTTTGTGTTGACTTTTGTATGTCTTCTGGGCCATTATTTAGTTAGCAGAGAGTTTGGAGACCCAAATTCATGTCTCTGCCTTGTTACCAGTTTAGAGCTTAGACAAGTCTTTTAATTTTCTAGGACATAGTTCTCTTGTGAAATAGGGATAATAAGTACCCTTGCCCTACCTCATGGAGAGGGATGATAAAAATATGGGCTACCGAGAGTCTTAAGATATCTAGAAAAATGTGCTACAGAAAACAACATCATGCTAGTGTGCATTATTAATTGCCATTATTATTAATGCCACTATTGGCTTATCAATGGAATTTAGACTCTTCTTCAAGCATGCTTTTAGCTAAAATTTTTGTTGTCGTTGTTGCTGTTTAGACAGGGTGGAGTTATAAAAAATATTTACCAGAAAATTCTGACCTTTCAGGGAACAGACTGATCACTCAGAAAGGATTCTTTTAATTTACTTCAGATGCACTTTGAGAGGGGCACATGTGTGCACACATGTGTACACTCACATCTGTATGCTTGGTCCATTTGTTCTCAGGAAGGAAACAGATAAGAGGCACTTTCCCTTGTAGATTATCCTGCTCCTTCCTTTGGCTGTATATTGGACTGGAAAAAATAAGCTTTCTAAGTCCTGGGACGAAAGGGGTTTAGGATTATCTGTCTGTCTTTTGAACTACACCCTCCCCCCACCTTTTTTTTTTTTTTTTTAACTATGTGGAAGCATGAACAGATCTTAAAGTGTGCTAGGTAAGGGGGAATGAATTATGGGTAAGATGGTTTAGATGAAGATACAAGTCCACGAATTGCAGTTCACATCATCATGAGTGCATTTCCTTCAGGGCATAACCCTGGAGTTGAAGATATGAATCAAGTGACATTTTCTGCAGGTTGTGTTTGTAGAAGCTCTCAGACTTTTGTCAGGTTCTCCAAATATCTGTCCCCTCCTGTTGTTGTCTCTAAAATGTTAGTACAGTATTGCGCAGTTCTCCTCTAGTTTTCCTTGCGGAGGGGCTGCGTGGATTAATTAACAGATTACTAGCAAATGCTTTGAAAATCAAAAGGTCCTTCAGGAATAATCAGCATTGTTCGGTTCTCCTTTTGAATGAGTAGAAAGGATATCTGATTTCTTCAAAGCAATATAACTAAGATGGAAGAGAGTGTTTCTCTTGCAGTGATGCTAACTACTGTGTTCTGATGCACTACTCAGGTTGTATTATCATGCCATTATTACAAGTGAAGAAATAAATGGGACCTCACTGGGTCTGCCAGAACCTCACTGCTGCAGAGCATTACAAACACATTAAAGTGTAATTGACATCTAGTAGCTGTATGTCTATAATGTGCCAATTAGAATATTTAGCTTTGCAATAAAAGAGGAGTTAATAAAACACATTTAAGAAATGGAAAATAAGATTAGAAGTGGCATTTTGGCTCTTATTCAAGTGGCAGGGAACAGAAGAGGGTGTGGAAACCAAGCTCAGCTCAGTTCCCTGTGTCTTCATTCGTCACTGGCTCGTTCATTACCAAATGTCTATAGATATTCAGATACCACCCCTTCCTCCAAAGTATTCTACTCTCCGTTTGATTCAGTACTATTTTATAGCTTAATGTCATATGGAAGTTTTAGAATTCAGCTCCAAAGTAAACAGTAAAATGAGTTAAAATTACAGTTCATTGATTTCTTGCTGGCTTTTTAATTTATTTGTAAAACAAATTGCATAGAGTTTCTACTTTCTTCCCCTCAAAACTCACAACCCCAAAAATATCTGGCAGGGGGAGGGGGCTTTTATTTTAACCACGAGTGAACTACTGTTTAGCAACATTGACTACAAATGTGCTTCTTGGGAATTTCACCACTATATAATTGCCTTCTTCATTTCTTTTCTTGCTTAACTAGTGTATATAATCACTGATTTATAAGTGTGAGCTGTAATAATGTCAGCTGTCTGCTGGCATGATTGGAGAACTTATTATGAAATGAAGTTAATTTTATATCTTCTTTTCTTGGAAACTCTTTTATACTTAATTTTAAGCAGATAAGTGACATAAAAGACCAAACTACTTGAAGATAATGCATTTAGAAATTGCTGATTGATGAGCTTATGCTTATCTAATTTTGTTTTAAAAAGATTCTAATATATCTTTTGAGAATAGATTTTTGAGTGGAAGAACAAAACTAGTGTAGGTGGATAAGATACCAGCAAAAGAAAAATGGAAGGGTTCTGTTTCCCTCTGTCCCAAAATTATTTTAATGTTAATCCTAGAATTCATGTTTTAGTCATGGTTGTCAGTTGTGGAAAATATTATTTAGTTTAATAGTTTTACTTAAAATAAATGTTTGTGTTTTAAGCAAAACAGTTTATGTTGTAAAAGGGTAACAGCTACATTTTATGCATCTCTTTTTGCTGGATTTTCTTTTAGAGATAATGATCTTTAGGGCTGTTTTCTATAAATATGCATATCGTACTTGTGTTTCTGTTTAAATGCATGCGTAAGAAGAACTGAATTTGATTAACTTTATTAACAATAAATAATGAAGTGTACTCTTTTATGTTAACCCTTATTTCATTGTGTATCAGCCTTCAGACATTTGGCTATCTAGACAGGCAGTCATTTATATCCTTTTAAAAAAATTTATTGCTCTTTTGACTAATTGCTTTTTATATGACTTTTTATAAGCCTTTTGCATTGATACCATTTGTTAAAACACAGCCAGAAGAAGGCAGAGCAGCCTCGTTTTTCAAAACTTTAGTGTCATTTTTATAGACAAATAACACTTGTAAATGATGGATAATAGCTAGCAGGATGCTGTGTGGTATAAAATGTGCGTGAATTATATTTTCTGGGAGTTAGAAGGTTAACTTGTCTATGAACTAATTGAAAAGCTTTATGGTAAATGCATAGTGCTGTGTGCACATTATCGGCATGACTTAAACCAGCTGAAAAAGGGATTTTCCTTCCCTTGGGTATTATTCATTATCTCCTCCCCTTTTCTGGCTAGCTGATGTATATGGAGAGTATCTAATCATAATGAATCTATAGAATTTATAAAAAAGAGAACAGCGTAGATGCTTTTCACAATGAGTTGGCAGTTAATACGTTGCATATTAGAAATGGGATGGAGGTGAGTGCAGGCATTGAAATTATCGCTGCATGACGATGTATTTTTGTATTTGCATAGGCCTTGTTTATCAAGATGATTGTGGTTTTTGACCCTGGGAAAGCAAATGGTGAGAGATAGACTTGGTTTCTTCTGCAACTTGCAATGCATAGGTAACAGGAATTTATCACAAGCTTTTTGTTGAGGAAGGCTAACTCACATGTCTCTCTTTCTTCCTACATTGGACAGTTGTGTTAAGTTGAAAACACACCATCTTAATTTAGTAGCAATTCAGATATTCAGTCAAGAATATTAATATGTTAATGAGAACTTCAGAAATTTCACTTATGCGAAAGTAAGACTTTCCTTGCCCATTGAAGACATGGCTGTAGGCATCCATCCAGATTATGTGGGAGGAGGTAGGTTTAGTGTCATATTGATACTCTCCCCACCCGCTCCAGCTACTCTTTCTCATTGAGTGAATGCTGGGGAGAAAAGGAGTAGAGGAGGGGTAGGTGATAGTAAGAAATAGAAGGGATTTCTCACTGGGTCTGGTCATATGCTGGCTTTGTGTTTTCTGGGCCTTGTTGCAATTTAACATCTCTTTTCTTTATCATTGTTGTTTATCAGTTTTATGACAATCACCTAGATTGAATTTCTTTTCTTTTCTTTTCTTTTCTTTTCTTTTCTTTTTTTTTTGAGACGGAGTTTTGTTCTTGTTGCCCAGGCTGGAGTGCAGTGGCACGATCTCGGCTCACTGCAACCTCCGCCTCCCGGGTTCAAGTGATTCTTCTGCCTCAGCCTCCCGAGTAGCTGGGATTACAGGTGCATGCCACCATGCCCGGCTAAGTTTGTATTTTTAGTAGATATGGGGTTTCTCCATGTTGGTCAGGATGGTCTTGAACTCCTGACCTCAGGTGATCCACCCGCCTCAGCCTCCCAAAGTTCTGGGGTTTAAGGTGTGAGCCACCGCGCCCAGCCTGAATTTCTTTTCATTTACCCTGATTAGTATATCTGTGGATTTATGTCTTTTAACACTCCTGGAAACATCTCAGTTATCATCTCCTTAAATATTCCCTTTCCTCCTTCCTTTCTATTCTTTTCTTCTAGGTCTCCGATGAGACATATTTTGGACCTTCTCATTGTATTCTCCATTTAGGTTAACATTTCTTTATATTTTTCATTTCCTTGTCTTACTGTATTGCCTTTTAGGTAATTTTTTCATTTCTTCCTTCCAATTCACTAATTCTATTTTTAGCTTTGACTAAATGCTGTATAATCTTGCTAGCAAATTTTTTTATTTCAATAATCATAGTTTTTATTTTAAAAAGTTTTAGTTCTTTTAAAATCTTCCTTGTCATTTAAAAAATTGTGGTAAAATACACATAGCATAAAATTCACCATCTTCGCTATTTTTAAGTGTACGCAGTTCAGTTAATATTAAGTACATTCACGTTGTTATGCAGCCAATCTCCACAGCTCTTTTCAGTTTGCAAAGCTGAAACTGCCTGGTCATTTTTTTTTTTTTTTTTTTTTGAGATGGAGTTTCGCTCATTGTTGCCCAGGCTGGAATGCAGTGGCGCGATCTTGGCTTACTGAAACCTCCGCCTCCCAGGTTCAAGTGATTCTCCTGCCTCAGCCTCCCGAGTACCTGGGATTACAGGCAAGTGCCACCACGCCTGGCTAATTTTTGTATTTTTAGTAGAGACGGGGTTTCACCATGTTGGCCAGGCTGGTCCTGAACTCCTGGACTCAGGTGATCCACCCGCCTTGGCCTCCCAAAGTGGTGGGATTACGGTCGTGAGCCACTGCACCCAGCCCTGCCTGGTCATTTTTGATAGTCACTTGTTACTTATTTATTTTTGTGATTATGTCTTTTACTTCTTTAGCCTTTCATATGTAGTTATTTTATAGTCAGTATTTGGTAACTGAAGCATCTGAAGTCCTTGGCACTTTGCATCTGTTCTTTCTCTCACTCCTGATGTTTCGTTTCCCTGTCTGTTTAGTAAACCTTAATTGCTAGCTCATATTTGGTTGATCCTAATTGTAGAAAAAGTCTTGGGGCCTAAGTCAAGGATGCTTTTCTCAGAGTATTTGCTTTTGCTTTTGCCAGTAGTCATAGGGTGCTGCTGTCCTGCGGGGGTACTGCGGTCCTGAGACAATTCCATTGCCTTCCAGATGCTGCCATGTAACCCCGGAATTTTAGTTTAGTTCCCCCACCCAGCCACAGAGCTGAGGCCCAGCCTCCCAGAGATCACGTGAGATCACCACATGTCCTCACAGGACCGTTCCCCTTTTCTGAGGCTCACTGCCCAGGGATTTTTGGTTGTTACTGTTTGTTCCTTTTCCTTTTTGCCCCTGTAGACATTTTTTTTTCATTTCCTCTGAACCCAACAAAACAATAATAATTGGTTTTCATTCATTCATTACTGGTAGACAGTAAAACAACAAGAGTATTAGTCTGCCATACTTCTGGAAGCCTGAGCTGGTTTTAAAGGGCCTTCCACATGGGCACTCCGTGTGCTCCTCTGCTGGGCCCCTCCAACTGCAGCCACCTTACTCTGGCAGCCTTGCCTTCCCTTGCTCCCACATTGCTCGCAGCTTCTGATTTTATGAGATCTGCCTCATCCAGACCCTGCTGGGTCCATCTGACCCCCTGGAAGAAATCTCTTGGGCAGGATGACCTTGGTCGACATCCCCATCATAAATTCTACATCTGGCTTCCCAAATTAAGGTGCCTTTCCTCCACTTCAGAGGGAGAATGCAGTTCAGGTCCTTCCCAGTGCAATTTTAGCTAGCCTCTATCTTTTAGCTGTGTACCAGCTGCCAGTCCAGCAGGCCTCCAAAATTCTACGGAAATTATATCAAGTGCTGTGCATTTCTGCTTTGAAGCCTCTGTCAGTGGACTTGAGAGTCGGCACCCCCCCCCCCTCCACTGTGCTACCCATCTCTTTGGTGATGGTGGAGGGGATCACAGCACAGCTCTTTTTTTCCCCCTCAAAGAAAAACAAAATTCTCTGTTGACTTCTGTTTCTCACTCAGAGTAGGTCGGGGTATAAAAAATCATGAATCTAGTTATGACACATTAACTTTGAAAAGCTCCTTTGGAGAGCCTGGCACCTCACTTTGGAAATTTATATCTGTCATTGCTTGGAAACTTACTTGAAACTTCCAGTTTAATACCTGCCCATACAAACATGCAGCATGTGTTGCCTCCATCATGGGATAGTTTTTTCTCCTTTCTCTGACTCCTGTTGTTTGTTAAACATCATCTAGAATGGAATGGACTTCCCTCTTTCCATGCTGGCCAGTTGTTTTACTTTTTTGTCACCTTGGAGATAGTGCTTCTTACCTCCTGTGATTCTGAGACATAAAGATGATCAGGAAGCCATTACAGCCACTGCAGAGTCAGCAACAATAGGGAAGGGCCGTACACTGTCACTTGGCATGTTGTTTTATTTTTTTTAATGCCATACGGATTAACCATCATTAAAAATAAGGTTATATTTATATAGTTACTCCCCATTAAGGAGATGGAGCTTAACTCCTCATTCCTACAGCATGGGCTGCACTTTGGGACTTAGCTTCAAACATCACACTAGGGCAAGGAAAGAAAGTAACTTAGAGGTGGAGAAACCTGGCAAACAGTTTCTCATCCCAGTGATCAGTTCACATCGACTATGTCACACCTTGACAGGATGTGGTGAGAAGGATGTTTCATCTCTGTGACCTGAAAAACCCATAATCTGGGTCTAGTGATGAGTGAGAAAAGCATCAGTCAAACCTACATTGAGGGATATTTTACCAAATGCCTGGCAGTGTTCCTCAAGACCATCAACGTCATCGAAAACAAGGGAAGTCTGAGCAAAGTGTCACTGACCAGGCCAGGCAAAGGAGCCATGAGCTCTAAACGTAGTGGGATGGGATCTTGGGACAGAAAAGGACATTAAGGGGAAAAAAGTTGTGAAATCCAAAGAAAGTGTAGCGTGTAGTCAATAGTATCATACCAGTGTTGCCTCCCTCATTGTGACAGATGTACGTAGTAATGTCAATGGTAACAACAGAATAAACCAAGTGAGGGGTATCCAGGGGGTGAGGGGTATACAAGGGTTCTCTGCACTATCTTTGTAAAGTTTTTGTACCCCTAAATGTAAAACTATTTAAAATTCTATTTAAGTAGAATTTTTAAATATTTTTAAATAAAAATAAATATTTAAATCATTTATCTAATAGCTCAGAGAGCTGATATATATCTATAGTGTTACCTGTATTTCAGCAACACCTGTGACCATCTTTCAGAAGGGATGAGAAATTGTGGTGGAAAAGGTAGCCCGGTTAAGCAGGCGGCGCTTAGCACAGTGGTTAAGGCATAGCCTTTGGAGCCAAAATGACTGGGTTTGAAGCCCTATTTTGTTCCTTCTAGCTTTGTGACCTTAGGCAAGTTGACATTCCTGTGCCTCAGTATCTCTTCCTGTAAGATGATCACCCTGTGTTGAGTGACTAATGAGGTAACACATGTAAAGCTTATCTGGCATAGGCTACATCTCTGTTGTAGCACCAGGACTTTCACTGTATTTTTCCAACTTCTTCAAGTGACTATAAAGGTGACAAGTTTGTGGATAACACAGAGCTGAGCAAGCTCCTATGAAATTACCTGTTCTCGGAGGCTGGGGTTGAACCAAAGGAGGATGGAGGGTGTGTTTCCCTCATGGGTTGGGAGTGTCCCCTTCACGTGTGTGTGTGGGACCCCTTGGGTGTTCTCTAACTGCACACGAGTGGATCAGAAGGATACACTTAGTCATAGGCATTTTGTGTTTGTTGTTACACAGAACGTTATCTGTGATCTTAAAGACACGCATCATGACTGGCAATATCAAAGCCTGTTCTTTGGATCCTGCTGTGTTTCATGCCAGATACATTTTCATTGTCCTCTTTCAAAGGCACTTGCAAAGTCTCTCTGCCAGATCCTGGAAGTGGTCATCTTCCACTCCTGGCAGTTGGCTTCTTGGCTGACTCTTTGTCCAGATGGAGCACTGATGTGGCCTCTGAATGAAAATTAGACCTCTTTTTCTCATTATGCCTTTGCTAACTTGCCTTGGATTTGGAAGAAATGAGGACATACCATTTTCTTTAAAACAACAACCACGCTGGCTATATTCAGATATAATTCACATACCATACACCTCATCTATATAAAGTGTACAATTCAATGGCTTTAGTATATTTACAGAGTTGTGCAGCCATCACCATAATTTTAGAATATCTTTACGACCCTACCAGTAAACTCCCACTAGTGGTGTATGAAGGTTCCAGTTTCTCCACAGCCTCACTAAGACTTTTTAATTATGTGTCTTTTTGATATAGGCATCCCAATGCTACATGTGTGGTGGTGTCTCATTGTGGTTTTGATTTGCATTTCCTTAAAGACTAAAGATGTTGAACACCTTTTCCTGTGCTTATTTGCCATTCATTTATCTTCTTTAGAGAAATGTCTATTGAGATCCATTGCTTTTTTTTTTTTTTTTTTTTTTTTTGGAGACAGAGTCTCACTTCTGTTGCCCAGGCTGGAGTGCAGTGGCACGATCTTGGTTCACTGTAGGCTCTGCCTCCCAGGTTCAAGCTATTCTCCTGCCTCAGCCTCCCAAGTAGCTGAGATTACAGGCACCCACCACCAAGCCTGGCTAATTTTTGTATTTTTAATAGAGATGGGGTTTCACCATGTTGGCCAGGCTGGTCTTGAACTCCTGACCTCAAGTGATCCACCTCCCTTGGCCTCCCAAAGTGCTGGGATTACATGCATGAGCCATTGCACCTGGCCAAGAATGTTTGCTCATTTTAAAATAGGTTTTCTTTTTATTATTGAGTTGTAAGAATTCAGTGTATATTTCAGGTACAAGTCCCTTATCAGATACATGATTTACAGATATTTTCTCCCATTCTGTGTGTATCTTTTCAATTTCTTGATAATGGTTTTAATTTTGATGAAAACTTTTTTATACTTGTACTTTTCGTGTCATATCTAAGAAGGTTTTGCTAATCAAGGCCTATATTTTCTAAGAGTTTTATAGTTTTGTCTCTTACATTTAGGTTCATGATCTATTTTGAGTTAATTTTTGTTTATAGTACGAGGAAGGGATCTCTTGCATTCGTGCTAAGTGGTATGTAATTTTGGTAGAGGCTATACAGTGTGTATACATGGCTAGCCATCCAAAAAAAAAGAAAGACTTCGGATACTGAGTCCCTAATGAGCTGCCCTGGCCAGAAGCATTGCACCTATGTGGCTGTTTCATCATTCAAAATTGCTAATTAAAGGTCTGCTATCCACTTAACCAACAATGTTTATATATTTTTTTTTCTAAAATGTATGTAAATATTATTTTTGCTTTTTTCATGATGTCCTTTTATTTTTAACTGTCTCAAAAACTAGTTTGGAGCACCTTCAGTAAAAAAATACACGTAGCATGGTATGTCTGAAAGAGCTTGAACTTAGAGTGCAGAAGACCCGTGGTAAGTGCTGTACCTGCCATTTACTAGTTATGTCCCTTGGGCAAGTGCTTCCTCTGAGCCTCAATTTCCAGCAAAATTGTTGAGAAGAATCCATGAAATCATGTTTATAAAATGCCTGGTATGCCATTTCTTGGCATATCTTAGTTACTCAGTAAATGGTTACTGTTTTTGTAGTTGATACTAAAACTGTAGCTATCACTCATTTTTCTCCTGTGTGGTCCCTTTTATGATTCCCCTATTTGAATATGCCTTGGGTCAGTCCTTTTCTCAGAAAGTTAATGTCATTTTATTTTCTAGCTAGGGTGATTTACTCAAGCTATTTGAGAGTTGCAGTCTCCTAAGTTTTCAGAGTGTGTTCCCAAGGGAACCATGAAGAATAATAGTTTATCTTGATTCCAGGAAAGACAGTTGCTGAGGGATTCATGGAATACACGTTTGCATTTCTTTCCAGAGCAGCTCACAAATTATGTTTGTTATAAATGCTGGTTGCTTCTTTGCCAGAGAAGAAACTTCCTTGGAGTATTCCAGATTTCTAGTGAAGACAAAGATTTCTTTGTCAAGATGAGAAAGACTTTACGAGATTGTGGGGAGGTAGCATTGAGTTTAAACCAGTAGCAAGAGATTGGTGAGAAAACAAGATGTGACATTCTGAAAAGGAAGGACAAACTGCACCAATAGAGAGTCACAGATACCATGTTGCTGTGGAGGGGTTGAGGGAGTTAATAACACTGATAGTAATATTGGCAATGATAATTGGTCTTGAGCATTTATCATGTGATATGTGTAAATGCTATGTGCTTTAATCATGCATTTAGTATTAAATAGGCACAGAGATTCCAGTGAGTTGAGCTGAGAGTTAAAGAGATTGGGTAACTTATCCTGTGGTCATAGAACTAGTAAGTGGCAGGCCTAGGATATGAATCCAGTGTGGCTAGAGTTTTTTTTTTTTTTTTTTTTTTTTGAGACAGAGTCTTGCTCTGTTGCCCAGGCTGGTGTGCAGTGGCGTGATCTCAGCTCACTGCAACCTCTGCCTCCCGAGTTCCAGTGATTCTCCTGCCTCAGCCTCCTGAGTAGCTGGGATTACAGGCGCCCGCCACCATGCCTGGCTAATTTTTGTATTTTTGGTTGAGACAGAGTTTCACCGTGTTGGCCACGCTGGTCTCGAACTCCTGATCTCAGGTGATCCACCCGTCTTGGCTTCCCAAAGTTCTGGGATTACAGGTGTGACCATGCCTGGCCCAGTGTGGCCAAAGTTTTCAACAGAAATAGTTTTCTCTTTTTCTTGAATGTGTGGAAGACCTGAGAGCCCATGAACCCTGTGGAGTGCTTTACCATTTCTTCAGCTTTACTTATTGAACCAGCTGTTCAAAAAACCAGACACTTTTCAGAGTAAAGAGGCCTCTATTCGTATTTACCCCAGGGCAGACAGTATATACCAGAGTGCCTGAGGTGAACCAGAAAGTGTGGTTGCCTGTATATAAGAGTTTTAAAACAATACTATTTGGAGCACTCCCCACAAAAAAGGACATAGCCTTATTTAGAACAGATGGTATAGAGTAAACAAATGACATGGACAAAACAGAACTGCTCAACTTCTATTTTGATTTTATCATCTTTATCAGGAAAAATGATCTTTAAGTTGGAAAGGGTAGAATAAACATGGTTAGGAGACATTAAAACCCAAGATAGAAGAGATAATGAGAATGACTAAAAAAATGCCTTTACGCCTCCTGGGCACGGAAGGAACTTGCAGATGTGATTGTGGAACCACTTTAGATAATATTTTGTGAATCAAGGAGAATAGGATGCCAGAAGATTGTAAATGATTTTGACAAACATGTCCCAGCTTTCAAGGGGGAAAGCATGGTTTGGAAACTACAGATGGGTGAGCTTAAGTCAGTTTCTGAGGAATTCTAGAAGCAATATTAAGCAGACGTTTGTGAACATATAATAAGGCAGCAGTGAGTAATGGGAGACAGAAAGGATCCTCTAAGAACAAGTCTTTTTCTTGTTTAGATGGGATCATTCGTCTGATACATGAAGGGAATGCCGGATAGAGAGTGAATATTGATTTCAGCCAGCCACTTTGAGAGTCTCTGGTGTCACAGACAAGATGGAGAGATGTGACTAGCGTGATAATACAGTTTGATGAGTTTATATTTGCTGCCATAACCAGTGTGTGTGTGTGTGTGTGTGTGTGTGTGTGTGTGTGTGTGTGAGAGAGAGACAGCGATTTTTTTTTTTGTTCTAAGTGACAGGGTCTTACTCTGTTGCCCAGGCTGGAGTGCATGATCATAGCTCATTGTAACCTTGATCTCCTGGCCTCAAGCAGTCCTTCCTTCTCCGACTCTGAAAGCTCTGGGATTACAGGTGTGAGCCACTGTGCTGGGCCCACAACTATTTTAAAACTGGGTGATGAACAGATTGATCAACTAATGAAATAGCTTCTGGGGCAAAATGGCCTGTTGCTTGTTTTTATAAATAAAGTTGTATTGGAACACAGTTGTGCCCATTTGTTTATTATGTATTGTTTAAGGCTGCTTTCGTGCTACAGTAGCAGAGCTGAGCAGTTGCTTTAGAGACCATTTGGCCCGCAAAGCCTATAATATTTGCTTTCTGGCTCTTTAACAGACAAAGTTTGCTGATCTCTGGCCTAGACAGAACACTGGTTCTCAGCCTGCTGTACATTAGAATCACCTAAAGCATTCTTACTAATGCCCAAGCATCTTTCCTCCTCAGCCCCTCCAACTAAATCAGAATCAGAGGTTGAGCCTGGCATTTTTCTTTCTTTTCTTTTCTTTTCTTTTTTTTTTTTTTTTAAGATTTCTAGGTGATTGTAATGTGAAGTCAGAGCTGGAGACCACTGGCCAGGAGGGAGGGTGCTAGTGGGGAGTGCAGCAAGGGCGTGTGTGCCATCTCCTGTTTCCTATGAGGGTTAATGATGTACTGTGCAATCCAATCTCTGGATGACACAGAGGGAGAGGTGGACATGGTTCTTTAGATGACAGGGTAAGAACTGCAAAAATTCTGGCCCTAAGGTAACAAGATGATGTTGGTATAGTAAAAAATATAAAGGCCTTCCCTATGTACTAAAAGTCTCTTTCAGAAGTGTCAGGTGGTGATTTGGCCACACCCAGTGAAATGGATGTGAAAATGAGTTAAGGGTTAACTGCAGACTCAATATGAGCCAACGAACAGTATGTGATAACCAGGAAACCCAAAACGAGATAAAACCCAACAATAACAACCAAGGCAATCTCAGCCTACATTGACATAATTACAGTGAAAGCAGGGATAAAATTTCTACTGTATCTGCTCAGGTCAAATCACACCTGTTGGAGAAACACTCTTTGTGGGTGGGAATGTGGCTGGTTCAGCTTTGGAGTCACCTGGGGTAGTGCTTCCCAAGAGGCTGACCTCCACTGCCCTTAGAGCAGGGTGAGGTGCCACAGGGAGCAGTGCAGTCTTGTCTCTAAGAGGTGTACAAGTGGATCAGATGGCCATTTGGTAGGGGTTAGAAATGAAAGTTCATCTTTGGGGATTGTATTAGGATTTTCCAGGGAAATAGAACCAATAGGATGGATGGAAAACAATACACGTAAATCCTTAGGATAAGGAATTGGCTTATGTGATTATGGAGGTCAACAAGTTCCAAGATCTGCAGAATGACTCAGCATGCTGGAGATGCAGGAGAGCCAGTGGTGTGAGTTCCAGTTCAAAGGCTGGCAGACTTAAGACCTAGGAAAACCCAGTGTTTCATTTTGAGTCCAAAGGCAGGGAAAAACTGATGTCGCAGGCTCAAGGCAGTCAAGCAGAAAGAGATTCCCCCTTATATCTAGGAGGGGTCTGCCTTTTGATTCTGTTCTGGCTTTCAGCCAATTGTCTGGGGCCTACCCATGTTAGGGAGGGCAACCTGCTTTACTCAGATTGAAATGTTACTTCTATCCAGAAACAGCCAGAATAATGTTTGACTAAATGTGTGGCACCCCATGGCCCAAGCAAGATGACACAGAAAATCCATCTAATGCAACTTCCTCATCCTGTGGATGAGAAAACAGAGTCTCAGAGGATGTAACTTTCCCAAGGTGCCCCCACTTGGTCAGTGGCCAAGGTAGCTCTTGGGTTATTAGGTCTTCTCACTCCACAGCCCTATGTTCTTCCTGCCACACTGTTCAGCAGGTGTAGAGGTTGTGTTAATGACCTCTGTGGCCCTCTCCAGCCCTCAGGGTTAGACTGACTGTTAAATGGAAGAAGTCATTCCTCAGAAGGAGAGGCCTTAACCAGGATGGAGAACTGCAGCCATTGGGGGTGTGGTGCTTGATTTTGAAGAGACCATTGCCTAGATACAGAGGAGGTCAATGTAAACCCAAGTGATGTCCGCTGTCTTATGTACTTGGATTGTGAGCTCTTCCTTTTGTACACAAACACTCTTCAGGCCCCTTCAGAGCCCCAAATACTACTTAATCCTTTAATGCTGTTGCTGTCAAGAGGATGAGGAAGAGGGATGTCAGGCAGATTTCATGCTGGCGTGAATAATTAAGTGAGTGCAGGGCTACCATCTGAAGCTCCATGGGGGAGTTCCCTTTGTGCTGTCTGCATATGGCCTCCTCTTCTTGAATCAGCAGATGATTCAGCCGGAAAGACGAAGACACTCAAAGGGACTCTTTTTCAGGGATATGTCTCATCATAATAGGCTGTGCTCCCACCCCATGTCAAAGATGATTCTAGGTGCTTCTTATACATTATCTTTCCTGGTCTAAAAGACAACTATGAAAGGCAAGCTACACATTATTATCCCCATTCCATAAATGAGAAGACTGAGCTCTGGATGTATTTTCTTCATGTTGGAGGAAAATGATATTAATTGACAGGTCCCAGGTTTCTAATGTAATGCCCCCATGTGTTTTCACACTCTTGGCACTGAGCTAAAACATCTCATTTTAGGAACCAAGAATACAGTTATTAGAAGACCACTCTCAGAGTCAACTCTCGGGTACTGTCAAACAGCAGAATTTGAAATTCCACAGTGGCTAACACGCTGACACCCAACACAGTTCAAGTGTTGTATAAATAAAGTCAACAGCCTGACTTTTGAGTAAAACATAATTTTTCAACTGCTGCCAAGAGGAAGATAATTGATGATAAAAGGTAAACATAAATGACTTTTTGATTACCTGTTGTTTTAGATTACCTTAGCTTGTCTTCATCATTACTGCAGAGACTTCAAAGCTATGCAGAGTAAACTCTCAGGATCAATTTCCCCCTCTCCACTTCCCCTCTTGTCACATTTCCCCACACCTTTTAACAGAAGCCCTGCTCTTGGGGAAGTCAGGAATTAGTTGCTTCACTTTCTAATTATTACAAGTGTGTTAAACAAAATCACTGATAAGAGCCTCACATGTTGCAGGTGCGCATGCTCAAGCTCGTACTGGGGAAGGCGGCTGGAGGAAATGTGAGCAGGTGCAGCGCCCTGTCCTGCCCTGCCCCTGCAGGAGTCCTCATTAGTGAATGGACTGAGAGTGGCCTGGGCAGTGTTCTATCTGGACATACAGATACATTATTTTTAGGCTTTAAAACAGTATGATTTGGCAAATGGACCCACCAAGTTGAATCACAATCTCTAAACCCAGGAGCATTTCCTGGGTTCCTGTGGAGCAGTTCCTCTGTCTGGGTAAGGGAGGACTGGAGACAGACCCTGCACATAGAGTGGGGACAAGGAGTATAGGTGGTGTGAAAGTTTGCTGTTAACACGGGACTGTTATGGATCCACTCTAAGCCAGGGTAGTTCTAGAAGGCAGGATATGGTCAGCTCCAGGTAGGTCCCAAGCATACTGGGTCATGGCCCTGGGTCCCAAGCATACTGGGTCATTGTCCTTCCCTAAATCCATGTTGTGGAAGGGATGGCATGGGGGACGAGGTAGAAGATCTAGAGCTACTTCTGCCTTTTTCTTCGTAACTTCCCAATGTAAGTTTTGTGGATTTTCAGAAACACAAATAGAAATCTTAATCGTATTCTTTATCCTATTAAATGAGTTTTAATGCTGCAATTTTAAAATGAATTGAGTGACATGGCTGCTCATCCCTAGATTAAGGTTCTTTGGTAAAACAAATTTAATTCATACATGAACTACAAAATGAACATGAAAGCAGCACATCAGTGAGGGAAGGAAATGAAGACTTCATACAGCAAGCTCAGGTCTGTTGTCTGTTTCCTTCTGCCCCCCACCCTCTGCAGTCCTCCTCCTCAGCCTGTGATGAACATCCCGAGGCCCTTTGAAAATCCATTTGTGTTTTTTGAATGCATCTCAGGTCTTGAAGACTCACAGCCTAGAGAAGTATTGATTGCATTTAAGGGTCCATTACTTAGGTAAACCAAATAATGTAACTGATCTTGGCTTTAATTGATCAAATCTCTCCCATAGTGTTGGAAAGATTGTAATCTAATTACTCTGGTTCCTGGTTTCTAAGGTGAAGGTTACATTTTGCTGAAACTTAGCCTGCTTCAGTAACCTCCCTTTATCTGGGCTGTCCCTTCTTGAAACACACACACACAGTGTATGTTGTACATCTGTGAACACACAGAGGCGGACACTTACAAGTCATCTGTCCATGTAGAGACCCCCTGAGTTTTAATTTAAACTCTATATTAACAGTAGATAAGAAATGTGAGCCATGCTGGTTTTTTTCATCTTAACTTTTTACAGCTTGGGAAAGGGGACTAGCAAGATGCTCCTGTCTAATCAGGTTCAATACCAGCTTCTCTTGTTTCTCCTAACAAGCTTGGCCTCATCCTAATTCTTCCTTTTCTGGAGACAGAATATCTATTTTCAGCCTCAGAACATTGCAAGAGCAGTATGTTTGAAGACTGAGTTGAAAGCTGCTGAGCTGCTGATTTATCTGCAGATCAGCTCCCGCCTTAACTAGTTCTTCATGGAAGCCCCTCGACATCTTCCTGGGAGCCGTTGCGTGGGCTCAGCTCGTATTCTCCAGCTCTCTTTCAAAATACTTTTTACCTCCCTTATTAGGGCTGGTCTACCCCAGGGGTTTCATCCAGGGCTGGGGTGGGAGTGGGTGCGCATTTAAACAAAGGGGCTTGATGTCTGCCCTAACCGGCAGGATAACCACATTTAAAGAAGACTACCTGAATGACTATTTGAGGTGGAAGAAATGGGCTTTGCCGTGGGGAGAAATCAGGACTCTTGTAAATAACTTCCCCAGCATTTCTAAAAACGACATAGGTTGCTGGAAAGCTTTGTGTCAGTCACAAGGATTAGCGGAGAGCATGTTGGGCAGTTTCTCTGTCTGGGTAGGAGAGGATGGGAGACAGGGAACCTGGAATGTGGCATTCTTCTGGCAGGTCTTCTTTCCGCGGGACTGTTCCCTTGTTGGCTGTTACTCCACATTAGTCAATAGCAGCATCCCCAGAAGAGGTTGTCAGCATCAGCTCCTGCATGGAAATTGGTGCATCAGTCAAGCCCATCTGCATCTGCAGGGGCAGTGTGGAAATGTGAAGCAGGGACTGCTGGGAGATGAGGGGGTAATGATCTGCCCTTTAGGGTGCTTGGGGATTTCTCTCGGTCAGACAAAATCCTACGTGCACTGACGTTTACTTTCCTTTAAGAAAGTGTGTTTTTGCACACTTGTGCACAGTGCTGTGTAGTGGACCTTATAGTAAGGATCTTAAAATTGAAACACACTCTGCAGTTACATCTTTTCTAGACAGCAAGTACAGGAACTCTCACCTAAGCTGGCAAGATGCATGAGTCTTTATACAAGAAACATCTTGGCTGCTCTGTGGCATGGATTCTTTCTGGGATCTAAAAACAAGAATATTCGATCCAGGAGTCTTGAACTGCAAGACGGCAGTGAGCTATGATCAAGACTTCAGTGAGCTATGATCGTGCCACTGCACTCTAGCCTGGGTGACAGAGCAAGACCCTATCCCAAAAATAAAAAGTAAAATAAAACATAAGAATGTTTATGTGACAATGTGAAGAATGTGCTTCATGGGAATGTTGTGACTAAATATTTTGAGAGACAACCGTGAAGCCATTTGCAAGCATAACTGCCTTTTTTTCCCCCCCGAGATGAAGTCTTGCTCTGTCACCCAGGCTGGAGTGCAGTGGTGTGATCTCGGCTCACCCCTGGTTCAAGCAATTCTCTTGTCTCAGCCTCCTAAGTAGCTGGGACTACAGGCGCATGCCACCATGCCTGGCTAATTTTTGTATTTTTAGTAGAGACAGGGTTTCACCATGTTGGCCAGGCTGGTCTTGAACTCCTGACCTCGTGGTTTGTCCACCTCAGCCTCTCAAAGTGCTGGGATTACAGGCGTGAGCCACTACGCCTGGCCGAGTAACTGCCATTTTAATGGGTTTAACATTAATGCTAGAAAGCTTACATTCAGAATAGGGCAGTAATGTTTCTTGAAGTTTGGGGTGTAAGATGTTGTATGAGGAGTACTCCTAGTTTGACCTCCCACTCTGCCCATTGGATTATTTATATTTTCCCAACTGTGATTTTTTAAAATTTCAAGTATATAGAAAAGTTTAAAAAATGGTGTCATGGAGATGGGCGAATACTCATCACCCACATTCACTAGCCATTCTGCCACATTCTCTTGATAGCTCTCACTTTGTTTTCTGAACATTTGAAAGACTCTTTGAGGTCACTACAGTTAATCCCTAAACATTTCTAGTGTAACTCAGGACACTTTAACCTGAATATAATAATATCTAGTGCACAGTTTATATTCAGATTTCCTTAATTGTCTTAGTAATTTTTCTTATGGCCGTTATTTTCTAAAGTCCGAAATCTAGCCAGAGATCACACATTATGTTTAGTTGTCACATCTCATTAGCCTCATTTTGAATCTATAATAGTCTTCCAGCTTTTTCAAAGTCTTTTGTGACATGTAGCATCTTGAAAAGTCCAGGCTAGGTCTTGCGGAATGTCCCCCAGTTCCAATTGTTTCCTCCTATAAGATGCGAGAATATCCCATCAAGACAGAGTGGCCTTCCCCTGTGGCACCACAGGAAGTACACGGTGTCACACTATCCCTTTGGTGGGATGTATGGTCACATGAATAAGGCTGTGGCCACCAGATTTCTCTGTGCTATAAGGTTCTTTCTTCCTTTTGTGATTAAGGAGCCTGTGGGGTGATCTTTTGAGACCAGGTGAATATCCCATTCCCCGTAGTCTTTCGCAGAATGATCTTTGCCTGAATTGGTTATTTCATTGGTAGTTACTGTGCCTCAATATTTGACAAAAACAAAAGGCAGTTGTGCTTTGGAAGCCAGAGAAATGACTTCAGAGAGGAAAAAAGCCATGTCTTTTTTATTTTAAAAAACCGAATTTGCTTTTTATATATTAAGGTGGGATTTTTAAATTTGTGAGTGTGACTGTCAGTAGGATTTGATAAAATAGGATTTGAAATTTGTGAGCGTGAACATCAATAAAGAAATCCCATGTTAATTTTGGTTATAGATTTTTAAAGATTATACTCATACATTTCTACATTTTGCACACCATATATTAAGATTTGCATTAAAAATTTCTAGAGCTGAATTCTTGTTACTGGTAATTATTGCAGTATTTGGAACAAAAACGGGAAATGCTCTGAACTCATGAGTGAAAGATTTCCATGTGGATATCTCTCTGTAGAAATATCACCCAAGGAATTTACGAAACACTGAAAGAATCTGTTGTATTTTGTAAGCAGTACTCATTTGAGAAATTGCTCTTCATAAATGGGTTTCACTAATTAAATCATACACTTCCATAGTACATTACATGTAAAACTAGACTAGGAAATAAATATAATTAAAGTAAACATGCCCTTCTAATTAGTAATTGTTTCTGCCATTTTAAGCAAATTTCAGAGTCACGGAGAGCTGCTCCACTATAAACCTAATAATGAAGCTTGTGATAACAGGTGTAAATTAACACAATGGAAAACATTTACACTGTAACATGCTAAATTAAAAATGGCATTAACAAGTCCCATTTTCAAATTCTCTATAATTAACATTTGTTCAACCCAGAGATGAGTAAGTGCAGTACAATGGTAAATGTCTTTATTTATAGCTTAGGATATTTGTCACGGCATTATCTTTGTTACATTGTAAACAACAGGGATGCATTCCTTCTTAAAATATGTCATGTTTATGTAATCTTAGACAGTTCTGACAAAGGGTGAGACGTGATATTTACTGGTGCCATTATTGTGGGTAATCTGCAGGTATAACACCAGAACGTCTTTGGTTGGGAGTAGAGCTTGACATGAAATATCGAGAGTGGGATGAGTATGGAGATATGCAGGTACAACGGCAGTAATATCCAGGACATGATAAAATATTAGGATTCCCTCAAGTGTTCCCCTCATTGCACATATGTGCTTCTAAGTGCCTTGAATCAGTGTTTGTTTCTGCAAATAAATATTATCTTAAAGGCTTTCTTTTATGGCACTAGTTAATACAAGCTAGAAAGCAGAGAACAGAGGAAACAGCTTTGTAGCTTAATTTGTCACAGAGGACATGATGTTTTACTCCTTACAGAGAATTTCATCAGTATACTAATGGTTGAATAAAGAACTTAAGCATTACTGCATTGCCTAAACATTGGCTTAGAGCTAATCGCTGACTTTTTTTAACTCAAGATTTTAATCACTCCAACTGTATCTTGTTTAAAAAAATTGTTGAGAATATATACTACGGATTATTTTTTGAGTAATTAAAAATGTTTTCAAGTTGTATTCAGATTGTCTGGAGTTTATCCTCGTGGTGTAGGATGGTAATGTAATAAGGACGGGGTCTGTGTTGTGCCTTTGAGAATTGTAAGACTCAGCATTTACCGAGTTCTGGAACTCACCGTCTCCTTGGGGAGATAGAAAAGTAAATCAGTAATTGCATTCACCTTCTGTCACCACTATGACAGAGCCAAGGAACAAAGGGAAGGACTACATAAATAATGGAATAATGTAGGAGTGACAAATATTATAAGAAGTTCAGTGTTTTAAATAAAGTACATTGGGCACATGTTAAAGGAAAATTGACTTGTCCACGTAGCATGTGGCTCAGCACTGCTCAAGAGCGCCTTCAGCGACGGTGGAGAGGCCCTAGATCCGAGCCATCCAGCACGGGTGCCATTGGCTCCACGTGGCCGTCGGGACCAAGAAACTGAGCTTAGCATTTAACTTAATTTTAATTAATTTACATTTAAATGCCATATGTGGTTAGTGGCTGTTACAGTGGAAAGTGTAGATCTGTATTTTTAAAGTCTTACTCTTAAAGTCATTATTTCAAGATTTTTTTTTTTTTGGCTGTTAAGAGGAGTCATAGATTTGTTTTCATTCTGAGAAATCCTATTCTGAAATAGTTTCAAATCCACTGAGTTTAGACGGTTGAACTTTCTTTGTCAAGGCGGATTCCTGCCCTCACTTTTACACAGCCATTGGACAAGAGGGACGGTACCTGCTCAAGATGCCTGGCTGAGAGTGTGTGGGAGTCTGGTTGGAGCCCAGATTTTATATATTTATATATTTTATTTAGCTTTGACCAAAAAGTGAACATAAAAACTGAGTCATGGTAATTAAAACTAACAGATAATTTATCTAAAATAAATCTTGATCTGACTAACATTGGTCAAACATGACGTGACTTTTTACTCCTTAGATGCACCTTGTGACATAAATAGAATCCTTCCCTTGCATTTTATAAATGGGAAACCAGAAGCACCAGGAGATGAAGTGAGGGAACTCAGCAGTGGGAGGACCTAAACTGCAGCCCAGTCCAACAGTGCCAGTCGAAACCTAGTTTTCCAATGAGGACTGCTTTCCTGTCCCTTCGTCTCCTCTTTTTCCTACAGCCTCACACCTACCACTTATTGACTATTTACTTGAGAGGCATCGTAGATTAATGGTTTAAGAACATGGACTCTGGTACCAGACTTATAGGTTGGAATCCTGATGTTACCGCTGACTAGCTGTGGGGCTGGACACATTACTGGGCCTCTCTTGTGCCTCATTCTGTTTGTGTGTGAGCACTATAGAGTAGGTATAGGATAATGTAAACATTAGCTGTTATCAGAATCATTGTCTGCACCAGCTAAGTACATGCCTTACATGCATTGTTAATTCTGTTATTCCTGTTTTACAGATCAAGAAAGGTTTTCTTTTGAAGGTTGAGTTACTTGCCTTAGATCATGTGATCAGCAAGTGGTAGACTATTCTTGGAACTCAGGAGTGTGTGCTGTTGACCCTTGAACAGCTCTGGGGTTAGAGGTGCCAACCCTCATGCAGTCAAAAATTCACATATAACTTTTGACTTCCCAAAGGCTCAACTATGAATAGCTTAATGTTGACTGGAACCCCTACTGATAACATAAACAGTTGATTAACATGCATTTTGTATGTTACATGTATTATATGTACTGTTAATATATGATAGATATTATTCTTACAATAAGCTAGAGAAAAGAAAATGTTATTAAGAAAACCATAAGCAAGAGAAAATATGTTTACTATTCATTAAGTGGAAGTGGGTCATCATAAAGGTCTTCATTCTTTCCATCTTCCTGTGGAGTATACTGGCTGAAGAGGAAGAAGAAGGGTTGGGCTTGCTGTCTCAGGACTGGCAGAGGTGGGAAAGGTGGAGGGAGGGGAAAGGGAGGCAGGAGAGGCAGGCACATTTGCTGTAACTTTTATCAAAAAAAAAAAAAACCTACAATAAGTGGACCCATGCAGTTTTTAAAATCCATGTTGTTGAAGGATCAACTGTATTTTTGAAAGCCCTCACTTAAAATAATAAATATTCATTGATAGCCTTAAAGGGGAAGACATAAGGCAGTTCTTAGCAGAGTATCTGACATAGGGTGAGAACGCAGTCACGGGAGCTGCTGTTCTTATTAAGAAGTACATTAGTCTGCAGTTGCTTGTCTGTTTTCTGTGCCTCTTAGAGGCAGAACGAGAAGAAAAGAGCGCCGGTGAACATGCGACTGTTGCTGGCGGGTAGTAACTGCGGCACTCAGCTGCTCCCTAGCTCAGTTGTCTTCTGAGTGACCTCACCGTCTTCTCTACCACTGACCACTTGATAAGGAAAACGGCCAGCTCCTCACCCTCCTCCCCTTCCCCACCTCTGTTGCCATGGCCAGTCCCCCTCCCCTTCCTTTCATTTCTCTTCCTGACCAGCCACAGCCCTGAGTTTCATCAGGGAGGCTGGTTGGGCTGAGGAGGTGCTTTGGAGCCTCTGTTGGAAAGATTAAAAAAGATGCTGTGGGCTGATGCTCTTCTTCCCAAAGCAGATTGCCGTCTTGTCCACATCCCCCTAGCTTGTTCCCATCTCTCTCTTCATGTCTGCTTGACGTGATGGTCTGACTTGCTGGACAGCGAGGCTGCTGTGGAGTATCCCCCAGGTTTAGAAATAGTACTGTCCATTTCGAGGCCCCATCAGACATCCCCCATGTTTGATGGGGCCTCTAAACGGACAGTACTGTTGTACAGTTTTCTTTGGCACATCCATAGATTATTTTAAGGACTATAAACCTATTAATTACTCCAAAGTAAATCTCAGAGGTTAACCTGGGGCCTTTGATATGTTTAGTGTTTTGAAGGCTCAGTCGAGTGCCAGGTCGATCATTATTGGCAAGTGAACCAGCAAGCATCTGTCTAGCCCACGAAGGAAAAAAGTGAGAGAGTATGCCTTTCTATATATTGCCCAGGGAAATTCATTTTATTTTTAGCTGTTGGCTACTGCAGTGGGACAGGAAAGTCAACTTAGGTGTTTAGAATGAAAAACAGCTTGAAAAAAAGACATTGAGGTTCATTGCACTCTATGACTTGGGTAGATAGATGGAAGGGGGTTGTGAAACGGAGCTATTCTGAATACGTTCAGTGTTTTCATTTAGAGATGCAGAGGTTTTCTCTTTATTTGTATCTTAGTGGACAGTGACAGATGAAAACAGAAAGAGCCACTTCCCTCAAAATACATAGCTGTGCATGAATACACGGGGTGAGCTGTTTTCCACGAGAGGGGATCCTGCTCGGTGCTGAGAGGGTAGAATGGAGGATGCGGGTCCTGCCTTTCAGGCACCCCTGGTGTAACTGAGAACCCTGCCATCCTGAAGTAGGGTAAGGTGCAGAAGAGGTCAAGACAGCCGCACACCACCCTCATCACTCCTCCATGTGTTCATTCCTGGCCCCATGGCCAGATCGGCTGGGAAGGAAACTGCCGCGGTGAGCTCTAATTACTAGAGATGGAGACGCTCAGGTGCAAGCTGCCTAATTACAAAAGCCCAGAACACACATGCTCTCAGGGGGCCCACCAGGGTTAAAGAGACTGAAAAAATAATTTTGGCTGCAAATTTAAGTGAGGATGAACACCACGAGGAGCTTCATATGCAGAAATGAAGTCCTGGCTTTCTTAAAAAAATAAAAACACTAATGCCTCAACAACAACTACAACAGAAACCCTTTGGGTTTATTATTTCAAGCCAGGTCATGCTAGTTTCACAAGAGTTTGTGAAAATGGATGCACATGAATAGAGCCTTTAAAAACTCGTGATTAAAGAGAAAGATTTCACAGTTGATGGTTTGGTAGATGGCAGTCATAAAAACAATTGCTCTTTGTTATATGTATTGGTTAAAAAAAGTTTTATTTTCTAACGTCCTGCATTATGAAACTTTTTTTTTAAATGCAGCTATTTTTTCCTTCATCTATGTTCAATTTCTTTGAAGATAAAAATTTCAAGTGCAGTGAAACTATTTTCATCTTTTTCGATATTACAGTCTCCCCATGTATGGAATTCATTTTGCATGGCCTCAGACCAAATATTTCCAAGTCCCGTCCTTATATATAGCAAAGCCATGTATTTTGCTCATGCCTTCAAGCCTGGGAGTAACACAGTTTTGCTGTCAGAAGAAGATGGTTGCTGAGGCAAGTGGGAACAGGCATCCTGCACCATGCCATCCCACCTGCCCTTCCCGACTGGAGCTGAGGCCACAGGGTTTTTCACCGCCAAATTGATATGCTTTTGAAGGAAGCATCTGGTTCTTTGGCAGCTCCATAGGAGTAATCTTGGTGGTTGGAGAGTTTCTCCTGCATCTATCACATAGTCTAGTTATTGAAAGGGTTCCTGGCATTTTCACGTCCCAGTTTCTGGGCATAGGAATGTGAAAAAGCTGAAGTCTGTTTGCACTTGCAAAGCCTCTTTGAAATTTGTCAGGCTAAAAAAAAATTCTCTGTGTTTAAAAAAAAAAAAATTCTTCTGGGTTGTGTCTTACCTGCATCCATGGATGATTTTTCTACTATTTAAGTTTCATACTCATATATCTGGTATTTATGCCGAGAAAAACATCAGTACGAATTATAGACAAGTGGTCTTTAAAAATATTCACTAAGAAAGCTAAAATAATATTTTAACATTTTCTTAGTTTAAGAATTGCAAAATTCAGCAGTATTTATTAAGCAACTCTGATGTTCTAGGCAGTTAGGTGCCATAGCAGGGACCATGTTAGAAACTTCATAAAGTTCCTCATTCTCAAACCTCAGAGAGCTTTCCCAGCCTAGGTCATTAGCATTTCCATATGACATGTCTTGACTTAATAATTTATTCACGTTTGATATGTTCAACTAACTTTGATTACTTAATCATAATTAAGTATGCAGCTGCTAAATTTTTTTTTCTGTGTTTCTTGGCTATTTGTCCACTTGTTTCTCAATCATTAGCACCCAGTGGGTAGGCTGCCATGTCTGTAACTTGCTTTATCCACCTTCTAGCACAGCATTCATCTGTGTAACAAATGCTTGTGGTGGATCTATTGTGTGTCAGACACAGTTCTAGACCCTGTAGTGGAAGCAAACTACTTTCTTATTGGAGCTTATATATTTGTGGTCCGGATAATCAGAAAAAAAACAATATATTTCAGATTGGAATATACTTATGCTCTAGAGAAAATGAAGTGAGTGCGGGGCGCATAATGGTGATTGCAGGTGAAAGGCAGCACTCGCTGGGGTGGCTGCGGAGGGCCCTCTGTGGGGTGACATTTGACCTGAGATCGGAGAGTTAACTACTGCACGGAGGTTTCGGGAGAAAGCCTTTCAAACAAAGAAAACAGCGGGGACAAGGGCCTTTCTCTTAGCTTGTTCAAGAGACAAAGAACAAAGGAAGAAGGCCAGTGTGGCAGGGCAGAATGAGTGATGGTGGGGCCGGGCCGGGGGCTGGAGAGGTTGGGATGGTGTGGGGGTGGTAGAGATGGGCTCAGAGAGCCTTGGAGGCGATGTGAGGGGTTGGATAAACGTTTATAGTAAGTGCATGGGGAAGCCATGTAGGGTTTAAAGCCAGGGAAAATATGATTTTATTAATGCTGCAGGTTTATTCAATAAATACCATTGTGATAGTAGTATTGAAAGTCTGCATGTAATTACATGTAATAATAGCCTGTGTACTTGTGATGATGCAAATATCCCTTCTATATGTTTGGTTGAAAGCTAAAAGAAATGTTTTATGCAAAATGAGTCAATGAATTATATCTCCCTATGTTTCTAACAGTTTAATATTCATCATTTGGAGAAGATACATGCAGTTTTATCTATGTGTGGGCATAAATTGTTCCTCCGAGTAGGGCATGCCAGTTTTAGCTCAGGGTCTCCTCTTAATTTTGACTGTATATCCCCTGTGGCTACATGTCAAAATATGACACGTCAGCATTAGGCCAACCTGGATTTAATGACTAGGAAACTGTGAAATTTATATGATTTGGGGGCACGTGGGGGCTTTTCTAATGCCAGTTCCAAGGATAAGTGGCATGGAGGTTATTTGATTAATTGGACAAGCATAAACTCTAGCTCAGCTTCCTGCCTGTCATCTGAACACAGAACATTGAAGATTAGGCGACTTAGCACTCCAGAATTAAAATCATGATATTTCTTTTCCTATTAACAGACTATTTTGCTTAGCATTACACTGTCTTTTAGGCAAGCATTCACTGGGCCCCTGCATATGTAATCTTTACTTATGAGTGAGGAATTTTCCAAGGTATATGTTGAAAACACTGTGCTCCCTGAAGTCCAGCTATGGTTGAAGCCATGCCTTTGCAATGAGGCCCATTTAGTAGCTTCCGTGTGAACCCATCTATCACTTTAGTAGAGCTGGAGAGTGTCATATGCTCACAAGGCTCTTACTGAACTCCTTTGCTGAGATGGTTTGTGTAGAGCCATCAATCACACACAGCTCTCATCCTTGTGAGGTTATTCATTTGTGCACAGGCTTTGGCTCTGCATTGACTTGCTCAGGAAGACCCAGAGACCTGGATCATGGCTTAACTTTCACAGTGATGAAACAGAGGCAGTAACCTGATGATGGCTTGACTGTGAGCCCCAGTGCCACCTGACCCACCTGGATGATATGCCCTGTGGCCTCCTTGGAGGGTGCAGCCAGGTGGGGCTGTCTCCTCTAAAAGAGATCTGTCCTCTTGCTGCTCAGCATGACTTTCCAGCCAGTCTAAAACAACGCTGCCTCCCCAAGCCCTGAAGCTGTTTTCTAACACTGCTTTCACTTGTGATGGTCCATGAGAAAATCTTTGAAAGAAATAGCAAGCCTGTCGGTAGCAGGGGAACAAAGCAGGTGTGCCAGAGCCCTGGTTCTGCCTTGCTCTCATAGGCAGGCGACCTGACATCAGCCCTGGTCGCTCCTTCAACATCCTGCTCTCATCAGGGATTCATGGTGGTCCTCTGATGTAACTGATAAAACCAGGACATTTTTGTTTCTCTTATTGCTCATGATTAGAAAAGGGATTCATGATCTTGTTTTCCCTCTGCCTCTTAACTGAGAAGAGGATGGTCTCCAGGAACATTTGGAATGTTTGAAACTCAATGATGTATATTGGCCAAATTAGTAAAATAATTGTATCTCAGCTGGTTGGAACTCTTTCCTGGAGCAAAGTAGTGCTGCAGTCATTGGGTTGGAGGTCTTTCTTTGGGTGGAACACTGTATAGGGACTCAGGAGAGATGGAATTCCAGATAATATGTCACATTTTCTTTCATGAAGGAGATTGCAGTCTAACAGGGTAGGTTGTAAGCAATAATCGTCATATTACTTAATAACACTGGGAGGGGAGGCTTCTTGTGACAAGAGCGTGGAGGGTCGTGAAAAGGGGGCAAAGGTATGGGTCATTTAGGTTGATGAAATTCCAGTGAGGAAGCATGGCACATGCTGTTACTGGGTTTTGCAGTCCTTCTTAATGCTGAGGCAGATGATTGCAAGGCTGAGGTAGTGAATCTGCATTGGAAATTTATAAGAAAGAATGATTAAGATGAAAACACAATTTGACAGACATTTATCCACTGAGGCTAGTCATTGAGCTCTGTGCTGGGGACAGCAAAGAGGAGTTCCTGTCCTAGAGAGAACAATGGAAAATTAGTCTGTACTGAATGTGAGCACAAGGTGCCTGGAACAAGGAGGAAGCGACAGGCAATCACCTCAGGGACTGTTTCCAAGAGGAGGGGAACTTTCACCAGAGCCAGCCAGTAAGTGGGATGTGGTGGGGAGAAGAGGAAGTTCAAACAAAGTTAGAAAGTGAGCGAAGGCATATGGATGTAAAGGAACATGACCCATTAGGGAGCCAGCCCGGACATCAAGAATATGGACCCACGCAGAAGATTAACGGGTAGAGCTAATAAGGGAGACAGGCTAGGTCATTGGCCATGGGGGAGGGCCTTTTTGTTTTTTTTTAGAGAGGAGTTCTCCCTTTGCCTTCCAGGCTAGAGTGCAGTGGTGCCATCATAGCTCATTGCAGCCTTGACTCCTGGGCTCAAGTGATCTTCTTGCCTCAGCCTCGCAAGTAGCAGACACTAGAGGCACAAGCCACCACACCTGGCTAGTTTTTTAATTTTTGTAAAGATGGGGTCTCACTGTGTTGCCCAGGTTGATCTCGACCACCTAGGCTCAAGCAATCCTCCTGTCTAGGTCTCCTAAAGCCCTGAGTCTATAGGCCAGAGCCACTGTGCGCTGCCCAAGGGGACCTTTTATGTTATGCCAAAATTCTGGACATCAGGTCTGGTAGAAAACACTTGAAGGACTGTGAATTCGATAAGATAGCTATTGGGGAAGCCATTGTAGATTTTTGAGGATGAAAGAGATATAGTGAAGTTGGTATTTCACTTAACTACAAAAATTTTAGACACTGCTGACCTTTTTCTCATTATAAAAGTAAAACAATTAATTTCAGAAAAATTCAAAAGTAGAAAAACTATAAAGAAGAAAATAGGCTGGGCATGGTGGGTCACACCTGTAGTCTCAGCACTTTGGGAGGCCAAGGCAGGTGGATCACCTGATGTCAGGAGTTCAAGACCAGCCTGGCCAACATGGTGAAACCCCGTCTCTACTAAAAATACAAAAAATTAGCCGGGCGTGGTCGTGGGCACCTGTAATCCCAGCTACTTGGGAGGCTGAGGCAGGAGAATCGCTTGAACCCGGTGGCGGAGGTTGCAGTGAGCTGAGATAACGCCATTGCACTCCAGCCTGGGCAACAAGAGCGAGGCTCTGTCTAAAAAAAAAAAAAAGAAGAAGAAGAAGAAAATAAATATGCTGCATAGTCCCATGACCCTTAGATACAAATTAAATTATTTAAATGCTTCGTTATGTGGCAGACTTTTTGTGCATGTATGTGTCACAGGTAACATCATGGGGAGATTTTGGACCCGTGCCCAGCCTCTGTCCCCTCAACTGCAAGCCACATGATGTCTTTTACCCACCCTCTCCTGTGTTTATAAAATATATGAGAAATAAAATCAAAGCTCTCTTTGTGTTATTAGCTCACAAAATGGTTGAGATTGTTTACTCTTTGTCTTTCTGTAAAACACTTTTTGATCAGAGCAGCCCTTCTCTTTTTTATAAATGAGCCCTTTTTTTTTTTTAATTTGAGGAAAATATAAGACAACTTGATTGTTGCTGGAAGGCTGGAATCCCAAAGTGAATGGGGTTGGGGTCCAGGTGGCTCATGTGGTTTTAATCTGCGGGAGTAAGACCAGACAGCGACTTTAGCGCTTAGAGTGGTGGGGAAGCGGGCGGGGCTTAGATGTGCCAGCCCAGCTGAGGTGTCCTTGGGCGTCTCCTGCAGATCCTTCTGTCTTAGACTTCATTGCAGGGGACTGATGGCTGCAGTGTCTTCACCCTCTCCTCTTCCCTTAATGGCTTGATGAGGACTTCCCAGGTACAAAGAAATAAAGCCTAGAGTTTTCTAATTTGAAATAATAATTGACCTTGAAAAGTTTTCTTTTACCCATCGTCATTTCAGAGTCTGCAGAGATCCAAATCCAATAATTCCAAAACAAAATTAAAAACACAAAAACACTCAAGGTTGAAGTTGAGACTACTGTCCTTGACCTTCTCGCTGATATATATATATACACACCCACATATATTTATATATTATATATGTTTATTTGTAAATAGATATAGATTAATTTTTATATATTTTATATATTATATATTTTTATATAATATATAAAAATAAATATATTTATTATATTTAATAATATATATTATACACAAATTAATATAAATATATATAATATATAAATATATAATATATAAAATATAAATATATATTTATATATAAATAATATATAAAATATAAATATATATTTATATATAAATAATATATAAAATATAAATATATATTTATATATAAATAATATATAAAATATAAATATATATTTATATATAAATAATATATAAAATATAAATATATATTTATATATAAATAATATATAAAATATAAATATATATTTATATATAAATAATATATAAAATATAAATATATATTTATATATAAATAATATATAAAATATAAATATATATTTATATATAAATAAATAAATATATATGAAATAAATATACCCCCCATACATGTATGTATAAAATATGTGTATTCCTATTTGGGCCTTTCACACATGTTCAGATCATACCCTGTATAGTTTTGAATCTTACATTTTCACTAGTATTGTAAACATCTATTATTAAATACCATATTTTTCTTGAAAACACATTTGTAAACTACATTACATAAATATACCATAACTTGTTTATTCTTGGACCTTGAGATTTTTTTCTTCTAATATTTTGGCTGTTACATGAACATGTGCTATGGTGAACATTCTTGTGCAGAAATCATTGCACACATTGCTGTTAATTTTCTTAGTAACAGTTTTTAACAATAGAATTACTGATTAGAGGACGTGAGCTTTCAGAACGCTTTTGATATATTGCCAAGTTTCCCTCCAGAAGGATTTTACCTGTTTGGCTGTCACCAGGAGCGCATGAGACCTCCTGCCGCTCTGCACAGCTGTCTGTAGGTTATTGAGGGTTACACTTTTTAGTTCTTTGCCTATTTGGTAGGTAAAAATGGTATTTCCTTATTTGTTTTTGTTTTTTTCTTTTCTTTTTTTTTTTTTCTGTTTGGAGTAGGCTGCTGCTTTTGTACTTGTTTGACTACTTTCTCTCCCTCTTCACCCCCACCTCATGTCCCAACTCATATTTCTCTGATTTTCAACCATTTTCATTTGTAAGAGCTCTTTATATATATCATGAGACTACTGCCCCTTCTCTTATATGTCACATATCTTTTTCCTAGTTTATCTTTAATTTTGTAACTTTGTGGTTATGTGTATATGATTGCATGATCAAATATGTCCATTTTTTTTACATTCTCTCTCATTGCTTTAATGATTAAGAAATGCCAGCCCCTGCCTTTCTTTCTTGTTTTTTAATGGCTTCATTTAAAAATAATTATTCTTTAATTTATTGGAATTCATTTTTTTAAATGCAAGGTAGGAATAAAATGTATTTTTTCCCAAATATTTTACCTGTTATTCTGAAATCTAAAAGTAAGTTGATTGAAGCGCCCACTTTTCTTCATGGATTTGTAATTATATGAAGTTAGGTTTTAGAAAAGTTGGTAGGATACTAATGGGTGCTAGGGTAACGTGTGGGCAATGCTAGGATTATTAAGTAGAAGGACCTGGGGTGGCTGGGAAAGGGCTGGCACATTGTGAGCAGGGTGGTGCCATTGTGTTAGTGGGGAAATTCATGAGGGTGACTGTTGCCAGGAAAGACTTTGAGAAAGTTGTTTTTTTTTTTTTTTTTTTTTTTTTTAGCACTGTATTTTTCAGAACTTGGCACACATTTTTGGTTTTGATTAGAACCATATCAATTTTCTCTCTCAGTGAGTTGAACACCCTTTTAAGCCAAGAGGTAGATTAAAGGATTCAAGGGACAGAGGAGAAATCTGGGCTTTTCAAGGCCATATTCCTTGAAGTAGCCTCATTGCTTCCACCACCCCCAATTCAAAGAATGCTTCTTTACTTGCAGTGTACTATTGTAACAGACTTTATGATTAACAGATAACTTTCATATCTGCTAGTTTGCTTGGTTCTTTCAGCAACCCAGTGTAAAAGGCATGCATTGCCTTACTATGTCCCCATTTTTAAAGATTTGGAAACTTAAACCCAAAGATGTTAAGTGCTTAAGATCACATACATCCTATATATTCTCTTGTTCTTTCATTGAACAAATACTCATCGAGGGTTCACAGTTTTGCAAACACTGCTAGGTACTGAGGATATATAGATGAAAAGAAGGTTTTTGCTCTTCAAATGCTTAAGTAAACTAAAAGGCAGAGCTGGAAATAAAGCCCGTATTGTGGACTCCAAGTAATGCTCTTTCTGCTACACCATACTTTGTGGTGTCTGCTCCCATGTGCTTCTTCGCTAAGGCTGATCAAAAAAGTTAGTAGGTTGCTTCAGCTATAAGAATTTGATGGTCTTCCTTAGTCATCATAGTCTGCAGCAATCATTTTTGTTCATCATTGGGATGTCTGCTTACTCCTGTTGAGTAAATGTGATCTATTCACCCTTGGAAGCTCCTTGCACACCAACAGTATTCTTGGATAGGGACAAGTGTTGTCTAAGTCAGTGACGATTTCTTTAGCATAATAAAAGGCTCCATGTAGGATGCTAATACTTGAGTGAAATATGCTTCATAAGCAGCCTTGTTTTGACAGAGTTGGTGTAAAGTGAGGTTATGTCTTGGCCTGAGCGTCTTCAAAGCATGTGCCACTTTGTGCATCTGTGTGATTCCACAGGTGCCCAGAGACTAAAATTTAAATGGAGGCAGTTGATTGTAGCCATAGCAGAGAGAGCCATGGTTGGACAGGTGTATTGTTTATGATGTGGTGGTGTGAAGTGGTGTGCTGCCTCCTTGGTGGCCTTGAGGATACAGGGAGCTGAAGTCTGGGGACATGAGGATCCCCAGGGGAATGGACACTGGGACAAAGATTTGACTCCTTTCCTAGGTCAGACTTCATATTTTACAACCAGGCCCTACAATACTCATCCATTAAAACAAAGGAAAATTTACATGAGGCAGTTAATGTGAATGACATTGAATACTTCATGCATGTGAACTTGAGTGACCTTGATGGAACCGGGGGAACTTAGGTGATCATTAGATCTTGTGTATTATGTTGCTTTCTACCTTGGTATTCCATGTAGACCTTTCTGGGGCTCTTTTTATAGGCACTAGATCAAAAGCCAGGCATCTGTATTTCTTGGTTCTTTGTTATGTAAAGTGTAATTTAGAATCACTCAAAATCCTTGTTGTAAAGAGAAATGTTTTCTTCATTGATATTCTGATATAAATGTGCCAGCATTATCATCTGTCTAGAAAGCTTAGTTTTTGCAGATTAAAAAAAAAAAGGGAAAATTAGGTTTTTATGGACTTCCATTGTGTTGGAAGAAGCTAGTCCTTCTAATGAGTTTTTAAAATTCTGAAATGAAAAGAGATTGGTGTATTTGAAAACTGAGGATTGGAGTAAGTCTATTCAACTGATTTTTATCCTTTAGGTTTAATTTCTATATTTAATTTTATTTTTGCATTTAAGTCTTAATTCTGTTTACAGGCATGTTAATACTTTGGCATTTTATTTCTATTTCATCCTATATGATTCAGTGTACTTTTATGTGTTGCAATAAAATAATTGTTTCTACATGTGTTTTCTGATTGACAAGTTGAATAAAGAGATTGATTTTCTTTGGCATAAAACTAAGTATAGAGTCATGCGGGAAAGCCTTTGGAAAACAAATAGAGCAATCCTTTTGTCAATGCTAATATGTCAGTTTTTAAGCTACTTGCATGACTGGAGTGATAACCAATCTTAGAACAAGCATTTGCTATTGATTTGCCAGTCTAAAATAACAAGTTACTGCTTCGGTTCTTATTGAGAATTAAATCAAAATAATTCTGTGCCCTATATAATATGTATTGTGAGAATTAGCCTGCATGATTTATGTACTGTGGTGTAGCAGTGGATAAATGTTGAAGAATCATATGACTTTAGTTAGAGGTTGAAAATTATTACTACATAATTTTATTATATAGTAAATTTTAATTTGATATACACAAAAGCTGTTGCAGAGGTTCTTATAAAGTTATGTGGAACATTGTATTATAAGAATTTGCATCTTTTTTATTAATCGTGATGAATTCTTAGCCCATATGGCTTTTATTGTCCAATAAAAACAGCAAGTGGGAAATGCTGATTTGTTAACAAAACATAGACCGTTTTGCAAATCAGAATTGATTATCATTCAAAGCTAATATTAGAAATAAAAATTCTATATTGTTTCCTCTTCCCAAAATTAAAATGTTAAGTTACAATTAGGTACTCTGTGTTTCATAGAAATGTCAGATAGCATTGTTTTGCATATTTTAAATTTATCTCCAGAATTTACCATCTGGTAAATGGTTTGAGTTAATTTCAGAGAGTTGCAAGTAACTCAGATGTTTCATATAGAAGTAACGATTCACGTATCCCACATTTGTGTTTATGAGTGTATGTGTGCATATAAGCTTATCATAGCTCAGATATTTAAAATAAATCCACAGTTAATCTCAAATCTTTCTCTTTTAATGCTTCCTCTTACCTAAAGTTTTAGGGCCATATAATTTAATTTTTTTTAATAATGAGGTTTATTTCTTGCTAACCCTGTATGTTTGTAATGTGTTGATGGGGGTGAAGGCTCTTTGCAACATTGGCCTCACTCAGGGACTCAGGCAAAGAGAAACTCCATCTCCATGCTTCCAGATTTGGCAAGGAAGGAAATATGGGTATGGCATATGCAAGGATGTGACGTACTTGCTCCCAAACTAGTTTCCAACAGTTGTGTACAAAATTGTATGTGGAAATTGGCAAGCTGATTCCAAAACATGTATGAAAAGTACAGAGGATAAGGCATAACAAGCCAATCTTGAAAAAGAATAAGGTTGTTGGACTTACTCTACTGACATCAAGACTTAAATCTATAGTAATTATTACTTACTACTTATGGTAATTACTCATTACTTATAATAAATAATTTTTCTTATTACTTATAGTAAATAGGTAGATAAGTAAGCTATAAATTTATAGTAATTAAGACACACAGTGTTGATGCAGGGATAGGCAAATATACACATGGAATTGAAAAGTCAGTCCAGGAACAGAACCAAGCATATATGAAGACATAACTTTTGACAAAAATTGGCACCGCGGAGCAGTGGGAAAATAATGATCTGTTTAACCATTAGTGGGTCAATTGGATCACCATGTGAAAAAAATTGTACTAGATATCTTCATTACATCAAAATTAAGTTCATATTTTCTTTTTCTGAACTGAAGTTGGTTTGTATACAGTGTGAGGTACACAATTCATTGAATTGGTTATAACTTTGAGAACTTCGACAGAACTTAGATCAGTGATCAAGTTTAACAGAGCACAGCTAGAATCCCAGAATCTCTCTTGGGCATACTTTTTTTTTTTTTGAGACAGAGTCTCACTCTGTTGCCCAGGCTGTAGTGCAGTGGCGCAGTCTCGGCTCACTGCAGCCTCCGCCTCCTGGGTTCAAGTGATTTTCCTGCCTCAGCCTCCTGAGTAGCTGGGACTACAGGTGCCCGCCACCACACCTGGCTAATTTGTTTTGTATTTTTAGTAGAGACGGGGTTTCACCATGTTGGCTGGGATGGTCTTGATCTCCTGACCTCGTAATCCACCTGCCTTGTCCCACCCAAAGTGCTAGGATTACAGGCGTGAGCCACCATACCTGGCCTCTCTCAGGCATACTTCTAATCATTACCCTTTCCCTTTTCTCTAGAGGTAACTATATGCTGAATTCCAAGACTATAAGTCTACTTGTTTGGTACATTATAGACACAGAGTTATATAGTAGGTATTCTTCTCTGTGTTGCTTCTTTCAATATGACATACTTTCAATATGTAACACTCAATATTATGTTTGTGAGATTGATGTTGTTGCATATAGCTGTAATTCTTAAAGAGTGCAGCGCTATGCTTCACCTCCTTAAGCTTGGAATATCTACATAAATTATTTGGAATTCTTCCACATGGGTGATTCAGCTATTCCCCATTTATTTATTTACCGTGTGGACTCATGGATATTTGTTTTATACTTCAGGTGATAAGCCAATACTACTTTATTGTGTTGCTCAAATTACTCTGGCTTTAGCCACTGGAAACTCTTTCAATTGCCTCCTGTAACCCTTTGATACATACCCATTATTGTGTTATTGTTGTTGTGAGCATTTTCTTGCTTTCTGCACTACAAGGTGCCTCAGACCTATTTTGTATATTTTTTGCCCCAGTCCTAGAATCAGCCATTTTTCCAAGTGGCCCTGGTTCTATTAGAAATGAAGATCAGGATGCTAGGTGTACTCATTGCTACTGGGTGTAGGGTCACTCAGCTACAGGGCAAGGAAATACATGTGTGTATACTAATCTCTCTGTGTGTATGTATACATTTCTATATGTAACCCTCTATATCTATAGTAAGCTAATACATATGCTACTGAGTTCATCCTGATGTCTCCAGCTCTAATCCATTTATCACATGGATCATTCTAACTTCCTTCCGTTGCATATGTGTAATCCCACCCACTTCAACATTGAGAAATCTTGGTTCCATTATTCACCATCTATTTACTTACATCTTTAATTCCAGTATGCATGTATAGCAGTTTCAGCATTATCATCCTGTACTTCCATCGGGAAACAGCTTTATCAACTAGAGTATGATATTTATATGAAGTTCCTTTTGTCTTTTTTTTACAGACTCCACTTATTTCTAAAGTTATTATTTGGGTCAGGATTTTATTTCCTCATACTGTTAAGTGAGGTTTTTAAAATACATTTAAAATGCATATGTATAATCTCATTCTGCTTTTCTTCCTGGGATTTCCCTAATCTCCTGAATGAGATTTAAGGTTTACTCTTTGTGTTTATAAAGTTCTATGAATTTTGACCAATGCTTAATTTCTTGTATTCATCATTACAGTATCATACAGAATAGTTTCACTGCCCTAAAAAATCTCCTGTACTCTACATTCAACCTTCTCTACCTTCCTGTCCCCAACCTGGAAACTACTCTATATTTAGCTTTTCTCAGCATGTCGTATAATTGGAATCATCCAATATGTAGCTTTACAGGGTGGCCTCTTTCATTTAACAATATGCATTTAGGATTCATCTGTGTATTTTTGTGACTTGATACCTCATTTCTTTTCATTGCTGAATAATATTCCATTATGGATATACCACCAATGGTTCATCTATTGAAGTGCATCTTGATTGCTTTCAGATTTTGGTGATTATGAATAAATCTCTATAAACATTTGCATGTAGATTTTTATATGGACGTACATTTTCAGATTAATTGGGTAGATATCTAGGAGCTTGATTGCTGGATTGCATGGTGGGACTATGTTTAGTTTCTAAGAACTTGCCAAACTATCTTCCTAAGCCGCCATATCCAGCTGCTTATATTCCAGCCAGCTCTGCATCTTTCCCAAAAGCTGTACATTAGCTTTTTGGATTTTAGCCATCACAATAGGTGTGTAGCGGTATCTCGTTGTTTTATTTTGCAACTCCCTAATGACAAATCTTATTGTAAAATTGAGGTAAACTTCTAGAATACTGTCATTTTGCTACTGATAGCTAGTGAGGAAAATTACATGGTGTTTTATCTGAAATATTAATGAAATGTGTCAACATGTATCATTGTGAAACAATTTTTAAGGCTCAAGTCTACTTTTAAAAAATTGTGGTAAATATATATAACAAGAAGTTTATCATCTTATCATTATTATTATTATTATTATTATTATTATTATTTTGAGACAGTCTTGCTCTCTCGCCCAGGATGGCGTGCAGTGGCATGATCTCAGCTCACTGCAGCCTCGACCACTCAGGCTCAGGTGATCTTCCCACCTCAGCCTACTGAGTAGCTGGGACTACAGGCACATACCACCATGCCTGGCTAATTATTCTGTATTTTTAGTAGAGTCAGCGTTTCGCCATGTTGCTCAGGCTGGTCTGAAACTCCCAGGCTCAAGCAGTCTACCTGCCTTGGTCTCCCAAAGTTCTCAGATTACAGGCATGAGCCACTGTGCCCAACCAGTTACTTTTAAGTATATAGTTCAGTAGCGTTAAGCACATTCATATTGTTGTGCAACCAATCTCTCTTCATTTTGCAAAACTGAAATTATATCTATTAAACAACAAATGCTGTTTTCCCACTCCCTGCATCCCCTAGTGGCCGTCCTTCTACTTTCTGTCTCAATGAATTTGACTACCCTAGGTTCCTCTTGCCAGTGGAATCACACAGCATTTATCTCTTTGTGACTGGCTTATTTCACTCAGCATCATATCCTGAAGGCCCATCCGTGTTGTATGCGTTAGTTGCTAGGGATGCCCTCACAAAATGCCACCGACCGGGTGGCTTAGACAGCAGAAACTTATCTTCTCACCATTCTGGAGGCTGGAATTCCATGATCAAGGTGGTGGCCAGTTTTCTCTGAGGCCTCTGTCCCTGGCTGCAGATGGCCTCTTGCTGCCTTTTCATGTGACCTTTCTCCTCTGCCCAAGCATCCCTGTTGCCCCTCTATGTCTGTCTCAGTTTCCTCCTCTTATAAGGACACCAGTCAGATTGGGTTAGGGCCCACCCTAATGACCCAATTTTAACTTAAACACCTCTTTAGGGACCCTGTCTCCAAATACAGTAGATACTGGAGGTTAGGGCTTCAACATATGGCTTTTGAGGGGACATAGTTCAGCCTGTCACATTGACCACATATTAGGATTTTCTTTCTTCTTAAGGTTGAATAATATTCCATTCTATGAGTGTGCACACTTTAAAAATCTGTTCATCCACTGATAAACGCTTGAGTTGTTTCCCCCTCTTGGTTACTGTGCGTTATGCTGCTGTGGACGTGGGGGTGTAGATATCTCTCCAAGACCCCGCTCTCAGTTCTTTTGGATATATACCCAGAAGGAGGATTATTGAATCATATTATAATTCTACTTTTAATTTTTTGAGGAACCTCCCATGCTGTTTTGCACAGTAGTTGTGCCCACTTTGTATTTCCATCAGCAGTGCTCAAGGGTTTCTTTGCAATATCTCCACATCCTCACCAATGCTTGTTATTTTCTGTTTTTTGAGAGTAGCCATCCTAATAGGTATAAGGAATAATAAATGTTTAATATAAAACATTCAAAAATAGTAAGAACAGAAAATGGAAAAATAAAATTTTATTTCTTCTGTGTCTCAAGAATAGCCACTGTTAACATCTTAGTGGTCTTTTAGATTTTATTTTATGGATATATTCATATATATATGTATATGCACACTATCCATTTATATAATGTAAACATTTTATATTATTATGTGATTTTTCCCATTTAACATTACATTATGAGCCTTTCCTGTGTCATTAAATATTATTGAGGTACATGAGTATTAATAGCTACATAATGTTTTAATTATTTTCTGATTATTACATGTTAGGTTTCTTCTAGTTTGCCCCTCTTACATACAATTCTCTGATGGAAATTCATACACATAAATCTGAGCATTTCTGACAGTTTTCTTTGGTCAGATTCCTAGGAGGACATTATCGAAGTAAAGTGTTCTTTTTAAAGATTCTGAAAATGTTCTACAAAATACAAAATTGTTTTTAGGAAGTTTCTTCTGATTTACACTTCCTCAAGCTGCCTGGGAGACACCACTGTCACCTAATACCACTGTCACTGGTATTGAATATTACCTTTCCAACTAATTGAAAAAAACTGTTTCAACTTTGCAGGTAAAAATGGTTTCACCTTGATTTGGTTTGTATTTCCTTGATGATTAATGAGGATATGCAGTTTTCAGATATTTATCATTCTTTTGTGAATTTAATGTGCCTGCTAAAATAATTCACATGGATTGTAAATGGACAGTGAATTTGCAGAATTACCAATGTTTTCATAGTAAAGTAATGAGATACTATTAGTTAACAACCTTTAATGTTTAAGAAAATATAATATGCTTAACATTAATATTAAGAAATGGTGTTACATTTATTAATGATGATTTCCTTGCTATGTAAGACTGGTAAATACTAGTCAGAAAAAAACTGCTTAAAATGTAAATATTTGTGAACAGGGAACACATTTTTATCTAAAGTTCTAATTTTATTACATACTTACTTGGGAAGAAATAATAACTTGTTTATCAAACAGCAAAGTTTAACTAGATAGGAGTAAAGGATACAGTTTTATGCAAAAACTGAGAAGAGTACTGATGAAATTTTAAAGGTAGGAGAGATGTGGTTAGGGGGATGAATAAGGAAGAGGAATAGACGGTTAGTAAATCTGTAGCCAGGAGAGTAGAATTCAGACTTCCTGGAAGGCCTTGGCAGTTCCGTAAATTGTTATCTATCTATAAATTAAAAAGTTCTAGAAGCCTTGGTACCCAAGTTCAGTCTGCAAGTTCAGTCTGGAGGTCCTGTATCTCTTGGAAGGAGACAAGTTGAGTTTATAAAGAGAAGCCCCCAGGCCTGGTGTCAGAAGACCTGCTATCTTCTGAGGTATCCTGGGGAATAATGCAGCTTATTTATCAGAGACCACCATTATTCTGGAGCAGATGCAAATTAGGTGCTATCAGAATAGATACAGTGAGCTTGTTTTTGTTTTTCGCCTGCCTGAGTACAGAGGAATTACTTTGAGACTTGGAATGTCCTTAATCAACCTGGAGTTTGGTTGGGATTAAAGCCTATAGGATAGGTTTGTGGAAACATTGGTCTAGTTCACTTTTTTTCTCTGTTTATTTGTTTTTATTTTTCCATAGGTTATTGGGGTACAGGTGGTGTTTGGTTACATGAGTCAGTTCTTTAGTGGTGATTTGTGAGATTTTGTGTACTCATCACCTGAGCAGTATACACAGTACCCTATTTGTAGTCTTTTATCCCTTGCCACCCTCCCACCCTTCCCCCCAAGTCCCCAAAGTCCATTGTATCATTCTTATGCCTTTTTGTCCTCACAGCTTAGCTCCCACATATCTGTGAGAACATATGGTGTTTGATTTTCCATTCCTGAGTTACTTCACTTAGAACAATAATCCCCAGTCTTATCCAGGTCACTGCAAATGTCGTTAATTCATTCCTTTTTATGGCTGAGTAGTATTCCATTATATATATATATATTTATATATATATTTATTTATATATATCAATCACAGTTTCTTTATCCACTTGTTGATTGATGGACATTTGGGTTGGTTCCACGATTTTGCAGTTGTGAATTGTGCTGCTATAAACATGCATGTGCAAGTATCTTTTTCGTATAACGACTTCTTTTCCTCTGGGTAGATACCCAGTAGTGGGATTGCAGGATCAAATAGTAGCTCTACTTTTAGTTATTTAAGGAATCTCCACACTGTTTTCTATAGTGGCTGTACCAGTTTACATTCCTACCAGCAGTGTGGAAGTGTTCCCTGATCACCACATCCATGCCAACATCTACTGTTTTTTGATTTTTTGATTATGGCCATTCTTGCAGGAGTAAGGTAGCATCACATTGTGGTTTTGATTTGCATTTCCCTGATCATTAGTGATGTTGAGCATTTTTTCATATGTTTGTTGGCCATTTGTATAACATCTTTTGAGAATTGTCTATTCATGTCCTTAGCCCACTTTTTTATGGGATTGTTTGTTTTTTTCTCACTGATTTGTTTGTTTGTTGTAGATTCTAGATATTAATCCTTTGTCAGATGTATAGACTGTGAAGATTTTCTCCCACTCTGTGGGTTGTCTGTTTACTGTGCCGACTGTTCCTTTTGCCGTGCAAAAGCTCTTTAGTTTAATTAAGTCCCAGCTGTTTATCACTGTTTTTATTGCATTTGCTTTTGGGTTCTTGTTCATGAAATCCTTGCCTAAGCCAATGTCTAGAAGGGTTTTTCCAATGTTGTCTTCTAGAATTTTTATAGTTTCAGGTCTTAGATTTAAGTCCTTAATCCATCTTGAGTTGATTTTTGTATAAGGCGAGAGATGAGGATCCAGTTTCATTCTCCTACATCTGGCTAGCCAGTTATCCCAGCACCACTTGTTGAAAAGGGGGTCTTTTCCCCATTTTATGTTTTTGTTTGCTTTGTTGAAGATCAGTTGGCTGTAAGTATTTGGGTTTATTTCTGGGTTCTCTATTCTGTTCCATTGGTCTATGTGCCTATTTTTATACCAGTACCATGCTGTTTTGGTGACTACGGCCTTATAGTATAGTTTGAAATCAGGTAGTGTGATGCCTCCAGATTTGTTCTTTTTACTTAGTCTTGCTTTGGCTATGTGGGCTCTTTTTTGGTTCCATATGAATTTTAGAATTTTTTTTCTAATTCTGTGAAGAATGATGGTGGTATTTTGATGGGGATTGCGTTGAATTTGTAAATTGCTTTTGGCAGTATGGTCATTTTAACAATATTGATGCTACCCATCCATGAGCATGGGATGTGTTTCCATTTGTTTGTGTCATCTGTGATTTCTTTCAGCAGTGTTTTGTAGTTTTCCTTGTAGAGGTCTTTAGCCTCCTTGGTTAGGTATATTCCTAAGTATTTTACTTTTTTTTTGCAGCTATTGTAAAAGAGGTTGAGTTCCTGATTTGACTGTCTGCTTGGTGGCTGTTGGTGTATAGGAGAGCTACTGAATGGTCTAGTTCATTTTTGGGGAGTGAGGAAGGAAGGGGTTGGTTAGGAAGGAAGAAGAATGAAGAAAATAGGCCTAGCCTGGTAGGGAAAGCCAGGATCCTGGTATAGTGTAGCACATAATCCTGTGCTGTATTTGATAGTTACTACCTTAATTTTACATTTTTCATGTTTATAGATAGTTTAAAGGGAAAGAACAAATTAAAACTTACACTGTCGATATTTTTAAAACATAATGCTTTGTATTTAAAAAGTAATATTTGCAGTAAAACCCCCAACTAAAGCAGAAGAATATAAATTCTTCCCCACTCCTCACCACTCTATCCTTCACCTCAAGATAACTATTTTAAAATTTTCATGTGTCTATAAATGCACACACATTTTATGTACAAGAGATTATATAATCCATGCTTTTCTACAAATTATTCTTTTCACTTAATATTTGTATCTTGGATATTCCCCATATCTATACATTTAAATCCACTCCATCCAGTGCAATGTCTACAGTCTTCTATTGTACGAAGTGCTATAATTTACTAACCAGTCTCCTAAGAATGGATATTTCATTGGTTTTACAATTATTTTTGTTTTATAATAATAATAATAATTATTATTATTTTTGAGACGGAGTTTCACTCTTGTTGCCCAGGCTGGAGTGCAGTGGCATGATCTTGGCTCACCGCAACCTCCGCCTCCTGGGTTCAGGCAATTCTCCTGCCTCAGACTCCCGAGTAGCTGGGATTACAGGCGTTCGCCACCATGCCCGGCTAATTTTGTATTTTTTTTGTTAGTAGAGACGGGGTTTCTCCATGTTGGTCAGGCTGATCTTGAACTCCTGACCTCAGGTGATCCATCTCGAACTCCCGACCTCAGGTGATCCACCCGCCTTAGCCTCCCAAAGTGCTGGGATTACAAGCATGAGCCACCCTGCCCGGCCTGTTTTATAATTATAAATAATTCTGTAGTGAAATTCTTTTTTTTTTTTTTTTTTTTTTTTTGAGACGGAGTCTTGCTCTGTCGCCCAGGCTGGAGTGCAGTGGCGCGATCTCGGCTCACTGCAAGCTCCGCCTCCCGGGTTCACGCCATTCTCCTGCCTCAGCCTCCCGAGTAGCTGGGACTACAGGCGCCCGCCACCACGCCCGGCTAATTTTTGGTGTTCTTAGTAGAGTCAGGGTTTCACCGTGTTAGCCAGGATGGTCTCAATCTCCTGACCTCGTGATCCGCCCGCCTCGGCCTCCCAAAGTGCTGGGATTACAGGCATGAGCCACCGTGCCCGGCCTCTGTAGTGAAATTCTAAATATGAATAGTATATTCCTAAATATGCTATTGCTGGTTCGAAGTCAGTGTTTAATGACAGCCTACCCAGGCCACCTGTCTGAGATGGAGAAATAGTGTTTCTTTCTGAATGGTGGCTATGTTAGTCGTCTTTCATTTAGGTATTGATGATATTTTACCTTGGCAGAGCACTTTAACATTGCCAACCACTGATCACAATGTATGGATTGGTTTCTTAACCCTGCTTGAGATGAGGGGGTAAGGCACAGAGTCCTGACTTGTCTCTGCTTGGACCTTAGCTGAATCTTCTCATTTCTGGCACAATGTTAATATCTTTGGAGGTAGAGGGGGCTCCTTGGAAACTATGCGTTCAGTGATAGGAAGTATTCTTCTTGTTTAATGGGAGGCCTTGCTGTTTCTCCCTCTTCTGTAATTCTAAGATGATCTGGAATCATTTGCTTCTTGTTGAAGACATCTTCAAGTTTAGTAATTTTCTAGTATGTTTCCCAGAAATTATGTAGTATCTTCTGTTAATGCATGTAGAATTTTAATTCCAAAAGGACAATGTTGACACTTCCATGTTTCTTTGTGCCAGTCATAAACAAAATTTGGTAAAAGCTAGCTTGATCTACTCCTTGAGGCTGCTGCTTCCAGAATGTACCTGAAGCAGCTTTATGTATTATAGTATGCGCTTAACTGTCCTGGAAGACCAGGCAAATCTCACGTATTGTTTATCCTTACTGGCTCAGTGAAGGGAGGGCTTCAGTGAGAAGGAACACCAGATACTTATTCATCCATCCATTCTACAAATGGTAATTGAGTGCTTACGGGGAGCCAGGGCTTGTTCTCAGCTAAGCTGAGAGGTGTGTTCTCTGAAGTCCAGTGGATGGAGACCCCAAAGGGCCCAGACAGCTGGGAAACCCAGATGGAGGCCCACAGAATGGAGGCCTGCTAACTCGGCAGAGGACTAATTGATGTTGAGTTGGCAGAGATCAAGGATGGGGAGAAATGTGAAGTGTCTCCCCCTATCTCTTCCTGTGTATACAACTAAATGCCCAACCCCACCTACCCTAGCTTGTCTGTTGTTCTGTGCAGTGTTTCGAGGAAGAAGAGCCGTCTTCATGGGCTCTCTTCACATTAATAAATTTATCTCCATATCACAGAGCTAGCTGCCTGTATTGCCTGTGGCATTGGACTTGCTGTGTTGTATGTGGGTGTATATGGGAAACATAAAAAGAGACAGGGCCAGGCGCAGTGGCTCATGCCTGTAATCTTAGCACTTTGGGAGGCCAAGGCAGGCGGATCACTTGTGGTCAGGAGTTCAAGACCAGCCTGGCTAACATGGCAAAACCCCATCTCTACTAAAAATAAAAAAAATTGGCCAGGCATGGTGGCGCATGCCTGTAATCCCAGCTACTTGGGAGGCTGAGACATGAGAATCTCTTGAACCCGGAAGGCGGAGGTCACAGTGAGCCGAGATCACACCACTGCACTCCAGCCGGGGGGATAGAGTGAGACTCTGTCTCCCCCGAAAAAAAAGTGGGGAAGGGAGGAAAAGAAAAAAAGGGAAACATTTTAAGGTAAGAGGAAACAAACACATTGTTAGAGTAGACTTCATGTCCTCTTTGCAACATTTCTTAAAGATTTGTGATAATTATCATGCTTAGGCAGCCCCATGATATATAACATTCCTAATGTTCTAGGGAATCAAGTAAAATATTTGTATGATAGATTAGGTGTCTAACTGAAATTGGGAACTTGTGAGTGATGCCACAGCTATAGGAAGACCCCTTGGTTTTCTGACATTGTTATATGGATATTTAGAATTAATCGTCTTTAGTGTCACTAGCACAGAATGAATTATAGAACTGTGGAATTCAAATAATTCATAATTCTTAATGTCTTCCTCTGAGTCAAGCTTGATTGACTACAGAGTTTTCACCAAAGGAAGTTACAGAAATGTCCTCCGCAGTACTTGTGTGGAAGTTGTGGTCACAGACATTTTTTGTCCTGTGTAGCTGGTACTTTGTGTATAATGAGCATTAAATAATATTTTTTAAATTGAAAAGCATAAACTTTTTAGAACTTAAATTGTTTTTAATATCCACAGTTTCCATGCAACTTAGAATCCCGATTCTAATACTTATTGTGTGACTTTTGCAAACTGTTTAAATTTTCTAAGCCCCACTTTTTTCATTGATGAAAGGCCTTTATCTATAAAATGAGCATAATAATGTTTATGGCACAGATCTTGTATCATTTTTAGATTTATATCCTTTTATTAAAAGTTTGTGTTTTGTATAAATAAGGAGGTTTGTTGAGGGGTAAATAAAATAACAAATATAAACTTTCTTTACAAGCTTTCCAGCACCAGGCAGTTGCTCAATATTACTGTTATTATGATTCCCACTATTACTAAATTCTATAACCATAAATAAAATGTAGGACTCAGGATCTGAATGGGGTTTAGTTCTGTGTGTTCAAATGGTGATATGCATACAGCCTAAATTTTGAAAAGGAAGGAAAAAGCATGAAACAAACGTTCATTTACCACATATTTTTAATGTATCTTATACTGTTTTATTCAGTGCCCACTCTGTGCCAGTGTGTAAAAGGAGAACCAGGTTGCGTGTTTCAGGAAACCAGGAATTAGAGTGCCAGGCACTCTTCTATGTGCTGAGGATACAGTTTGATAGAAACTAGATGTAGACTTTCTTCTTATGGTATGGTTTAATAAAGGATTCAGATAATTAGCATAAGAAGTGCCATTATCGGGGAGAGTGGAGGGTTCTACGTACGACTTATATAGGGCCCCGGGATTTGGTGAGGGGAGTCTGGGAATGTTCCCAAGAGGGAAAAATCACTAAAGTGAGACCTTCAGGATCAGGAGGAAGAGGGCAGGTGGACAGCAGAGGTGTTCAAGGCACAGGAAGGAGCCATAACATAGAAACTGGGAAGATTGGGAGCTGACCTTGAGCAGATGAGCAGGGCTACCAGATTGAGATGCTATCCTGAGGGCAGGGCAGTGGCATGACCAAACTGCTCTTTTTTAAAGAAACACCACCCTGGCTTGACGGGGGAGGAACGATTGGGCTGGGGTAGGAGCGAATGGGCTGGGGTAGGAAGAGCAGCCGGGAGATACATTTTAGGAGGCTCTGCAGGGGGCTGGAAGGGAGCCCATGGTGGCCTGGGCCAAGGAGTTGGCAGTGCAGAAGGAGAGAGTTGGACAAGTATGAGCAGTCTTCAGGTAGTAGAGTTGACAGGTCTAGAGAGGGTTGATTGGATATGGGGGGCATGGGAAATCACACAGTCCAGATGATGCCCAGGTTTCTGACTCAGGCAACTAGGTGGGTAGTGCTGCGGTCTGCTGACACAGGCAACAAGTAGAGGCTGGGGTTGGGGTCGGTGTGGTGGTGAGCTAAGTCTGGACATGCAGGCTGTCTATGAGAAACCTGACTTGAGAAGGCCACATAGGGAGTTGGATAATTGGTAGCTGAGAAGAGAGATTTGAGTGAGTCTTGGAGAGTTGTACAACATCAACATAAAGATGGCACCTGAAAGCAAGGAATGAATGACATCTCCCATAAAGACTGTCACTTGAGAAGAGACCAGGTTTTGCACAGAGCCTGGAGTGTCACAGGAGGGAAAAATGGCAAGCAGACTGAGGAGCAGCCAAAGAGACAAGAGGGAGACCACAATCTCATGGTACCAGAGGGCCAGGGAAGGAGACCTCTGAAGGGCAGTGCTAGCCAAGGGGAGATAGGGGAGTGAAAAGCATCCACGGATTGCCCCATGAGGAAGTTGAAGCCTGGCCGTGAACAGGAGAACCAGATTGCATGTTTAGGGAAACCAGGAATTGGAGAGAGACAGCAAGTATAGACAGCTTTGCAGAAAACTGTGGCTGATAAGAGAAGGTGTAATGGCAAGAAAGAGGGTCAGGGAGGGCCTATCATTCTCTTTTTCTAAATACAGAGAGGCCTTGACCAGGTTTATTTGCTGATTCAAAAAAGCCAATTGAGACCAAGAGCAAACACGAGAAAGTGGCATCTATGGGAAGGTGGGGTTGGGGGGATAGGCCTCAGAGCCCAGGTGGGAGAGTTAGCCTGGGGAGGAGAAAGGGCTCCCCCCAGAGAGGAGGAAAGGGCGTGAAGACTGAGGTGAGGGAAGGTTGGAGGAGGGAAATTGAGGCGCATCTGACCACTGCTGACTGCGGAACCGAGCCCCTGACCTCACATCCCGATTCTGCTTTTGTGGTGACCACAGGGGCTGCTCTGTGTTCTCTTCCAGATTCTGATATTTTTATTGTCTTACTTCTCTCTTCTGTGTCCTCTTGACCCGCTGAGACTTCCAGCTAAGCTGACAAACTGCCTGTACCAAAACAGGTCATTCTCTCTTCACACAGGGTGTCCTTTCCTCTCAGGTACATTAGTGAGCTTATTCTGTTGGTTTCCACCTGTGTTGTCTCCGTGGAGAACCGTGATGGTTGGCCTGTCAGGGTGATTAGCTATCATGAGGCATTTGGGGCCATACATCTCCTTTTAATTCTTCCTTTTTGAAAAGTCGGTTCCATTTATCTTCTTTCTAGCCTAGGGCTTGTTCTCTACCTCACAGGTAAGTTGATTCAGTTCAATGGATAGCAGTAGTTCAAGGTGACTCTTAGTCCTTTTCAGAAACCCCATTTCAACCACAGCCTATCTCCTTAGTAGTCCTGGGAGAAAAAGAAGTCGAGTTGGATTCGGGAAGAGCATGAGCCTTTTTTTACGGCTAACGTTGAGGGTCTCTGGGCTTTCTGGGTCCGTGAGACTGACCAACCTGAAGTATGGGGATTGGATGAGAGGACTCAGACACCCTTCTCCCTTCTGACTTCAGGCACCAGCCCATGAGCCTGAGTGGCCACAGCAAGGATTGCAGGGAAGGGCATCATGGTTAAAACATAAGCATGTTATAAAATATGACTCATTGTGTAGATAGCTTTTAAAATTCCTAGGAGCTGAAGTTCAGAAACTGGTGCTGTAAAGTGAAAATGAAATTTAACTGAGCATTTGTTGGAGGAAAAATAGTTTATTGGCTCTCCCATGAAAAGCCCTGAGAGTCAGCATCCTTCTCATCGCAGACACCTGTGATTGATGACGGCCCTGTGCTGCTGCCGGGAAGGGAGCTCTTTGAAATAGCATAGTAGGGACTTTGCAAGTGGGTCTCATTTGGTTAAGTTACTGCCTTTGTGAGGCTCTGCTGCATCTTTATATTCTACCAAGGAGAAGATGGTAAATCAGAGTAATTGCTTCATCCCAAGGCACTTTTATATTGTAAAGGAAAAAGGTCCTGTTAAGAAACTCAAATTAACTTCTGCTGTTTATACTATATAGAAAGACTCTGAAAGCTGCTTGTCATACAGCCTGGCAGTTTATTTATCATGGAACAATTCCATTAGAGCCTGACACTTGTTCTCATGGCACCAAGACTTAGGATCCCTCAGGAAAAGCATTTAACCCTTGGAAATGCAAAGCTGTCATTTATCTGTCATCTCTCGAAAACCCACTGGAGTATATTTACGAGAGAGATTTGAAACAGTCATCGTTCCACTGAACTAGAAATGGAGTTGGGACTCAGTAAATGATCAGTAAAAAACTGATGAGTGTCCAATACCAGTTTGCAGCAACTCAACTGTGCTAGCTCTGTCATAAAATGAACTTACCATGGCATTCTGTATTTCTTAAGGAATTCAGTATGCAGAATTCACACTAAAAAATCGGTAAAATGGGCGAGTCTGTTTACCTTACAGCTTCTGAAATCTTCTGTTTGAAAAAATGTAGGGACTAGAGTATTAGTTCACTGCTAGTGCTGTGTCATTTGAATTGCATATTCCAGTTATATTTTATAGGTTTTAGAAGAATTCTTAAAATTAGCCTATATATATATATACACACACACACACACACACATATCAACCAAGGAGGCATAGCAGATCTTGGAAGAATGAACTGAAACAGGCATGATCTGTAAATTAATACCCTTTTGCCTAGCATTTACTAACAAAGGATGAAGGTACCATTTGTCAAAGCTTGTCAGTGAGCAGTTCCCCAGGGAGGCAGTGGAGCAGAGTCTAAGAATTTGGTCTCTGGTGCCAGACTGCCTGGCTTCACATCTAAGTGATGTCGCTTACTGGTTATGGGACTTGGACAAGTTAGTTAACCTCAGAGCCTCTTGTTTCTCCACTGTAAATAGGGAGAATGCCTCTTGGGGTTTTAAATGCAGTAATTCATGTAAAGTCCATGTAGAGTAGTTGTTACTAGCAACATTTAACATGGGCCAGATGGGCCTGGGAGGATGACATAGACCCAGAAAATTATTTGGGGTGACTGTGGTTTAAACTTGTCTATGGGTCTTTGTGACTTTGTGACTCCCTTTAATGTCATAGTTTCTCAAAAGATAGAGTACAGAAGTGGTTATGGCACAGACCACCCTCAATCTCATTCCTGCTCTGGTAGAACAGGTCAGCATAGCTAAAGTAGAGATCTAGAAATGCTCCCAGAAAATATTTTCAAGATTGAATTAAGATTGAGATAACCTTTACTTGTTTGTGGTCAGAGACAAACAAGTAAAAGGGGACCGATATTTTTGAGGAGTCCATGGTAGAAATAATACACTGTGGGTGAAAGGAGTGCTGGTGAGCCAATGTTATAGTGCTGTTGGGGGAAAGTAGAGTGAACATTCATGAGAACTGAAATTACTTGGCTCATAAGGAAAATCCAGGATAAGTGAGCCGGGGCATAGTCATGTTCTTTAGGATTTAAGAATTTGTTATATGCACTGTTGACTGTTTCTCACTCCTCAACAGATTTTTAACCACTAGCACCTTCACTACCACTTTCACCACCACCAACACCATTACCACCACCACCAGCATCGTCATCATCACCACCACCATCACTACTGTCACCACCATTATCACAACCACCACCATCATTACCATTACCACCACTACCACCATCATCACCACCATCAACTTCACTACCGTCATCACCATTATCATAACAATCACCACCATATCATCACCACCACCACCATCACCATCAGTACCACCAGCACGATCACCACCTTCATCACCACCACCATTACCACCATCACCACCACCACCATCAGCATCACTGCCATCACCATTACCACCACTACCACCACCACCATCACTACTACTGTCACTAACATGTTCACCACCAATACTATCACCATCGCTACCACCATCACCGCCACTACCGCCACCACCACCATCACTGCCAGTACCATCACCACTTTCATCACCAACACCATTACCACCACCATCACCACCACCACCATCACCATTACCACCACTACCACCACCACCATCACTACTGTCACTAACATGTTCACCACCAATACTATCACCATCGCTACCACCATCACCACCACTACCGCCACCACCACTATCACCACCAGTACCATCACCACTTTCATCACCAACACCATTACCACCACCATCACCATCTCCACCACCACATCACCACCACTGCCACCACTACCACCATGACCATCGCTGCCATCACCATTATCACAACCACCACCATCACCATCACTACCACCATCACCATCACTATCACTACCACTAACATGTTCACTACCACTGTCACCATCGCTGCCACCACCATCATCACCCCCACTACCACTGCCACCGCCACCACTACCACTGCCATCACCCCCACCACCATCACCGCCACTACCATTGCCATTATCACAACCACAATCATTATCAGCATCGCCACAACTACCACCACCACCAGCACCTCTACCACCACCACCATCACCACCACCATCACCATTGCTACCACCACCACCATCACTACCACTACCACCACCATCACCATCACTGTCATCACCACCATTATCACAATCATCACCATCACCACCACCACCACCACTACCACAACACCTTCACTGCCACTACTGTCACCATTGCTACCATAACCACCATCATCATCACCATCACCACCACCACCACCATCATAACCATCATCACCATCACTACCACCAACACTACTGCCAGTACTTCTGCTGCCACTATCACCACCACCACCACTATCACCACCATCGCACCTATAGCATCACAACCACAACAACTCAGAGCTTCAAAAGACTCCAGTTGGGAGATTCTTGCCTTTTTACCACGTTCTACCTTCAGCCTCACCTTCTCTGTCTGAGTTGCCTCTGTCCCATGCTCACTGTCTTTCTGCCTTTCAGTCCACCAGCTATGTCTATAGATTAAGAAGGGAATTTGCAAGTACACTTCAGCAACCTTGCTTTACTCTAATTTAAAAAACAATTTTTAATTTTTATCATTTGCTTTATAAATAACAAGAGATGTTAATTAGTTTGACTCATTAAATTTAAAACAATTGTTATAAATTTGGAGTGTTTGATTAAATTTCCTTAATTATACACAGTGCTTACGCTGCTGCTCTGGAGAGCAGGGGAGTTTCTGGGGAACGTTCTTCTCTCCTCCTTATGCCTTTTCTTCTTCCTCCTCACCCTCATGGCTCCAGGTCCATGCCCAGGGAGCATGTTAGCATGTTGTCAGGTCTCAAAGTATCTGAAAAGATTGTCTTCTCTGTGGCCAGGCTGCTTAGAGGCAGCCTGATATAAACTGTAAAAAGGGGGAGAGTGTTTCTCTGTGTCCTCTGCATCCACTCTTCATGCATTTGCTCCAAACCAAATCTGCTCTTAGGAAGGGATCAGACGAACCTGTTTAGAGTGAGGTAGCAATGATAGGTTAGCAGTGGGTAAACCACATAAATGAAACTTTAAATGAGGAATTCCACCTTGTTAAAGAAGTAAGGTGGGCCAGGCACAGTGGCTCACGCCTGTAATTCCAGCACTTTGGGGGGCCAAGGCAGGCGGATCATGAGGTCAGGAGATCGAGACCATCCTGGCTAACGTCCTGAAACCCTGTCTCTACTAAATATACAAAAAAAAAAAAAAAAAAAAAAATTAGCTGGCTGGGTGTGGTGGCACATGCCTGTAGTCCCAGCTACTCGGGAGGCTGAGGCAAAAGAATCACTTGAACCTGGGAGGCGGAGGTTGCAGTGAGCTGAGATCACCCTGCTGCACTCCAGCCTGGGCAACAGAGTGAGACTCCGTCTAAAAAAAAAAAAAAAAAAAGGAAGCAAGGTGGTATGGAGGTATGGAGAGAGTAACATAACCGCCTCTGAATATACTCCCAAAGGCCACTTACTAGTAATCCATGTATTTTGTACCTCTAAGCCCTTCTTCTTTTCCATCTCCTTAACCTGCCGTTTTCTCAAGCTCAAAGCTGGTCTCCTGCAGGAAACAATGCTGATTCCTTGTGCTACCCCTGCCAGTGCCCTGACCACAGGCTGCTCACATTGTTTGATTGTGAATTGGTGCCCTTCTTCCTTTTCCCCATTCTCCTTGCCCCAGACTGTTGTCTTCTCATCAGCAGGATGGCTCAATCACGACCCTGTCTCCCTAGTATCTGACACAGTGGTATTCAGAAAATGCTTTTGGACGAAAGTGAATTGTGTTTTTGTTATTTGAAAAGGACTGTATTTTAAAAACATGCAAAACATGATAACTTTTTCCAAAAGATAGGTGAGAGGTGGTTCATTCTCTTCTCCTTGAATTTGCTTATTTCTTAGACTCCCCACAACCCTGGAGACATATCAGTAGTTTGGATAGTTTTTTAAAAATAAGAATAAAACATTTTGATGATTCTAGTCAAGGGATACAATTGGCTTCATATACCCTTGCCTAAAAGTCTCCTCCATGGGAAATGCAGTTTGCTTGGAGCGAGTGCTCCAAGCAAACTGCATTTCATCAGATTTCATCAGGCTGCATGTGGATGAGTGCAGTGGGAAGGAGGTCATCCCCCCCTGGCTGGCTGGGTCTGCTGAATCAACCTGTGACTCAGCCAGAGGGCAGGCTGTCCTGGCTCCAGCACCTTTCTCACCAGTAGGGCAGCCTAGGGAGAGATTGGAGCAGGCTAATGAATGGGTAGCACTTGATAAAAATAGTGACATCAGTAGCCCTCGCTGGGCAACTTTAGAATCTTATCATTTTTTATTTTTTTATTCACTTCTCTATCTTCCATTCCACAATTCTAGGTTACATAGGTCTGCTTTGTGTGTGAGCTGTGGAAAGAGACTGATTTCTATCCTTTGTCAGTTGGGGGCTGTAAAAAATTATAACAGCTGAGACTTTATTCCAGAATTCTCCTTATGGTTCTCTCTGTCTGACTGGGAAATAGCTTGCCTTATTTCATTTATTCCTGTTTTGCCTCTGGGGCTCATGTTAACTACTTCTCACTACTGGGCTTGTCAGACATCAGGGTTTAAGAGGTGCCACCACTTCTTGGCTCCAGGATAGCTCCTGTTCTCTGGGCAGAGCTGAGTAAGGTACTTTGGACATTGCTGTTCCTTTTACACAGTGTGTCTTTATGACATTGTTTTGATGATCAAACTCTTATCCTAAGTTTCTTGATCTTTAAAAGAGTTAACCTAGTCATAATATTCACCATCAGTGTCTTTCTCCAAGGGGCATTGTGAGGATAATTAAGGGACATATAGGTGAAATGTTTTGAGCTCAATGGAAGAGAAAAGCCATCGGGCTCATAGATGTTACTTTTATTTAGTTTCATGCTGTTACCGTATGATCAAGAATAGATGAATTTTGGAAATGATGACAGTTTCATGTTTAGACGTCTATTTCTACTTAACCACCATAATTGGCCTTGGCTGGAGCTCTACAAGATACCGCAATTTATAGATTAAAAACAAATAAGTGAGAAATGATCAAAAATGTTTTCACTACATTTTTTATTTGCTATTTTTTTTAATTCTAAAAATAAATAGGCCCTTTAAAAGGAGTTGATTAAAAAGGTTTATTTTCTGGGAATGTTATGCATCTGCAACAAATGATAAATAATATTGAAGCAGTTGGCTACCTCCACTTTCATGCAAAATAAATAAATACATTTGGTGACATACATTTGAGGAATGTGATTTTTGTAATTTTTATGGAAATAGGAGCAACTTTGCAGATGATAGAAATTTTTACCATCTGCTAGTAACAAAGAAACATAACTCATAACGTGCAACACATTTTGAGTTTAATGTATATGTTGGCATGCCGGGAATTGGAATTCTCTTAGACCTAAGTCAGCCATCCCAGGGGAAGCTGACCTGACTTTCAGCTTGTCAGGCGAAAGCTTTCTTTGCTTTTAAAGCATGATCTTCACATTGCTCAAATGGCAGGGGGACGAAGAGGGCTAAGCTTTCATGGCAAGAGATGAAGAGAAAGGCACTCTGCAGGCTGGTGAGCACCGGCACAATTTTCACTTGTAATTAGTGGGATGGGGGCTCACTGTCGAGAAGCTACTGTCTTTATGAGTCAAAACATTTAGTATTGGTAGAAAGGTGAGAGTTCAGACACTTAGGGAGATACAGGGGGTGGGAAGCCCAGCCTTTCTCTTACAGTGACATCTGCTTTAAGCAAGTGACATTTTAGCTCCCTAGCCATGAAATGATATGTGGTGGGGGGCTTGTGCTTCTAGTTAAAGAGAAGGAATGGGTAGGTTAGTTTTAAGAAGCAGCTCAGTGGAGGCTACAGAGCTACCCACCAAGGAAGGAGGAGAGAAACCAAAGGGAAGGCATTGCCTTTCTTTTTGAGTTTCCTTTCCTCTCCTTTGAAGAAGTGGGGACGTTGCCATTTTGAGTCATTCTGGGTTCATCTTATGGTGTGGAAGCATGGCACGAGCATGATGGCAGGCCCCTGAAAAGACGACTAGTGGATTTCTATTAGAAGATTATGAGTAAGTGGTCCTGAGGGTGTTCACTCCTTCTTGGTAGTAGGAGCTGTAGGCTGGTTATGCGGGTAGAACTTCATTAGTGGATTTTATCTAGCAATCTGGATGCTTTATAAAGCATCTTGGAGTGCTTTGGGGTATCCTTCAGCTTAAAGGGGTTGGGGGATGAGGCAGGTTTAGTTAAAGAGGAGCATCTTTTCTCTCACCTCCAACATTTTCAGAGTAGGACATGACTCATAACTCCCAGACCCTGGAAATGTATTGGGTCTGATATCTGCCTAATTAATTTTGGTTTTTATCCTATTGCCTTTGTCTTAAACATTTAAGCCACACTGAAAAATAAGTGGAGTTTATGAATCTGTTTTCATGGCTGCATCTACTGTTGTCCCTTCCTTTGTTCAGCTTGCCTCCCGTTCTGACCCTCCGGGATCTTGGATTCTTTCCCCTCGGCTTCTGGAAAATATGCTGACAGACTCATGCACGCTAAGATACTCAAGGCTAATCAGGTTTAAAGTGTTTCAGCTTCTTGTGGTGTTTATATTTCTTGCAGGGGTGAAGACATCTTAAACCAGAGGAATGACTCTCTAGTTGTGGAATTTCAGTCATCAGCCAGCAGATGCAGGAGGTATTATTTTGGGCATGGGGGCCTTCTGAGAAGCCCAGAAATCATTCTCAATGACCACCTGCCTGCTCCATCTTACATGAGGCCACTTCGTGCATCACACCAGTCTTGTGTGTCTGGTTGGGTTGACCTGACTGAGGGCAGCAAGCATGTGTGTGGGAGTCCCTGCTATGTATGGGAAAAGGGGAGAGTTATGATGCATGCTGTGCAAGCTTTTTTTTCTTTTGAGAGGGAGTCTCGCTTTGTCGCCCAGGCTGGAGTGCAGTGGCGCAATCTCGGCTCACTGCAAGCTCCGCCTCCCGGGTTCGTGCCGTTCTCCTGCCTCAGCCTCCCGAGTAGCTGGGACTACAGGTGCCCACCACCGCCCCTGGCTAATTTTTTGTATTTTTAGTAGAAATGGGGTTTCACCGTGTTAGCCAGGATGGCCTCGATCTCCTGACCTCGTGATCCACCCATCTCGGCCTCCCAAAGTGCTGGGATTACAGGCATGAGCCACAGCGCCCGGCTGCTTTTTGTTTTCTAACTGCAGGTGTCAATATTGTTCCAAAAGCTAGAAGTGCATAATGAAACTAGAATTCTCCTGTTGATTAAAGGCTACTTCATATCCATCTGCAGTGTGGGTCATATATCCTCAGAGCAGTCTCCATTTTAAATCCATGGAATGTTCCTGAAAGCCGGGGTTTCATATTACAAATGTCCACAAGCAGGGCAGGACCATCATACCCTCTACTGGGAACTGGAAGTCTGGTTCTGTGAATAAGAGTGTCTTTCCCATCTCCTGCTTTCCTTAGGCTGGTCACTGTCACCACAGCCACCCCAGAGAGTTCTTAGTGATCAGTGATCGTGATGTTAGCGCTGTGAGCCTCTCAGTTGGTAGAAGATTCTAGAGGCTGCAGTCCCCGTTATATGAAGGTCACTGGTTGGACTCCCAAATCTAATAACTGTGGGTAATATACTAAGGATGAATTAAAATGCTAATAGGCTCCATGTTCTGGATATCTTTACATTCCCTAACCTTAAATTTAAATTAAATGCCTTAGGTGCTGCAGCAGCCTTGCCAGAAGCATGTTTAGTATCGCATCACCCCTTAGACAGCAAATTTAAACTGTACCCCAGCCACACGGGCAGAGCTAGGATAAGCAATATTTATTTTACAATAATTTGTGTGTCCCCCTACAGCTACATGATACATATACTTTCTGTTTTACTAAAGATAGTTATTTAGCTTTTAAAAATCACAATTTTTATAAGTTCCTTTGAACCCACAGATCCTTTTATTATTAACAATATTTTATTAGCAATATGTTGGATTTTGTGGCACCTAAAGCTACTCCAAAGCCATTTTATAGATTACCTTCACATTTAAGCCTTATAACAGTGCCATGAAACGCCCCTGCTTTGTAATGAAGTCATTAAGGCGTAGAGAGACCGAGTGGCTTTTCCATCCCCATGTCGCTGATTTGGGGAGAACCACATTTCGCAGGTGAGTGTGCCAACTCCCAGCTCAGCATCTGCCCACTAGACCAAGTGGGAGCTGGAAGCAGAATGATGGCCAGGTCACTGAACCCACCTGCTTCTGCTGGGAAAGGAGGACAGAGCTCATCTTAAGGGATCTGTAAGCTCTTTTTGATTGGTAGTGTTGGTTCTGTTGTCTACACGGAGGCCAGATTTCTTTATCCAGGGAGCCAGAAAAACAAGTGCATTTCCTTCCTTCAGTAAACAGGTCACTTCCTCATCACTAGTTGAATTAGCCCCTTTGTTTTCTCCTTATTAGGGGGAAGGAACACTTTATTTCTTCCTCATTTCTTCCAGTTGTCTGGTGCCTGGCCACTTCATAATTGTATTTTGAGAGAATAGATATTAATTTTCTTCAACAAAAGGCGGAGTTCCTTGATGACACAACATAATTCAATTTCCGTTCTCTCCCCTCATTGCCTGCACCCCTTCCTCCTGGCACATTTTTCATAGTTAGGAGGAGTGATAGTGTCAAATATATCAGAAGGAAGAATTGATTCAGTAGTCGTTTGACGACTTGACTGATTAACAGAGATCAGAAGAAGGCTCATAACTGTGAAAACCACTGCAGCATGCAGTTTTAACAGCTCTTTAGGGAGCTAGTTAATGAAAGAATCACTGCAGAAACACAGCCATGCAAAAAGGAAAAAAAAAAAAAGAACAGGAGCATTCCCATATAACACTCAGAAGCTCTGTCATAGAGAAAATATGCTCATAATTTCTATTTACACATCACTGTAATTACCGTCTGCCTTAAGATTACTTTCAGTCTTCTCCTGTCAAAGTTGCTTAAACAGTTCCTCTTTCACATACCAGGAAGAGAAACCTAGTACTGGTTGGAACTGGTCCTAAGGATTCTTTTCCCCCCAAAGAATGTAATTGTTAGACACCCCAGCACACTGCCTGATGACTCTGGCTTTTGTCTCATCCATGTTCTTGTTGTCATCACCATTTGTCCACGAACCAGACTTCTGCACTCACACAAGTGTTACATTGGGCTTTACAGTTTAATTTGTGTGTGTGGTTGTTCTCTCTTCTTTTTCCTGATGCAGTGTCTATGAACCAGATAGAAATGCATTACGGAGGAAAGAACGAGAAAGAAGAAATCAAGAAACTCAACAGGATGATGGCACGTTTAATTCTAGTTACTCTCTCTTCAGTGAGCCCTACAAGGTAGATGGTTTTCAGTTGTTCATCTCTACCTCTCACTTGTTTCTCTCACTCCCTGTGACGGTGGCCTTGACTAAAAGAATTGGCCGACCAAACTTGACTGCATCTTCTGTCTGTTCAGCCCAGGGAAGACAGCTCAGCCACCAAGTACGGGGTCTTCCCCCAGAAATTGAGGTGTGTGGTTCACATGGCTTTACTGGCCACTCCCTCAGTAACATGCAACTTTTGTTTACTATTGAGATCTGCTTGCTGTGATTTTTATCAATAATACAGACTTCATCTCCGCGTTGACATATTATAAGGTCAATCCCATTTGTTATGTTTTCTCAGATCGTAGGAAACAAACACTATTAGAAGGAGGTTGTGTTACATATTTGTCGTACATGGATCACGCTAGGATTAGAGTACCTGTTAGGGCTAATGAGAAAGAAAGTCTAAGATTATTTCTCATTTTTACCAAAGGCCAGAAATATAACCTTGCTTCCAAAATGAAATGTCATCCCAGATTTCACAAATACCTTAGGCGGCATGGAGCTCTGGGTCATTCCAGCTTCCTGCACATTTAGCCCCATGTTCCTTTAAGCTTCACATTGACATCTCTTGCCTGTCACTCTGGATTTCTGGCAAGAATGATATTTAGACTAATCCCGAGCCAAATCTGAATTTTCAAGTAAAGCTTCTAACGGGACTACAATTACAGGACAATCCAATCATAGAAAGACTTAATCCAGTTCATTTTTTAAAGTTGCAATAGTTAATTTTCCTGATTTCCAGGTAATCTGTTTTAGCTGCAACACACACAGTACCAAGGATAGATCCCCCTGCTCCTTTTTATTTTTTGAGACAGAGTCTCCTTCTGTCACCCAGGCTGGAGTGCAGTGGCGTGATCTTGGCTCACTGCAACCTCTGCCTCCCAGGTTCAAGTGATTCTCCTGCCTCAGCCTCCTGAGTAGCTGGGACTACAGCAGCCCGACACCACACCCCACTAATTTTTGTATTTTTAGTAGAGACAGGGTTTTGCCGTGTTGGTCAGGCTGATCTCAAACACCTGACCTCAGGTGTTCCGCCCACCTCGGCCTCCCAAAGTGCTGGGATTCCAGGCATGAGCCAGCCACCGCGCCCGGCCGGATAGATCCCTTTTTATGCACCCCAAGGCCATTACAGGCTTCCTGTTCTGGTGCATCACCAAGTGCTGACAGACATCTTCAGAGACGATAAGGATTTCGATTTCATCTCTCAGCTCTCATTCTGCATGTGACAACCCTGGCTCTGTGATTGATAAGGGCACCTGTTGATTATCTCCGGTGTTTCTGTTGTCTCTAACAATAGCGTGGATGTGTTTTTCTTTCTCCAGACTAACAAGGGGGATGAACTCTCCAACCGGATCCAGAACACTTTAGGCAATTATGATGAAATGAAAGACTTTTTAACTGATAGATCCAATCAGAGTCATCTCGTTGGAGTTCCCAAACCTGGGGTTCCTCAGACTCCTGTGAACAAGATCGATGAACATTTTGTTGCAGATTCAAGAGCCCAGAACCAGCCCTCGTCTATCTGTAGCACTACAACTTCCACACCAGCAGCTGTCCCCGTGCAGCAGAGTAAGAGAGGCACTATGGGCTGGCAGAAGGCTGGGCACCCACCCTCTGACGGCCAACAGAGAGCAAGTAAGCACAGGCACAGGTTGCTTGATTTGCACAAATCTGCTAAAACCCAGAGAACTATAATGAAAAAAGAAAATCCCTATGTGTCGACCCCCCTCATCCTTATCTTCCTCTTCTTCTTCTTCCAACTCAGCACAACAGGGCTCTCTCAGGACCTTGCTTGGAGATGGTGTTGGCAGACAGCAGCCTCGGGCCAAACAAGTGTGCAATGTGGAGGTGGGCCTTCAGACCCAGGAGAGGCCACCTGCCATGGCGGCCAAGCACAGCAGCAGCGGACACTGTGTTCAGAACTTTCCTCCATCCCTAGCTTCAAAACCCAGCCTGGTCCAGCAGAAACCGACCGCGTATGTGAGGCCAATGGACGGCCAAGATCAGGCCCCTGATGAGTCTCCTAAGCTGAAGTCGTCTTCGGAAACCAGCGTGCACTGCACATCATACAGGGGAGTCCCTGCCAGCAAGCCGGAGCCTGCCAGAGCCAAGGCCAAGCTCTCCAAGTTCAGCATCCCCAAGCAGGGGGAGGTGAGTCTTTATCAGCACCGTTCACATGCAACTGCATAGTTACAAGTGACAATTTGACCCTCGTGAATTCAGTTTCCATGTTTCTTTTTTTTCAGTGATGTGGTTAACTTCATGTGGTAGGATTTGTAGCAGTCACTGAAAGGGGAGGCAGACTTAAATAGTGATTTCTTAAAATCTCAAATTTATTATAATTTGAATTTTTAGAGTTCCAGCAAATGCAGTTGTGTGTGTATGTATTAGTTAGGGAAGGAATGTCCCCTTCACTATAGTTTGAGAATTTTCTTCTGAATAGCTAGTGTTCACTGAGGGTATAAATAAAATTAAGAAATAAGTGAATAAGTGATTCAGAAGTAAGAAAAGCACTTAAAGGCTATAATTTCAGTATCTATTTACCTATTTAAGGTAAATTTTTATGTAAAAGAGTTCCAAAACTCTTAACATTTTCGTGTTTTGAAATATTTTAACACAAACTTTACCAAATAAACCTCATAATAGTTTTTAAATTAATTGTTTAAATTATTCAACTTTGAATATGGTGAACTATTCAAATGTTTTGGAAATCCTGTCCTGTCTCAGACCATATTCCAAATTGATGATGGTTGTGAAGAGTACATGAAGAAAAAAATATGACCATGCATACATATTTTTTGCTGTGATATTGTATACTAACTAAAATTAAATGTGAGTTCTAGAACATTATACTTAGGAACTGTTCAGTTTTTTCTCTTTTTAACATATTCTTTAAAGACTGAGTAACAGTGTGGCCAGAATATTCTTTGTATCTTAATTTGATTTAATAACCAAATGAAAGCAATGATTTGACATTTGTTGTTGCATTTTTGACAAGGCTGAGCTTAAACATTTCTGAACTATCATCTCAGAGATCACCACGGACTGATAGGGATATCAACATATCACCGTTTAGAAAAGACTTCTTTTTTAATCTATGAGATGTTTACACTGGTTTTGTAGAGAAGATCAAGTGACAGGTATACCGTAACTTTTTTTGATTACACGTTTATGATAGATTCTAGAAAATGTTCACTAGAAACTAATGGAAGCAAAATGTAATTTCTATAGGCATTTACGTTTTTAAAAGTTTGTAGGAGACACACGTAGGTACCATCTTACAAAACTGAATTCATCAGGCTGTTTGATTCGTCATCATCAAATGACTGGTAGCAGCAAATAAATTCCGGCATATCTTTGAGCAGTGGTGACTGACTTTTACAACCACCAGGAACCCCTTCATTATTTCAATCTCAATTGACTTCTTGTTAAAATGGTTTTTATCTACCAAAGAAACTTCAGATTTATTAGGTAATAATTTACATGTTTGTTTATTTTGGAATTCAGTGAGTTCATAAAACTCTAGTTAAAACAAAAAAAGATGAATTTTTGATTGCCAGTAAAGCCTTAAGCAGATAACTGTGCAGTTTTTATGAGGCTTTTGGGTATGTCATTAATAACCTGGACACTTTCAGGATGCCCTTTGAGGACTCAGATTGGAAAGAACATGCTGTGTATGGTGTCTGGTTAGCAGAGAGAGAGGGGGATGCCTCAGACAGAGACTCACGCTGAGAGAAATCAGAGCTTTCTATGGGAAGTGTTCCATTTCCCCTATATGTAGTGACATTGAACTAGCGAGCCTGCCCTCTTCCTAACTTTTTGTCCTGAATATTTCAAAAAGGCCAGTCATGCTTTGATAGAGAAGAGATAAGAGGTGTTTGTAGAAGAAAGTTAAAAATTGGTGGGTGGGTTCTTTTTTTTTTTGTGAAGGGGGGTGCAGTGTTTATCATAGTTAAAAGCACTGCATATTAGGAGAAATGTTGTAATTTGAACCTTATAACACTTGTCTGTTTAATCAGTCCACTCCCACAATAAAAACATGACTAAATTTCACAGTCAGCAGCCAAGTAGTGAGTTACTTCTACCCTTCAAACTCAGAGATCTTTGTTGACAGTATTCCAAGAGAAGATTAAGACATACTCTTTCGCAGGTGCATTGTTCAATATTTATAGGCTATTCCAATAAAATCCGCAATCAGGCCAGGCACAGTGGCTCATTCCTGTAATCCCAGTACTTTGGGAGGCTGAGGTGGGAGGATTGCTTGAGGCCAGAGTTCAAGACCAGCCTGGGCAACATAGTGAGATCCCATCTCTACAAAAAATAAATAAAAAAATAAAATTCACAATCATAACATAGAAGCTGAAGAATTTTATCAACCAGATTTTACTTTTGAGGGAATAAATATTTTTATTTTTTGAAAGAGGTAAAACGATTTAATGTGACAATTTCAAAAATATTCATGCCAATATTTTTAAAAATAAAGATACTGCTGGTATGAAAATGTCCTCTCAATAGTACAGACATTAACTTCCAGTGAGGTAGAGAAGGGTTTTTTAGGGAAATTTCCAAAGAAAATAACCTGCAAGGTTATTACTTGACTATGGTTTTTGAGGATGTTAGCTACAGAGCAAGACTTATCACAGTGTGAAGAATTTGGGGGCTGGAAGGGTTAGGTAAAAATGACATAAAAACAAGGAGGGCCATACAAAAATAGCTGTTTGGCATCGTATAGGTACATTCCTCATAAGAAAATCAGATTAATAACTAGGTGCAATGCAATGAGAGAATTTTTTTTTTTTTTTAGTGTAAGATGTAATCTCTGCCTCCAAGAAATTTACATTAACTGAATAAATTAGACTGCAGCACATAGCTTTTAATTTGCAGTTTCTCTCATTTACAGTCCAAATTAAGTTTAAAATTGGCCTTTTAGCCCTAGGAAAATTCCCTCACCTTCATCACCCTTGTAGTAGAAAAACAATTCTGTATTATTTTTAAAAATTTGGAAATTTTGAATCCCTTTGCCTGGTTTTACACTTCATAAACTCTTCATTCTTTCCCTTACAACATCTGCACCCTACCTGCTGCTATGGCAAATTATTTGCAGTAATTCCTGAGACTTCAATAATAGGTAATTAGTGCAGAAAAATCCAGTGCAATTTGATGTAGAAGTTAAAGACCTCAAGAGAATTCTTTAACTCTTACACCTGCTTCTTGGCTGGCTTTTTCCGACTCAGTTTTGTGTTTAATGAAAAACATATTTTTGTTGTTGTAGCTGAGTCTTTTATTCTGAACACCACTCCTCATTAAGTGAGCCTCCCTGGGAGTGCCCCTTGGAAAGCTGTCTATGGTTGGGTGAGAGACCAGGGACTAACGAATAGCCAAAGCATGCCCTCTAGAATGTTCTAGGGCACAGCACACTGAATTTTATTTCTGACTGAAGTGAATTATTTTTTGTTCACACACACACGCAAATTAATATTTTGTGCTCAGCATGTAATTCCAGATTCAAACATTGGGGACTGTTAACCTAGAGAGGCAGATACAGTTTTGTGGGACCTCAAATTTGCAGTCTTGGGGATCTTCTTTAGAAATGAAGGAATAGAAAATATCTCACCTTTGCCATTATTTCAAAGACATATAACTGTGTTAACACAGTACCACCCCCACCCCCCCGACCCCCAACTCCCCAGAGCCTTAGAGACCCTGAAGCTTAAGCATCATTAACTTCATAGTGTATCTGTCTTTGGCTCATGGAATAATATAAAATCATTACTAAGATGATCATTTTGGATTTGAAAAAAGTTACATTAGCCTAAACTTGGTAGAATTTAAAAATACGTATGTATATGTTAGGTGATGGGGGCAGGGCACAAAATAGGACAGTGGTGTGAAAAACCTAACATGCAGAGCCATTGAGACAACACAGGAGTGTCCTGGGCCTTTTGCAGTTGGTGGTTTGACAAGTTACAGCTTCAGCAGTGTATTCCAAAACCTACACATTTATAGTTTTCTGTTTGCAATTTAATAAGTAGTGATAGTTTGAAACTGCTGTTGCAGAGGGCTCCAGTGGCTGGGAACAGAATTCATTTGATAAGCCAGGAGAGCAGAGGAAGCCAGGAGCTGGTGCCCATAGCTTAGTCAGTGGTAAGGAAAGAGACACCTGAATTTGGATATCAATCAATAGACTGTGGTATCCTAGATGTTTTCGTAGTGGTTGATAATTCATCTATAAGAACAGAGAAACCATTTATGGTTGATCAGAATTTTATTTGTTAAAATAAGTAATTAAATAGTCTAAGATGTATTGATTAATCATAGAATTTTCATGAAGGGCATTTTAAAATTGCCGTTTATGCCATGAAAAAGAATAGAAAGATGAAGCACTGCGATTCCATAAAATAGCTTCCTAGAAAAGCAATTAACTGATTTTTTCTAAAGTTCACAGAAGATAAATGATGTAGGCTTCCTATTTCCTGTCACTCTTGGTTACCTTTGTATGAAAATGGATTTCTTCCAAATGAAAGTCGGCACCAGCCTGTCGGGCAAAAAAGGCATCTGTAAAGCAATGTGTACATTACATATTCATGCCAGTCGAATTTCTTAATTACATTTGAGATGTATAATGTTTTCAAATTGAAGTTTGCTATCTGATTGCTCCTGGGAGAAATGAGGGTGTGTGGCAAGCCTGGAGACTCAGTTTCCCCACCTGTCGTGGTGTCATCTTTCCCATCACCCTCGCTCACCCATGGCAGTCGGAGGCCACGTCCCTCAGGACAGCGTGGCATAGCAACAGCACGGATGGTTACGCTCTGCGCTTCCTCCTGTCTGCTCGATGGGCAGCTTCCGTCCGCTTAGAACGTGGAGTGCCTGTACTGCGTATACCCGAAAGAGTGGAGACCCAAACCTTGATCTCAGATGCTGGAGGGAAGCACTTGGTTTCTGTAGTTTAGATGGGTCGTTCTGAAGGTCGTAATGAAGACTGGCAAGTGGAAATATTTCCATATTTTCCAGTCCTTTTATGTTTGGCCATTGGGGTCTTAAAAGGTGAAGCACTTGGGCTGGGCGCAGTGGCTTAACGCCTGTAATCCCTGCACTTTGGGAGGCCAAGGCGGGTGGATCACGAGGTCAGGAGATGGAGACCATCCTGGCCAACACGGTAAACCTCGTGTCTACTAAAAATACAAAAATTAGCTGGGCGTGGTGGCGCATGCCTGTAATCCCAGCTACTCAGGAGGCTGAGGCAGAAGAATTGCCTGAACTCGGGATGCAGAAATTGCGGTGAGACGAGATCATGCCACTGCAGTCCAGTCTGGGCGACAGAGTGAGACTCCGTCTCAAAAAAACCAAAAACCAAAAAACAAAACAGAAAAAAAGGTAAGGCATTTAACATGAAAAAACTTCAGTTTCAGTTTCTATAGTCTTGTGATGAGAAATTTGAAGAAAGTGCGTTAAAATGTATCGTGTGTGTGAAGGTGCTAGAGACTTTTTGCTTTCTCTTTCCTCTCTGGGCTCCTTCAGACTTATATCATTAAGCCAAGTTTTCTAGCCTCAAGGGTGGGAAACTACCACTGACCAGAAAGCGTGGAGGGTGGGACCTGGAGGGAGATTATTAGCAAGCCCACTTTATTTTCCATACTTTCTCAGTTCTCGTAAAGCTTTCTCCCCCGGAATGCGTCTGAACAGATTACAGGGCTGCTTTCCCTTCAGCTGCAGCCTCCAGGGCCTGAGCTCCGCACCTGGGGCTGCTCAAGAACCCCCGGGCTTCTGTGTTTGGAGTTGGTTGAAAGTGATGTGTGATCCCGTGTTTATTCCACCCAGAAAGGAGGTGTCACTCTTCCAGTTTCGTGAGAAAAGCTTGTGTCTTTCATCCTTTCTTTGGTCAGAAATCTTGTGCAGTCTTTCAGATATACAGGGAAGAGGTAGAATGCTGTGGAATGGGTGCAGCTATGGAGACCAGCAAGAACTGGGCCTGCCACCTGTCAGCCGTGTGACGGGGAGCAAGTGGTTTAATTCCTCAGGGCCTCAGTTTCCTTATGTGTGAGGTGGAGAACATGATAATGATACCTGCTTGGCAGAGTTATTGCAGCAGCGGGGAGTGAATGAGACGTATGTAATATGCTTAGCACAGTGACAATATACTAAGCATTTGGCAAATATTGGCTACATTTCTGTTATTTAAACACCTTTGAAACAAAAGCAAACAAAATAGAAAAGCGAGTATATTGTTGAGAGTGATTTTATGTTTGTGTATGTGTGTGTGTGTGTGTGTGCGCGCGTGCTAGAGAGAGATGAAATTCTACAAGTTCCTTTGTATTAGAAATAACTGAAATCTTGAAAACCAAGATTATCCTGGATTAATATCACAAATCCTGAGTAGTGAGCGTAATTCTTCCTTATTTGATGCTAGCCCCCTCCTGAGATTTTATTTTCAAGTCTGAGATCACCTTTTCTCTCTTTTTCTGCGTATTTGTTTTTTCTGAGCTATTATTATCTATAGTGGAACCTATCACATGAGAGCTTTATTCCCAATTAAATGAAATACTAAATCAACAAGATTTGAGCTGAGGACAAGTATTAAAATGTTCACATAGTAAGCATTTAGAATGACTTGTTGAGACAGATCTGTCTGAAGCCACAGTGTATTAAATAGTGTGTTTAATTGGGCTGAGCAGTAGAATCACTTATCTCCACATGATTAACCAGCATTAGCAATACATTTACAGTAGATGAAAATGGAGTCTCCCTGGTGCTGTTTGCAGATCCCATTCCATAGCTACTCATGTGGCAAGCACCCGTTGACCATGCCTGGACACTCCTGTTGCTGTTCTGACCAAAGGGTGGGCTGTGGGACCAAGAGATGCCTCTGGAAGTGATACTGACTGGGACCCCTCTCTCTGCTGTAATTGGCCCGGTTCTAGAGCAGAGCGAGGAGTGTGGGTTCTAGAGCTGGAATGTCTGAGTTTCTTCACTCCATTTGCTGGCCAGATGGCCTGGTGCCTCAGTTGCCTCATCTGTGACAGAATCATGGTAGAACCTCCTGATAGCATTTTTATGACTGTTAGATGAGTTAGTACTTACAGTGCTTAGCACGGTGGCTGGCACATAGCCCTCAGAAACAATTCACACTCATAATAATTCCTATAGTTATTTATAGTGGCCCTATTTGCTTTGCATTTACCTGCTCATGTGTCCAACCCCAGATGGGTTGACAGCTCTGAATGTAGAAATTGAAGAGAGGTGGATGAATTTCACTAGATTATAAGTTCCACAAAACCAGGGATTTTTGTTTATTTTGTCCCATTTTCATGGTACTGCTTACTGAAGCATCTCTAATGGTTCCTGGCACATAGTTTGTGCTCAATAGATACTTATTGGGTGAGTTAATTAATTTAAGGATATGGATGAAAGAAGGTGCTCCCCACCAATCCTGGGCCTTCCCGTGTTGGGGCCTCCGTAATCCCTGCCAGACCTTTATGGGAAGAGAGGAGCCAAACACTTCCAACATATAATTTATAGCTGCTGTTACAAAGCGAAATGGAAACCGTATTTACTGATGTATGTAAACACAGCACATATAAAATAAATCATAGAGCTAGATGCTGGCCTCAGAAACAAACACTTAACAGGCAGTGCTCTGAGTGGGACGCTGTGTTCTCTGCCTCTTTTTCCTTGTTCTCCTTTGTTTGATTTTCATGAGCAGAAGTCCTTCCCCGGGGGTAGTGTGTGCGGGTGTGCTGTGCGTGTGCTCCCACAGATGGTCGTGTTCTGTGGCCACAAGATGATGTGGGAATAAGGAGGGTGATGAGGGGAACAGAGCAATATAGGAGGGAGCCCACATTTCCAGCGTCTCTGCCACATGAACTAGGTTTTAATGTACGAAAGACCTAAAATATGCAGAGTTCTTAGAAACACCCATTGGCCCCATGGGGTGCTGTTTCCCAGAATGTCTCTCAGCCTTTTTCTCTGCATGCCATTTAGTACTTTACCAATCCTGTTTCTGTCACGATTCCTCGTTCAGTTATTCATGGGAATGCTGCATTGTTTCATAATTTAGGTGAACATAAGCCGTGTATGTCTCCTGAGCTCTGTGTATTTGTTATCTGACAGACATAACCTTCAGGAATAGCATCTGTGTCCATATAGGCCTTGGCATGTTTTTAATACACACTAAACGGTTGACCCCTTATGTGTGTAACAAAAGGATTAACAGCAGAAAATAGAAAAATGTATGCATTCAGCTATTTCTCTCTATAAGCCCTGACAAAAGGTATAGACAGGCCCTCTGCCCACCTCTCCCCCATTCTTGGATATCTCCATCAGCGATGAAGACCTCCTCCATCCCCCGAGGGATGCTCTATGCTCTCTGTGGCATCCCTGCTGAGGCTCATGCTGCTACATGCTGAAACCCCCCACTTTCATGTTGAAACCCCCCAGCAGAAGGGGATGGTGCCCTCCTGGGGTGCCCTTTTCATCTTTGGGCAACTCTGACCCTTATGCTGATGAACAAATCAACCCATCTATAACTTAACGCTTCTTAGCTTTGGTCATGCCCCTGGGATTTCTTAATTGCTGGCGATTTCATTTTCATCCATCTTTGATGACTGATTCGTACCTACGAGGTCCTTACTGTGTCCCTCAGGACAGTACCTCACACAGGGTCATGCCACCCTTTACCAGACAGACCTGAAAGTCAGAGGAGCCTTCCTGTGTCACCATAGCCTACCTAAATTCCTGTTAGAATTTTGATTTTTAACCTTTTGGCAGTTGACAGTAAGTGGTACAGAGAGAGGAAAAAGCAGAGCAGGGGAAAGAGGGCTGGGGATGCCCATGGGGGTGGAGGGTGGGAGCTGGGTGCAGCATCAAGAGGGTGGCTGGGTCACTGCACTGAGACATTGAGATGTGAGCAGGAGAACAGTGAGGCTGGGACGTGGTAGAGTTAGCCAGGAAGACATGGCAGGGAGAAGGCACATGCCAGGTGGAGTAGGATGGAAAGCTGGAGTGAAGGCTGAGTGGGAATGTGCCTCCTCGCCTGGGATAGCAACAAGACAGCATGCTGCAGTGGTGTACATGGGATGGGAGAAGTGGCAGGGGAGGCCACGTCTTGCAAGGCCTGCCAAGCCTCAGTAAGGACTGTGGCTTTACTGTGAGAATTGGGAGCCATTGAAGGGTTTGGAGCAGAGGAGTGTCATGATCTGACGTAGGTATGAAAATGATGGGTTTGGCTGTTGCACTGAGAATGAGCTGTAATGGGTCAGGGGAGAAGTGGAACATGGCTTGGCAGGTTATTGTGCTAATCTGGGGGGGGGGTGATAGTTGCTGGGACCATGGGGACAGCAAAGATGGTAAGATTGGATTCTCTATATATTTTGAAGGAGAGCCAGTAAGATTGGCTGACAGCTTGGTTGGCAGACAGAGGAACTGAGGACAGATATTTGTTCTGAGCAAATGAAAGGAAGAAGTTACTATCAACTGAGATGAGGAAAACTATGTGTGAGGCAGGTTTTGGGGGCAAGAGCAAGAGTTTACTTACTCACTTGGGCTTATTGAGTTTGAGTTGTCTCTTAGACATCCAAGTGGAGGTGACCCACAAGTCTGGAGTTTGGAGAACGAAATCTGTATCTGGGCTGGAGGTGTAGATTTGGGAGTTGTGAGCATACACGTGACATCTAATGCCTTGAACCTGGATGTCATAACCCAGGGAGTGAGGGCAGGTGACGAGGGCTGACCTGTGGTGTATCCCTACCTAAAGGGGTCAGTCTGATGAGAAGGAACCAGCAGAAAAGAGAAGAAGGGATCAGTAGGTAGGAAGAAAACGTAGAGTATAGCTTCGGGAAGCCACGAGGAAAGGGGATCTCAAGAAGGGAAGGGAGTTATTACCAGTGTCACCTCTGCTGTGTTAGGCTTAGTAACATGGAGGTCAGCATTTCCCTTGATGAGAGTTTTTGGGGCCAACGTCTACTTGGGTTTGAGAAAGAAGCAAGAAGAGGAATTAGAGACATTACATACAGTCTTTCTGGAAGTTTTGCTGCAAAGGACAGCAAAGAATTTGTAAGTAACAGGTCTTCGTTATAAAAATTTAGATAACATTAAGAACATAAAGAAGGGCTGGGCGCGGTGGCTCACGCCCGTAATCCCAGCACTTTGGGAGGCTGAGGCGGGCGGATCACAAGGTCAGGAGATCGAGACCATCCTGGCTAACATGGCAAAACCCCGTCTCTACTAAAAATACAAAAAAAAAAAAAAAAAAAAAAAAAATTAGCCGGGCGTGGTGGCAGGTGCCTGTAGTCCCAACTACTCATGAGCCGAGATGGCGCCGCTGCACTCCAGCCTGGGCAACGGAGTGAGACTCCATCTCAAAACAACAACAACAACTACAACAAAAACATAAAGAAGAAAAAAATCACCTGTGGTTCTATAATCTGGAAATAATCACAGTTAATGTTTTGGTTAAAGAGCAGATCCTTCTGGTCTTTTTTCTGTACTTCATCTTTCTGATTAAATTGGGATTAAAGCTATTATATTTGATTGTTATCTAATTTATTTTCCTTACTTATTGTAACCACTTTCCCATGTCGTTATACAGTTTTTGGTAACATTCAATACTTGGTCTTTAGTGGTTCAGCATCTCATTTATTTGGACAACTTCAGTGATTTTATCCTATAATTTATTTGTATAATCCTTTTGTTGGTTATCTAAGCTGTTTTAGGTTTTTTCAGTATTACAAATTATTCTGCAATGAGTGACTAAGTAAATTTTGTATATATATGTGATTTGTTCCTAAGAAAAATTCTTAGACATCCAATTTATAATTCCAAAATGAGCAAACAATTCTCATATATAAACCTTTGTGCATTTTTTGTTCATATCCTTTACCCATTTTTCTGTTGAAGTGTTTATATATATTTTTTCTCATTGAGTTAAAAGAGTTGTTTAAATATTAAGAAAATCAATCTTTCCTAATTACATTGTAAACAGTTTTTCCAGTTTGTTGATTAACCTTTGTTCTTAGTGGACAAATTAAATTTTGTATCTCTCTCTCTTCCTTTGTTAGTATGGTTACAAAGACTGTTACCAAAGATTAGAGTTAAATCTAACATAGGACACTATAAAAGAAATAGATGGGCCAGGCGTGGTGTAATCCCAGCACTTTGGGAGGCCGAGGTGGGTGGGTCATGAGGTCAGGAGATTGAGACCATCCTGGCTAACATGGTGAAACCCCATCTCTACTAAAAGTACAAAAAATTTGCCAGGCATGGTGGCAGTCGCCTGTAGTCCCAGCTACTCGGGAAGTTGAGGCAGGAGAATGGCGTGAACCCGGGAGGCGGAGCTTGCAGTGAGCTGAGATCGCACCACTGCACTCTAGCCTGGGTGACAGAGCAAGACTCCGTCTCAAAAAAAAAAAGGAATAGATGAAAAGTTATCATCTGGAATTTGTTTTGACGTAAGATGAGGCTTTAGTTATTTAATTTTTAAATAGTCAAATCCCAGCATAATTGACTTATTAGTCCATCCTTTTTCTATAATTTCAGCAAGAAAAAATGCTTTCTTTTTATGGAATTATAGCCACAGGTAGGAGTCACCTATGAAGACAATTTCTTGTGAAACTGGAAATCTTAAGTTAAAATGCTCTGTCCTTCCTTCAAGACCTAGTGCAAGTCTTACCACTTCCCCCACCTGCTCCAGCCACCAAAGTGCCCCTTCCTTTCTTCTCAATTCCTGTAGTGTCCACATGTGTTAAATTACCATACATTATTATTTATTTTTATTTGGTGTCATCTGATCTCACAAATTTTCTGAGGACAGTTCCCTTCTCACTTGTCTTTGGGCTGTCATCTTCTAGGATGGGGTCCTATTAGAGCTGGTACTCCAGCTCTAATAATTTTGTCCCTGATGTCTGGACTTGAGTTTCTGTACCTCAAATATAGGGTGAACCCTACTTTCACTGGTTCAAATGATGTCAGGCAGATCAGTGACAAAAATAAAGAATAACACTAGAATGAGTTCAAGCATAGCATATAATCTGACCCAGGCTTGATCTCCATCCACTTATCAGACCTCTTGCCATTCCCTTAAACCATCATTTTCTTTCATACCTTTCTGTCTTTGCGTATGCCTGGAGTAATATCCTTTTCTAGTTTTCCCACCAGATTATTCCTTCAAGGCCCGTTCCTCTTATTAAAAAATGATAATAATCTTTGGAAATTGGTCATTGGGATATTTGCATTCCATCTTATTTTTGATATTTTTCTGTCTAATTTCTAATTGTTTATATTGACAGGTTACATGCTCATTTAGATAATTTGGATAATGAAGAAAAATGAAGTTTAAAAATCAACTCAAATCCCACCATCTGGAAAAAAAACTAACAAACATGAATTGAGCTTCATTTCAGAGATGACAGTGTCTCACTTTTTTTACCTCTCTCTTTCTGTTTCTTTGGTTTCATCGAATTTGGAGCCTCTCTTGAGCTTTGATGTCTTTTAAGATGCCCACTCTGTTTGCTCTTATAGATCATTCGTTCTTTCTATTTGAGTCCCTAAAGTATTATTGGGATTTCTGAAGCTTAACCAAAATATGTCTCAGTATTATGCATTTCCTGAAACATGGAGTGTTCTTTCAGTCTGCGTATCAGTTTGTTCTAGCTCAGGGAATTTTTTTTTAAAAAAGATTAAGTTTGGCTGGGAGCAGTGGCTCACTCCTGTAATCCCGGCACTTTGGGAGGCTGAGGCGGGTGGATCACCTGAGGTCAGGAGTTCAAGACCAGCCTGGCCAACACGGTGAAACCCCATCTCTACTAAAAATACAAAAATTAGCCGGGCATGGTGGTGGGCGCCTGTAATCCCCACTGCTCAGGAGGCTGAGGCAGGAGAATTGCTTGAACCCAGGAGGTGGAGGTTGCAATGAGCCGAGATCACACCATTGCACTCCAGCCTGGGCAACAAGATTGAAACTCCGTCTCAAAAAAAAAAAAAAAAAAAAAAAAAAAAAAGATAAAGTGTTTGTACACATTACTTGCACAAACTGTTTTTGATTTGTCCCTTACTGAAACTGTCCTTATGCTTAATCATTTTTGTCTTTCTTTCATATCTATTAGTTTCTCTCTAATTGCTTTGATCTGTATTTTTAGCTACATTCACTGTTATTTTCCTAAGCCTTTCTTGTATTTTGAAGTGTCCATTTTGTTTCCAACTCTCTCTCGTTTTTGTATATTATTTTTATCTTTAGTTTTTATATATTAGTTTTATCTTTAGTTTTTAGTTTTCTAATTTTTAAAATTAGTTCCAGCATGTGGTTATATAATTTTATTTTTAAACTTATGCCCCCCAATGATTACTTAAATTATTCTTTTCTGAGAATTTACAAGATTTTAATTATAATCTCTATTTTGTTATTTATAAGATTGATTGTCATAATTAAAGGTGTTATTTTTCATGAAAAAGTTAGAAATTAAACTTTTCTTTGCTTATACTATTCAATTTTGGTTCTTTCTTTTAAGGCGGCATTTTTCAGAACCAAAAATCCTTAGAAAAAGAAGCATCTCCGTTACATATTAATTAGAGCATGGGGCTGTTTCATGGGATAGATTCCAAATAACAGTGGCTTAAATACAAGACAAGAGCTTATTTTTCTATCATTGTCAATCTGAGGCAGTGTGCTAGTTCTGCTCTGTGACATTGGACTCCCTTTATTCTGTTGCTCTGCCACCTATAGGAGTGTTAGTCTTATCCACATGATCCAAGATGGTCCATATTCCCTTCCAGCCATCAGGAAGAAGGAACAGAAAGGGGAGGGCATATCCTGCCCATAGAGGTGCAGTCTGGAAGAGCAGGAACCACTTTTTCTCACACCGTACTGGCCAGAGATCACCTGGCTATAGCTTTAGGCTGGGACATGAGGTCTTTAAGCTGGGTCACCATGTGTCCAGACTAGGCATTGGAGAGAAACAAGCAACCCCTGCCTTACAGTTGTCATTATTTTATATCAGTGGTTATTTAAGGGTTTATCTCACTTACGACTTTCTGAGCCCTTCAAAGGAAGGAATCATTTTCTCCATCCTCATTTTCTTAACACCTGAGCCCAAGATCTAATAGGTGTTTAGTAGTTAGTTGTGGAATTGCTTTTCAGTTAAAATGACAGTCTAATTTTTTTAATTTCTGAAAGAGTGGGATCTATAAACTCCAAGTGTTTTAGAACATTCTAGAAATTTTTGATAAAGACAGAAAGGCTCCCTATTATCTTATTCTGGTTCGATAATTGTGCCCCACATCAGTGATAGCTACAAAGTATATAAATTTGATTGAAGTAAGTATAAATATAGCTAGTAATATAGGCTCACCTAACTTGATATGAAAACGTCTTTGGATAATAAGTGGATTCCTATCTAAATTCATGAGTTCTCTTATGACATTTGGGTTAAGCCTGAAATGGATTAATCTTTTTCTGATAAAGTTTCATAAGCTGTGATTTCTCTGGTGACCACATTTAATTAGATATTAAATAAACTGCTTATCTTTATACCAACAGGTTTTATGACTGCATTTTTTTTCTGAGCTGTATTTCCTAGATTAAATAGCTAGCAGAAGTAAAAAAAATAAATAAAATTTTAATTAAACCATTCTTTCCTTAGATTAGAAATTAAAGGATGCCTACTTTTTAATAAAAAATAAATGTTTAAGCTTAAATTTAAAGGACAGAGATAGGGAAGATACTCTAAATGTATACATTCTAGTGAAAATAAATTCACTTTTCCAAGTTCCTTTTTTTTTTAATCTTTGAAATTGGCTATGCTTCTTGTAAGTGGAAAAGTTCCATTTAATCTGTCAAGACTGACTTTTTATGATAAGGTTTTTTGGGTTTTTTTGTTTTTGTTTTTGTTTTTGAGACAAAATCTTGCTCTGTTGCCCAGGCTGTAGTGCAGTGTCGCAATCTCGGCTCCCTGCAACCTCCACCTCCCAGGTTCAAGCAATTCTCCTGCCTCAGCCTCCTGAGTAGCGAGGGTTACAGGTATGCGCCACCACGCCTGGCTAATTTTTGTATTTTTAGTAGACACGGGGTTTCACCATGTTGGCCAGGCTGCTCTCGAACTCCTGACCTCAAATTATCCGCCCGCCTTTGCCTCCCAAAGTGCTGAGATTACAGGCATGAGCCCCTGCGCCCGGCCCATTTTGTGATAAGGTTCTGAAGGTTTTAGTTAAAAACAGTTTTCTTTTTCTTCATCTCCTTATACATCACAATAAGATTCTCCAACTTCAAATCATGACATTCTGACTCAGCTTTTTTCCCTCTAAGTCTGGCAACAGAGAGGAGACACTTGCAAGTCTTGTGAATGTTGAACAGCAAGGATTAATTTAATCTGCTGTTTTATCGAGAGGAACACGGCAGAGATGGATCGGGATACACCAAATGACCTTCTGCGCAGATTACAAGAGAGTTTCTGAGTTTCCTGCAGTGCTAAGACCCAAACATGGCAAGAAGATCAACAGTTGTCAGAATCTTGAAGAGCGTTAAGTGTGTGAAAGGCTTGACTCTTCTGTCTCCCTAGAGCCAGGGAAATTTTCAGAAGAGATCTGGCCCTCCAGAAATTTCTTTAGTCTCATCAAATTTGAAGTGAAATTATTTTTACCTTTCTCTGTTAATCCCTTCTCCCTGCTTGGGTAAACCTCAGGTGAAGACTGGGTAGGGGCAGGTGAGCAGCATGGTATCTTTGGGAGAACATGATGGTTCCACGGGTAAAGATAAAGGTTCGTGAAGGTTGGATGCAGCGGGGCCTCATTTGAGCCTGTGGTTCTGGTACACACCACAGATTGGTATCTTTGGGGTCCATGGTGGTTCAGCATCTAAACTGTGGTCTCCTTTTTCCAGCTGCGCCCTGGGCATTTTCATTTTCTTGGTTTCAACTCAGGTTGACAGTAACAATAAATACCATGTTCTTGCTGAAATCCGACATCCTGGAATCGTCTTGGATTCTTTTTCCGTATCCATACCATATCCACACCTTGTTGATTGCTCTTCTCGAAGGTCTCTCATATTCTTCCAAATTTTACTGCTACCTTCCTATTTAAATATTTCACTTTCATGCTGGCTTTCCTAACTTCTGAGTGTCCACTGATTCAATTTCTCTTTCATAAACCCTGAGTAGCATTATCTGGTGAATCCTCCTAAAGATCCAGTTTCACCTCTTTCTTCCTCAGCTCAAAAAAATTGACAAGCTCCCAATCCTTGCAGGATGTAGAACAAACAATTTATGGACAAACGTCAGTTATTTAAAGATATTTTAATTTCATAATATAAAAAATTTTTAGTTGTATGAAAATGATTAAGATGTTAAATTTTATGCTATGTGTACACACAGCATAAAATTTACCATCTTAACTATTTAAAGTGAACAATTAGATCGTGTTCACTCTGTTCACATTGTTGTGCAAAAAAACTTCATAATTCTTGGGTTTTTGGTTTTATTCCTCACAAAAGAGACTTGTAAATCCTGTTACATTTAATGCAGGATTGTAAGTATGTATACTGAAGTGTTTAAGGACTTCATACTGGTCACTGAATGCATTATATTCAATTAAGTAGTGGCCAACGGAAACCTCCTCGAACTCAGTTGTGAGTGGGCTACTTCCTCATCCTTTTCCTGGATGTCTCCTCTGTGAGTAAGGACTGTGCCTCACTCATGTAAGGCCCTTGATAATGTCTGTTGAGTGGCTGCGTGAGCTGATAAGATCATTGTTGATCTAGAATACAGCTTTTCTTGACCACCCTTACAAGAATACAGGCTAATTCCCATGATATTCTGATGAAACACAACTCAATTACATCAATAAAAAACAGCTAATATTGTTAGCACTCTTCTATCATAGCAATTAAAAATAAAAAGATAACGTGGGAAAGCAGCAAAATGCTTTTCTAATACCTGATAATGATCTTACTTTCAAGTGAATTATCTGATTTTATTTGCATCCTCAAATGCCTTAGAAACAAGTAAAATGAAAGAGAATATCATATTTTGAATTAATTTTCAACCTTTTTTCATAGAATTAAAAATACAATTTTGATGAAAATTCACAGATGGACCTCTCAGGGTCCTTTTCAAACCTGAGCCCATGATTCACGCTTTCTTTTTTTAAAAAAATCATTGTTGAACTAGTTGCAAATGAGACTAGCTATAAGGCTTTGGTCAATTCTCTTAATTGCTCTGGCCTTCAGGTGTATTTAATTAGATCCTATTCTATTCCAAACATATTTTGATTCCTTTATACTATATACTGATGACAAATATTAAAAATATAAACCATTGTCGGGCTCAGCCCTGTATTCTGTTCTGGATAAGGTAAACACAGATCTAGGACTGCAGTGTTAATGGATGTTGTATGTCCATAAAGCTGATGGATTAACTTTGTATTTTATATGTTGAAATGTGGGTATCCTGGATTCTGGATTCTTTTGTCCTGTGTGTTTTCCTGGAAGGACTTTATTCAGATGACTTCTTCTGTGGGCTCTGTGATTACAGTGTGTATCTCTTGTCCTGACCTTCCTTGTAAGCTGAGGAGCCATATTTCTAACTGCTATCTTGATTTGCCTATGTGGATATTTTTGCAACATTCCATACTTAAAATGACCAGCACTGACCATACTACCTTTTCTGTAGAGCAGGCTTCTCCTCTGTAATTCTGTTAGTTAAAGGAGAGTCTTCCACCTGGCTCCTAAGCTAGAACCTTTGAAGTTACTCTTTGGTTTGCTCCCATCATTCCATATCTAATCCGTTGTGAATTCCTTTTAATTTTATCCTAGAAAGTCTCTTGAGTGGGCTCTCTCACTTCTGCATTTAATCACCACCTGGCTTCTTGCCATTAATCTCTTCCAAACTTAGTTCAACCTCCATATCATTACCAGACATAGACTGCCAAATAAATATTTTTCTGTAGTAAGGAAAAGGAAAAAATAAATCAGATCATGTTACATTCATGCTCCAATAGCTCCTTTTGTCCTCTCTTTCCTAGGGCAGTGTTCAGTGTCCCCCATGTGTTCTACAGAACCCAGTGCCGAGGGATGTCAGGAGTTCTGCAAAAATGGTGTCCAAGTTAAACTGATTTCTTTCCTGCCACGCTTATCAGCCCCCTCGAGACCAAATATATGTTACTAATCTCTGAAAGGAGATTGTAGGAGGCAGCATTTCCCAAATGTACTTGGCCACAAAATGGTTTTTTGTTTTTGCTTTTGCAAAGCAACCCATAGAATTAGTATTCTGGGAAACTTATGCTAGAAAACACTAACCTAGAAGAGAAAAAGCTGGAGTTGTGGGTCCGGCATACAGGACCCTTTACATCACCTCACCCCTCCAGCTTTAACCTCAGGATGCTGTGCCAGGTACACTATACTTTAGCTACTCAGAGCTTGACTGTTGTCCCCCTAACATGCTGTGCACTTTGCAGGCCTCCATGCTTTTAGCGTGAATTTCTCCATACCAGAAATATGCATCTACTCACCCTGCCTGATGAAGTCAAGCTGGCACTAAATCTTCTTTATCATTGCCTCCAAGAAGGCTTTTCTACTCCTCATGGAATGAGTTGCTTTCTATGTTCCTTCATAGCACTTCTCCCCCTGCCTTCACTCCCTGGCTTCTCTGTTGTCTACCATCTATCTATCATCCTTCATCCCTTTGTTCCTTCTTTCCTTCCTCCCATCCATTCATCCATCCATCATATTATATTTTCAGTCGGCTCACATAGCTGCCTCTTTTATTGTTCTGCGTGCTCCTGGAGGGCTGGCATGCTCTCTTATTCATCTTTATATCCTTGGCACTGAGTACAGTGCTTAACATGCAGGTGCTTCATAAATTAATGTTGAATTAAATAAAAAAGCTTTAAAAATCACAGAGCAGTTCTTTTTCATAACAGGTTCATAGTGTTTTATAAGCAAGCATTATCTGAGGCTGGAGATTGAGAAAATAATACACTTTATTTCTTACATTCTGTCAGAGTTCTGCCTGGACATTAACTTCTTAAACAGCATAGAATACATTTTTAAAACATGGGCATTGGAAGAGTAGGCTCACAGGTGAACCTTCCTTTGGGGTAGCAGATGATAGGTAGGAGAGTGTACACACTGTAAGAATGAATGGGAATCTTAAATCTTATAATTTCATTAAGGATGCAGACCTAGTTTTTTCAAATTGTGGCTACAGAAAAAGTGCTTGAAAACAAATGCCCCCAGCCAGGCATAAGGGGAAGTCCAGGTAGCATTGCTTATTTCAGCTAAAGTTGAGAATAAATACAATTAAATGAGCTGTGGCACTGCCCTTGGCCCCCAGCTAGATCTCAGACTGGCATTACAGGAGGGTCTGTGGATGGATCTAAACTAACGTTAGCTTAATGCACCAGCCCAGAGTATAGGGTCTGATTTCTGCAGTCATTGCAGTTGAGAGCTGAACACTCATCTGTGGAGTGCTTCATTGTGCTAGGTACACATCGTCTATGACTTTCGCTTATAAATGAGGACCCCAGATTGATGAATGGAAAGAATGTGGATAAAGTTCTCCGTACCCCTGTCTTTTAGGTTTAATGGTTTAAACACTAATGACTTCAGCCTTTGCAACAATATTGAAATAGATGAACAAACCCAAAGGGTGAGGTCAGAGAGACCCTCCTTTTAGGGGAAAGAAAGTCTCTTTATGCCTTTGACCCCTGGTTCATGCATTGATGGTCACCAATTGAGAAGTGCAGCTGGGAAGCCACTTAGAGCAAAGTGTGTGTGATTACGTTTGTAACGATCGGCCTTTTCGTTCACCAAAGACCTAACTAGGATGAAAGAGCCTGTAGAGCACCCTGCATGTTTTATCACCACCCTCATCATTAACAACCACCACTTGTTTCCTAAGTTTACTTCTCTAGGCCCTCTAATGCCTTCCTAGTTACTCCACAGCATAATTTCAACTTGGAAAAGTACAATTCTGAATGAAAAGCTCTACTATTTAAACTCCCAGTCAACCCTACTGAAATGTCATTTTAATTCAGGGTCTTAGAACATACTAGGTCATCTTGAATAGGCATGATCTTCCTTTTCTACTTTTGTATCAGCTTATTTACATCTATGGATTTCTGTATGAATTATTGTTCTTTAGGTAAAACAGTATAATAAGTCATTTTTAAAATGCACTTAGAACCACATTTGACTGAAAATTACAGGTTTAAAACAGCTTCTTTGCTTTAAATATAGTACTAATAATACAGTTCACAATAGAAAATTATGTAGCATTTGCACCTTTGGGGAGGAAAATCAGTTTAAAGTACTAAATAAGGGACTCTGTTAGAACATTGTGCTACTTAAGCTTCAGCATTTGGCCAGTTTATTCATTTAAAAAGTGAAACTTATGACTTGATAAAAATGGCTAATAAGGACACTGCTATTACAGTGTCATAAAGGTGTGTAAACGCAGGATGGATTTTGCCGCTTGAAGAGGTTGTGGCTAAAAGTGGTGAGTAAACGCTATGGTTGACACTGAAAATCAGAAAACACAGTGCATGTCCTACATTATTATTATTATTATTATTATTATTATTATTATTATTATTATTATTATTTGAGATGAAGTCTCGCTCTGTCGCCCAGGCTGGAGTGCAGTGTCATGACCCCAGCTCACGGCAAGCTCCGCCTCCTGGGTTCACACCATTCTCCTGCTTCAGCATCCTGAATAGCTGGGACTATAGGCACCCACCACCACGCCTGACTAATTTTTTTGTATTTTTAGCAGAGACGGGGTTTCACCATGTTAGCCAGGATGGTCTCGGTCTCCTGACCTCGTGATCCGCCCACCTCGGCCTCCCAAAGTGCTGGGATTACAGGCGTGAGCCACTGCGCCTGGCCCACCTTTTTATTTTTTTTCTTCTTATGAAAGTACAATTTCTATATAGAAAAGTAATCCTAAGTATACAACTTGAAGAATTTTTACAAACTGCACACACCTGTATAACCATCACTCAGGTGAAGAAATGGAGTATGACCAGACCTGAAGAAGCTCTCCTGTGCCCCCTCCTTGTGATGGCCCTACCCACCCAAGGGTGGCCACTATCCTGACTTCTAATGATACAATTACTTTTGCTCATTTTTGTGCTGTATATTATTGGCCTTTTTGCTTAGCATTTTGTTTGTGGGGTTCATCCATGTTGTTGTGTGAATTTTAAATTGTTCTTTCTCATGGTAGTGGGGTGGTTCCATTAATTTATCCTTACCTCTCACTTTTTGCTGTAATTTTATCATTTCATTAGTTTTATTTCTCTGATCTAACTCCACACCAATTTACCTTTAAAAAGGTCAAATGCGATTCCTTTTACTGCATGTGCCATGCAGCCTTTTAAAACATAGATAAATGAGGCAGCAATAAATTTAGCAAATTTTATGAGTAAAAGAAATGGGTAGCACATTTTCATTATTCAAAGGAGGTCATGTTCATGGCAGTCCATTGCAATTTCGAATATGTAAAAAGAAAGTGAATTTGGTAGAATGCCAAAATAAATTTAGTTGCAAGATGATGACAGAAATATAGTTGTACTTAGGTTTGGACATTGCCTTATACTTTATTATTGACTGGATATTTTTAAGGGAATATTTTAAAGCAGAAAAAGTAAATTTGGTTTGGTTATCCAGTACACAATTTCCAGTATGCAAATGCCTCACATCTGTGTATTTGTTTTGCTGCAGACATAACCAGGAAGAGTTTAGTGATGAAATCTGTTCTTAATTACGAGAGCAGCTGTTAGAGTGGTAGCCATTTTTTTTCCTCCTGATGTGAAGTTGCCTGATTTACTCATTTTTGCCTGCATTTTTCAGGCTTGCTAGTGCAGAACGGGGCTGCTTTGTGAGAGGTTGCAATTTGTTTTCTGTCTGAGAGCCAGTGCAAATGGACTAAATCTACACAGCAGGGTGGTTTTATCTGTCCTCCTCACACACTGCAAGCTGTCCTACCTCAGCTCAGCACCAGAGACCTATAAAACCACCCAACAAATGAGGGGGCTGTTAAGTGTTCTGGCAAGAATTTCAGGCAGCAAGCAGTTCCTGTGAATTAACTAGATCCTTGTGATGGGGTTGGGGGGTTGGTGGGGTGGGCAGACTTGGACCATATAGAACTGGAACAGATGGTATTAATACACTATTTTGTCTTTAGATTTGTAGATTTTTAATATGCATCTTTCCATTTCTATTCCATTATTTTTACGTTCTTAGAGCTGTAGCATGTTTTTGATCCTATAGGTTACCCAAACAAAGCAAAAACACATTTAGATGATCTTTCAGGTTAGTTCTTAAGCAACCTTAATACTTGGTCCAGGCTGCCACAGAAGGGGACTATATTTATTTCCTCTCAATATGTTTCCTAGCATACTAAAGTAAGGACTTCGCATAAAACTGGAAATGGAAGCTGAGTGAAAGTGATCTCTTTCACTGTTATAATTTTCTACTCAGGACTGGATTTAGAAGCTCATAGATTCCTTTCCTGTAGAGAAGTCAATGAACTGTTTCACTGGAAGCAATTGATACCTACATATCAATCTTGGATACATTGTGTATTTCTTCACTGTCCATATTATGTTCAGCTCTAGCCACAATTGCCTTAACACTTGAAGTTTCACATTTTAAATTTTAATTTACACTATGTTGTGAAATTAAAAAATAAAAGACTAAAACAAATGCAAAAACAAAGCTTATTCTTACAATCTGGGGGCAAAACCCTTCTATATTTTGTTTCATTTTATGTAAAAGATCTTTTTGTTTTTTTAAAAGAGCTTTTTTATTTTATTTTTTGTTTTATGTAAAATAGCTTTTCTTTCTCATGCTTGAAAACCAGAGTTTTATAAAAACCTTTTTGAAGTTGCTTTTTTTTTCCAAAATGAATGAAATTAAAACTAATGTTATTTACATTAATTTTTCTGCTCTGCTGGCACTTTTCGGAGCTCTGTAGTACAATTGCAAAACTCTAAACCTTCTGAAAACTGCTTCCCTGACAGCATTATCCTCTTTCTTCTTTTGATTAAACTCAGACCAATGCAGAACAATTACCTGAGTAACTCAGTCCATTAAAGCCTCTTTACACAGAGAATTCAGGGAAAAGTGAATTTTTCTCACCTAGATTGCCCAGATCATTATGTTTTTTGCCTTCCAGCCTTTCTGAAGTCAGTAGATAAAAGGAGACTGGTCCTGTTGCCCTTGAGGTTCTCCCCTCAGATGGCAAACAACAGCAGACCCTTGAAGGTCAAGTCGCTGCCTGGTTAGCAGAGATGTTGTCAAGTATTTGATATTATTCCAGGCTATATTAATAACAATAATTATAATAGTAATCACAAAGACATTGACAAATAATTCAGAAGTAGTGCACACAGAAAAAGAATTGAATCATCTTGGATTAACAAAAAAAAACAGAGATAGGATCAAGATCTATTGGGGAACAGCCTTTACCTGAAGGATTGGAATGTTGTAAACCATTCAAAGCAGGATGGAGCAAATGGGCTAGATGAAGAATAGGCTTCAGTCAGCTCTGCCACCTCTGCCATTGGATAGCTGGTAGCTGATGACTTGACGAGACCATCCTCTTCAAGGAAAACTTTGAATTAATCACATACTTGTACCAGGCTCTTCTGATTAAGCAGAAGTTAGATTTCATTTAATACATTTCTAATCTCTTACGCTTGAGTTCCAATCAGCCACAGACACCTGGATAGTTCTTTAAGGGGCTGAGACTTTTGTCTTTATTAAACTATGTATGGATTATACTCTGTATGCCTGATTATGTACTTGAAGTATGAATGAGTACTTACAAATTGTGACTAAGATTACATCCTGTTCCTCAGGGGTTACCCATATATGGCAATTACCTGGGTCATTATAGGTGAGCGAACCTAAGTCATAAAGCATAATGTTCTGTTTCCTCCACTGTTGAACTTTCCCATCTTTAATTTGGAATTTTTTTCTGTTCTGATTTTCTGTATTTTTTTAAATCATAATTCCTTTCTTGATTGCCTGGTTTTTAGTTTCATTATGAGTTAAAAACTCCACATTTAAAGTTTTCTACAAATGTCTAGTCGATTCAGTATCCTGGGTCCATAGCATGAGGGGAGTTGGAAACTGAGACCTCGAGAGTCATAAGGAATGTTTCCAGTAGTGAGCATGCCAGAATGAAACTTGGAAATTCAGGTAACTTAGTGTCTGTGGTTGCCTAAGCTCCTAAGCTGGATTGCATTTTTCTGTTATGTTTATGTTCTTTTGGTTTGGTCACTGTATTAGTTTGTTTTCATGGTACTGATAAAGACATACCCAAGACTGGGCAATTTCCAAAAACGAAGAGGTTTAATAGACTTACAGGTCCGCATGGCTGGGGAGGCCTCACAATCATGGCGGAAGGCAAGGCAAGAAGGAGCAAGTCACATCTTACGTGGATGGCAGCAGGCAAAGAGAGAGCTTGTGCAGGGAATCTCCCATTTTTAAAACCATCAGATCTCGTGAGACCCATGCACTATCACGAGAACGGCACGGGAAAGACCTGCCCCCATAATTCAGTCATCTCCCACCTGGTCTGTCCCACAACACATGGAAATTATGGAATCTACAACATGAGATTTGGGTGGGGACACAGCCAAACCATATCAGTCACCTTGGAAGGCCAAACTGAATTCCAGAAGGTGGTAGTTTGGTCCCACCCACCTTCGCTTGCTTGTGTGTGTCTTCTCCAGGCTGAGGAAGAGCCCTGTGCAGGAATAGCAGCTTTGAGGCATTGCCAGGTCCTGGCACTATGAATGGCAAAAAAGCAACAGAAGGTACTGGCTTCTTTTGTCTTCCCACAGTTGACAATTCAGGGCTCTCTTTTTTAAAAAAGACTCTAGTAGTTAACAGTCCATGGACAAGAACATAACATGCATCTGATTATTGTAAGTGGCATTTTGAAGCTCATGTGAGAAATACTAAGTTCCTATTTGTTTGCATTTTTAAAAACATGATCTCAAATTCAAAGGCAGATGACAAATTGGGAAAACATTGCAGACAGTTTGTTAATATCCTTAAGATATGAAGTACTCTTATATATCAATTAGAAAAAGCCCCAGTGCTCTAAAAACAATAGGGAAAGGTCCTGAGCAGACAATTCACAAAAGAAGATTCCAGATATTCAAAAACATGTAGGAAAATGAATATGAAGACATGCAAATAAAAATATCATTGTCATAATGTGTTATCTAGCAAACTGGCAAAACTTGAAATCCTTCACTTGAAAAAGTGAAGGATTGGGAACCAAGATTCTAATCTAAACTTCTAGTATCCTTCTAGAAGTTTAAATAGTTGTTAACTTTATGAAGAGCAATTTGGAATATGAGTGAAGACAATTAAAAGATTGGGTGCATGAATATGTATCATAGTTTCATTAAACACTTCAAGGAATTGGAAAAAATCTCTATGCCCTAATGTGATATTAAAACATGATTTTGGGCCGGGCACGGTGGCTCATGCCTGTAATCCCAGCACTTTGGGAGGCTGAGGTGGGCGGATCACCTGAGGTTGGGAGTTCAAGACCAGCCTCCCCAACATGGAGAAACCCTATCTCTACTAAAAATACAAAATTAGCCGGGCATGGTGGTGCATGCCTGTAATCCCAGCTACTTGGGAGGCTGAGGCAGGAGAATCGCTTGAACCTGGGAGGTGGAGGTTGCAGCAGTGAGCCGAGATCACGCCATTGCACTCCAGCCTGGGCAACAAGAGTGAAACTCCGTCTCAAACAAAACAAAACAAAAAACCACATAGTTCTGAAGAGGAGTTAATGTCATAAGAAAATTTTCATATGTTAACTGAAAAACAAGTATATAAAAACAATATATAGAGGATGATCCCAATTTTATAAATATGCAGTCTGTTACTAGAGCTTATCTTGATTGGTGGCATTATGAGCTATTCATTTCTTTTTGCTCTTTTCCAATTGTTACAGTGAACCTGAATTACTTTTATAATCAGAAGTAACTCATATACTTTAAAAATAACTCTGTGACTTAAAGGTGCCTTAGATGAACTACAAGAGCATGTTGTACCAACAGATATTTTGGTTAAATACAATACAGTGACTGAAAGGCATGTATTTTTAAGAGAATTAACCTGGATAAAGGAAAATTGATACAGATAATAACTGCCCAGGGAGCACTAAATAAAAAGAAAATACCTGGCTCTCTGCTTAAGGCCAAGAAACCTGGCATTAATGGAATCAGGAAAAGAAAAGCAGTTGCCACAAATCAAATCCTTTCATAGGGTATATCTGTCTGTTATTCCTTTGACATCTGAAAATTGCCACATATTGGGAAAGAGAAATCATTGCCTTTCTTCATGTCCCTCCAGCACAGTTGTTTCTGAGCTGTGCTGTCTCTAACTGCCAGCTCATGTATGCTCCTTCCAGAGAGTCATTCTGTCTGCACTTAGAGGAAAGAAAACATGGACTCCTTGACACCACGTCTCTGAGGACTCATCTTGTGTCTTCCATCCTGGCACAAGAACCAAGTGTACCAGACAGCCTTTGAGGCTGAAAAGAGATCGAGGAACAGCAGGGGAAAGGCAAATAGCACAATATTTGTTTCCACAACTGATGTTACTACAATGAATATGAAACTCAGAATTTTCTGTTAAGTCAAGCACTAGCTGAGGTTGAATAACATGCTATGACAATAGTGGTGCTATAAACCCAAGGACATTGTTATGAGTTTTCACATTAAAAAAAATGGCTGGAAACTTAGATTTAATTAAGGGCACACAATTATGGCAAGAGGGGTGTAGCTGAAAACCATAGAGAGTGAGAAATACAGGCAGTAAGATTCTCAGAGCCATGTTTGCGTATCTACATTGCCTGTACTTTATGGAATTCTGGTTCTTGGTGATATTTGGAGTTCAGATAGTGGATTTATAGTGGGAAAGAGGATTTTGAATATAGAGATAGTAGAACTAGGGAATGATTTTTTAAAAATAAAAGGTAAAGAACAGAATAGGCCGGGTGCAGTGGCTCATGCCTATAATCCCAGTGCTTTGGGAGGCCCAAGAGGGGGAATTGCTTGAGGCCAGGAGTTTGAGACAGCCTGGCCAACATAAAGAGACCCCATCTCTACAAAAGTTAAAATTTAAAAATTAGCTGGTCGTGGTGGTGCATGTCTGTAATCCCAGCAACTCAGAAGGCTGAAACAGGAGGATCACTTGACACCAGGATTTCAAGGTTGCAGTGAACTGTGATTATACCACTGCACTCCAGCCTGCCTGTTTCTAACTTAAAAAAAAAAAAGAGATAAAGAATTTAAAAAAATTTCTAAAGATGGGGAGCTGTTTATTCTCCTTTTCATGGAATCTGAATAGTCCTTTCTCATGGTTTATGAGACTTCTCCTTGAATCTAAATATTCTCAGCCTCAGAGCCATAGCTGTTCTGAGCTTTGGATCAGCCTTCTTACCCCTTTTCTTCAAGAGCCCATCTCACAGGCTGCCTCTCACTAAGATGAGCTAGTTCTTAGGCACTGATTTTTCCCTTGGGAAAAAAAGCAGTGGAGTTCAGTATAAATCTTTGCTGTAAACCCACACTGTATATAACACACTGCAGGGTCTTTGCACGATACAAGAACAACTTAGTCCCGGTCCTCATCTTTTGAGGATACTAGGGAGGCAAGCAAATATATCTATTAATACAATATGCCCTATTTATATACTTCCAGATCTTCAACAGACTATTCTATTGAAGAGATCATTGCGTTGATCTCTTCAGTTGAAGAGCCCATGTAGTCAGTCCTTCCACCACCTGCCTTTGATCCTGTTAGTTGCTGTCTTAGTTTATGTGGGCTGCTGTAACAAAAATACCATACACTGAGTATGTGTGATGTGTAAACAATAAACATTTATTTCTCTCATTCTAGAGGCAGAGAAGTCCAAGATCAAGGTGGTGGCAGATTCGTTATCTGGTGAGGGCCTGCCCGCATAGATAACATCTTATTGCTGTATCCTCACGTGGTGGGAGGGTAAGGCAGTTCTCTGGGGTCTCTTTTATAAGGGCACCATTCTCAACTGGCTCTGCCCTTATGATCTAGTCACCTTCCAAAGGCCCCTCTTCTTGATATCATCACCTTGGGGGTTATGATATTCAACATGAGAATTTTGTGGGGACACAGATAGTGAGATTATAGTGGTTGTTCATCTCTTCCCTGCCATGCCATGCACACACGTGGCACCTTGGGTTTGTCTGGGGGGAGAATGATGTTCCCGTTATCCCGATGGTGTCCAGCTTTTGTATTTGTCATGTCAGCTGCTGGGCCTGTCTTAGAAGTTGCTAATAACTTCCACTTTAATATTACTCTTATTGATGCATTGGGTTTTTTTATTGACCAATAAATAATTTAGGCATTGGCAATGTTAAGACCATAACATAAACCTTTTCTAAGTAATTTTTCCATATTGAGCTTATTAGCATCTTTTGGTATCTGCTGGGTTTTTAGCTTTACAACAGGCACTCACATATAAACATGTTTATCCTATTTAGATTTGTAGTTCCTGGGAGTCAGAGTTCTGTGAGCAGTCTTAACTTATAAAGCATGTTCAGACATGCTTTTCAGATGATTTTGTTTCATTTTAAAAGGGGAAATGGCATTAACCTAATAGGAATTCTCCTCCTGAACCTCAGAGGCAGCAGATGGTACAGCTCTCTTTGAACTTTACTGCCCAGGTGAACGTTCTCTGCATTTAGATCTTCAGGAGTTTTACAGACTAGTGTGGAGTGGACATGTAAGGACAAGAGGAAGAGGCAGGTTTCAGCTGAGCTCTTCTCCTCCTTAGAGCAGGACAGTGTTGGGATGGGCTGATTGTGAGTATGGAGTTCTTTCTGGAGGAGCTCCAGCAGGAGCTGGGCAAATACTGGGAGCTTTGACTAAGGGGCATGCATTGCAGATGAGGTTTGACCAGAGGTTTTCCAGGATCCCTGAAGAACTCTGCACTTCTAAGCCTGTAAGGCCACAACAGGTGAGATGAAGGGGGAGTTGAACTTCCAGCTCCTTGTGTGTCCCCTAGGGTTCCCCTTTTGGGTCCACACAAAGGCTCTTGAGCCCAATCTGAAGGTCTAAGGCTATGGATATCTCCTCCATTTCTAAGTTGGGACAAGGTTGTCCAGCAAAAAGAAAAGCAAAGACTGGTCCAATCTTAGAGACGTTTGTTTTGGAAGCAGAGCTGGGCTATTAGCTTTCCTCAAGAAGGAAAAAGGAGTGCTACAAAGTTAAATACTGATTTTTAAAAAAAATTGGCATTCACACAATTTCTACTACCACAGATGAGACTTCTTTTTGTTTTTCTCAAAAACTTAGGCTCTCCGAGGGATTGGTGGAGGCTGTGGTACAGTGAGGGAGCAGAGTTCTCTGCCACGTTGGAAATCAGCCTCAGACAGGAGCAGGCCTTGGGTTCCCTATGGTGGTGGAGGCGAGCTGAGAGATGTTGAGGCAGTGAGAGCGATTGATAGACTGCTACCCAGCATTGGAGAGATGACTCTCTAGATGTCCTGGGCTGGCATTCTAGCTTCTGACATGCCAGTCAAACCCATAGATTCACACGCCTGAAGGGACCATCAGTGGTAAGATTTATCCTCCTGACTTCAGACAAAGCCACATCCAAGCCATCTCAGGCATTTAAGGATCTATCCTATTTTTGAAGTCTCCAAAAAGGATCCCTTGGTCTCTCAGTTTAATGTCATAAACTCTGTAAGTCAGGAAATTTAACTTTAGAGCAAGCTCAGATTCTTTCTATGGTTCAAAGACCATTTTCTTTGGCAATCATCCTCTCTCTGAGTACCCTTCATGTATTTGAAAACCAATACTAAATTGGCTTTCAGCTGTCTCTTCTCCCCAGGTGGAATAATTTCAGTTCTAGTCACTTGAATTCAGAAGAAAAAGCATGCTAGCAAAATTCAAATCAAGTAAATATAAGCCTTTTTTAGGAAAAAAAAAAAAAAACAGGAACAAAAAGAAATGGGTTTTCTACTGAAAATGTCCAATCTGAAGTTCAGGCTACCTGAAATGAAATTAAAGGTTTTATATTAAATTTTCATTACTGCAGAATTAATCAGTTGCTGTCCATTCCCGTTTTAGTGGGGGCTGGAATTTGCTTTTCCTTGTAGGCCTTGTGGATTTCCTTTGTGAATTTAAAAGCAATTATGTGAGTTGAAGAGATTTAGGGGCTATTGAGAGAAACAAGATTCTTTAGTAAGGATTCCTTACCTTTGCCAAAACCTCAGCTCTATCTGGAACAGAACTTATTAATCTTTTGGAAGAGTTATAGATCCAGTTGAAAATCTGATAAATGCTACGAACCTTTTTCCTAGGAGCATATGTATGTATATCTGCGGGAACGATGCCATACAATTTCATTGAGTCCTTGGGCCTCAGCTTCTAATCTCAAAACCTAAAATAGGATGCGTTTTAATCAGAGATGAAAGTGACACATTTTACATAAAACTCTTAATTGATGACCAGAAAGAAAAAAAGTGAAATATTTCTTTTGTAAAGGGGTAGAGTAAAAGAGATTCCTGTTGAAGTACAGTTCTCTGTGACTTAATTGGAAATTTAATTTAATTTAAATTGAAAATACTTTTTCATTTCTGAAGTATTCCCACCAGAAATCCTTAATATCTAATAGAATTTAATTTTGAATAAGAATTGGCGTTAACTCCTCCTTGCAATGCTGTGAGCATTGTAGAAAAAACCTGGGCAGGCACTAGGAAAATGAGCTCTTCTGGTGGTTCTGCCACTGGCTGGTTGTGGGGACCTGGGTACATCTGTCACCTTCTTGGGCCTTCTTAATTAGGAAATGCTGCTTTCAGAATCTCTTAGTTTCATTTTTTTTGTGTGGGTTTTCTCTTTTTCTTTTTTCTTTTTTTTTTTTTTCATTTTAATCTTCTATTTCCATGGCTGTGCCTTTCCAGAATTAAATGAAATGTTTCTTGATGCAGACTGTTATAATCTAGTAGGGTGGTTTGGCAAAAAAAAAAAAAAAAAAAAGTGGAGGGAAAAGGTAATGAGTGAGATGTTGGCAAAAAGGGCTGTGTCCACAATTGCTCATCAAAGCTCATGTGTTACTCACCCCATCTCAGCTGCTGAGCTCCAAACACTGGTGCAGTAAAATAAAAATGAAAATGCCTCCTGCCTCCTACTGCTTCCTCCTACATACACCTTAAGGAAACAAGATCCAGATTTTCTAAACAATTTTCTTCATTTTACTTTATTTTGATTGGCAAAATGTCATAGGAAATGACTTGTCAGTGTATCAAGTTTACATATGTATTTCCATGACCATACATAGAATGTTGGCACCCATAGATTTGAAATCAGACTTTCTTGCTGTCATCATTAGTATTTCATAAGCAGGTATATCCTTTCCAAGTAAAATTGTTCAGTCTAGATAGTTAGATAATTTTGATAGATTGTTGGGTTTACTCTGCTTTGTATGATAATTCAAAATATCTAATTCTACCCCAATTCATTAGGGTTAAAAATGAGAGGTCAGTGATTCATTGGGTCTGGGTGGATTCCAGCTTCAAGTCAACCGTGTATCCCTCACTTGCCCAATGGCTGTCAAGAGAAAAGACCCAGTGAGCTTTGGTGAAACACAAAATCAAGTTGACCTTGGCCTAACAGTAAGTTAATATGATTACCAGGGTATGAATGCATTCCAGTTCAGCAGGCTTCTAGGATGGCCCACATAATCCTGGTTATTTCAAGTGGAAAATCTTAATATTCCCTTAGTGATTGAGCTACAGGTTTCAGGAAGTCCATTATTAACTACCACTGCCTTGAATTGAAACCTGATGATGTTTTCTTCCTTTCACCATGCCACGGAGCTGCACTGCCATACCTTTCCCAGACCATCATTCACTCTGGTAGAGTTTGTCACACGTGTCACAATTTGGGAAGGCAGTGTGCATTCTCCATGGGCACCAGTGGGTGCACTGGGAGAAGGGACTCCAACAGATCTCATTAATTAGCCTTTTATTTCTGCCATGGATGACAAATGTCAGCTTTTGCATTTGTTTTATACTCAACTGTTGAACTAAATCTCCACACTCAGAAGAGACCCTTCACTGCTGCGGGAACAGTAGTGAAAAATCATTTCCATTTTCCATTGGTCAGAGAGACAAAAGGTTGTCAGATTGGGTAGAGACAGGTTTGAGATAAATGCCGCAGCACCCTGGTAGTAAAGGAGAGAGGGTTATCTGTGCATCACTGCAGCGATTACTCATGCTTTTAGTGGTGTGCCTTTCATCACTGCAATTAGCTTCTTGTCTGCGAGTGTTTGGATACAGAGTCTGTGGTTGTCATGCAGTCAGTGTCAGAATCGCTCAACACTGTGCTCACTTTTGTGCTTGAGTACACTTATTGATGAGCACACAGGTGTTAAATTAGATTGGTTTCAATCCATTGTAGGAAGTCACCAGGCACCAACTAAGCCTCCTCTTGCTGAGGTTTCCGAAGTCTAGGTTACAGGAAAATGAGGAATAATCAGTTTCAATCAAATAGGAATTATTATAGAGATTCACTTAATTAAAAAAAATTATCACATTTCACTTAGGGGGAAAATAAAACAAGCCTTGGTAGAAAATAGACATTTAGAAAAGACGTCTACATTTTACATGACAATGCATTTGACTTTCATTTACCTCCGTTATATTAACATAATTTGTACATATTCAACATCTAAAGTCCCTTACCTTTCCAGCTCAGAAAATCACAGGTGAAATTGTTCTTTGGAAGTTATGTTTAAATGCAAATTAGAAAGGCAGTTTCAGAAATTCATGAGCATTTCTGCTGCTTGGGGTGTCTTGGGTGCTCTGACTTCTGGCTCAAGGCAGGACTCTTATTACTGAAATGGCTCATTAACGCCTGCGTTCCACAAGAGGAACCCTCCCCGGGCACCCCTGCCCCAGAGCGGGCCACAACAAAGGGACAGCGAACAAGCAGGCCCACTAATTAAAACAATAGCTGCAGAGACAAAATGTGCCTAGAAGACCTGTACCTGGAGCAATTATTTTCCATTAAACTGCTCATTAAAAAAAAAAGGAAAAAAAAACTGAAGATGGTATTTACCTAAAAAGGGGAAAACATTGAAAATTAGAATCAGGCAATTGGAGCTTATGCAGTATGGTTTTGTATACCCAAGATGAAATGGTGATTGGCAGGTATCAAACTTTGAAGTAATTTGAGTCCAATTTTAAGTGACTTTTACCCCTGTGTGCACAAAACGGAATAAACCATAACCATCTGTCTTAGGGGTAATCTGAATCTATGGGTAAAAAATGTTCGGGAAATACTCTGAATTGACTTAGGTGGTGGGAAAGTGGAGCCAGTAGAACGACTTGCTTATCTGTTCTCTTTTCCCACCTTGCTTAAAACAATGTCAACACAGTAGAAGTCCTGAGGTCTCTGTTTTCCCTCCTTATGTCAAAGCTTAACAAAGAAGTCCTTTGCTAGGGAGCAGGTGGAATGCTTTTTAGCTGCATCTGTGCCTTGATAAGGAGGCGTAGACCAGAGTTAGAGAGGTAAGTGCGTCTAGAGAACAGGAAGAAAAAGAAGAGCAACTTTCTCTACAGTGAGCACTCAGTGGAGAACAGCTGGGGGTCATGGGAATCTAAGCCTTAGAAATGACACAAGGTAAACCAGGGAAAACAATTACAGGTATCATGTGTTGTTTTCGGGTTTATTTCTGATCAGATCAAGTATATCAAAAAGCCTACTATTATGCCCAGTAAAATCAGTAGAGGAGAAAAGCTTGCATGCCCATCTATTCCTAACCATTTATAGGTGTTGAGGTGCCTGTTTTGCTGGTGCCAGGTTTAACAAAGGAATAAAGAAAGCAACGCAGCGTACCTTTTGAGCAGAAGTGGCTGCAGAGCTGGAGCCAAGAGGCACCTCTCATCTCTGGGAGTTGAGCGAGGAGTTGGGGGCATATCTTTGCCTCCTTCCTGTTCCTTCCTTGACCATGCTTAAAGTTCCCGACCACTCTACAGTCACTCTCCATTCTTTGTAGACTTACAGATTCTTCATATCACTTAGCACTGTCTGCAATTATCTTATTCATTTGCTGACTTATTGCCTGCTTCCTTAACAAACTAAGGGCTGTGTCTGTCTTGTTTATTGCTATATCCTTGGCACCTAAAAATGCCTAGCATACCATAAAGGCCCAATAACTGTGTGTCAAATGAATGAACTAATGAGGTAAAATACTATCTGTGATGAAAAGGCAAGCAATATGGACATTCCATGAAACTCTGTGTGTGGTGTCACTCTTTGTCTTTTTCTAAACGTCCCCTTCTTCCCTTATGATTCCCTAAAATCACCCCTGTGCAGACCAGGGAGGGAAGAAGGACTTGCTTGAAACCTGCCTGAATCAAGAGTTGACCAACTGTAGCAGCTGTGAATATAAAGAATTCTCTTGGACTTGCTTCTGTCCAAATGTTTCTGCTGGATAGATCTTTGGGTCTTCCTGTGACCTCTGAGATCTCAGGGTAGACACATGGATGACTGTGAAGCCAGCCTGTGTCTTCTGAGGCACCTCTTTTGATTTCTGTAGTAGACTATCAGTGACCCCAGCTCCAGGATTTGGAATACATTTGTGTGATGCCTAATCTTATAGTCCCCTGCTTTTGGTCCCTGGTGGATTTCTTAGAACCACTAGCCATCTGGCAGATGGTCAGCTGGCCCTAGGTAAGGAGATTTCTGTGATGCTGAGAAGGACTCTGGCTTGATGTGGGTCCGTTGTCAGTTGTTTCACCTGTTAATGGATTTAGCCTTCTTTTATTTTTAAAACAGACACATCAAGCTTTTTTGCTTTCCTATTCATGATTTAGACAGAGGACATCAGTTCAAATTTTTCTTTTTTTTCTGCCATAAAGCTTTCTTAACCAGGCATCAGGATATGTTTCCAGATCAGTCATACTGAGCTGAAGCCTCTAACTAATGCATTGACTCTTGTCGCTCATTTTTTTTGGTTTGGCTCTGGGCCTGACTCCCCAATGGAGGGCTCGATGGTGAGTCATTATTTAAACCAAAATGCCCTTCAAATTATATTTTATGATCATATTACCCTGCTTAGAGTTTTCAATACAAAGTGGATCAAAACTACATGCTCAGTCAACAGTGGACTGCACAGTGTGAATTATGCAAAATAAATTTAAAACGTAGACACAGGCACACACATGGAGCTGCAAAGGGAGTTATGACATTTACATTTAGGAGTAGTGGGTTGTGGGTTGTGGCTTTGGAATGACTTGGAAATAATTTTGGCTGGAGAGAAAAGGTTATATTGTAGAGAATTTGAGAGTCAGCCAGAAGAGTTTGGATATTTTCCTGGCCATAGTGGGAACTATAATCATTTTAGGGAATGGGATGAGATGTGGTAGAAATTAAGGTTTAGGAAGATTATTCTGGGGGTAGCAGAATGGATCAAAGAGGGAAAATTGGAAATGTGTGAATTAGGCAACTATTGCAGGCAGCAAGTCCTGGCGGACGGAGACCTGGGCAGAAAGAGTGAGGAAAGAGGAACTGGACGGGCAAGAATGGGCTTGTGAGACACATCAGAGGAAAACCCTAGGACCTGGAGATTCACCATCCCACCGAGGTGAAGGGAGAACAAATTGGAGAGGATTTAGATCTTGTGGCTTAATAAAAAGAGTTATTTAGAGTCAGGGGGTTGGTAGGATAATTGATATGCCAATACTGTAGGTGTTTATGAAGATTTAAAAACCATTCCATTATTCCAACCACCCTCTGGATCAGGCAGGAAAGATATTTCAATGCTCGTATTATAGACGTAGACACTTAGGAAACTTAGGGAGTGCAAGCCTTGTGAGCATGGAGAAGCCAGGTTGACGGTTGAGGATCTCAAGCAGTGAGTGCTGAGGAAGCCCGGGAGGTAGAGCAAAGGTGCGTGAGACACGCCTCCCCCATGTCTTCATCCGCACAGTGGTTCAGGCTCTTCAGGAAGGAGACATAGAGAAGAAAGAGCAGGAGGCTAAGAACTCCACGTCAAAGCCCCTGCGTCACTAGGGGCAACGGTAGACCCCAATAGGAAAGGGAGGAGAAGGAGGGTTAGAGGCTTGGACGTGCAGGAAGGGGAGCATGTCCGGAAGGAGTGGGGCAGGGGAAACTGTCCCATGCCTGGAGAGGCTATGAGGAAGGCTCGTTTCTGTGGTGAAGGGAAGCTTGTCGTTGACTTTTATGCAAGCAATAAAAATAGTTTAATAAAGAATTTGAGCCAGCTCATGAAGGAAGTCAAAGTGTGTGGGTGGGTGATGATGAAATAGAGATATTGATTCTAAACCAAACTTAGTAATGAAGAAAGGAAACGGGAGGTGAGGGAGGGAGATGTTTTCTAGAAAAGCAGCAGCACTAATCAGTGGCTGTTTCAAGCTGTAGAAGATCTGTGATTGTTTGAAAGCAGAAGGGGAGAAAGGATGGTCAGGGGAGAGGGTCAGGATGATGATCTGGAAAGAGAAGGAACGTCTCTGGGTCACAGGTGGAGAAGATGGGGACACCTCTCCCTTCAGGACGGTACACGGACAACCCCAGTCTGTTGTTAGCTATCGAGTAAATGCCCTAAAGAAAAACTAGAGAGCACATCTTTTTGCGTCTGTGCTTTTTGCCATTTTCTTCCTTTATCCCTTATCAGAAAATGTCTTTACCTCTCACAGAGCAGATCACCATTCGTCTGCTATTATGCGATATGTTGTTTCTTCTCCTGCAGCATTCGGAGAGCAGCACAGAGAACTGCTATGAGACTGAGACAGAGAATGCCTGCAAGAGGAGAACATTATACAAATGTGGGACACTTTTCTGATAATTCTGTGTAAAATTTCATAAGTTCTAATTATAAAAGATACTAAATGGATATTCAGACTTAGAAATACTAAAAATTATTTGTATTGGTAGGTGTTAATTTTAAAATTTGTATCTAGATTTGGCCAGGCATAGTGGCTCACACCTGTAATCCCAGCACTTCAGGAGGCCAAGGCGGGTGGATCACCTGAGGTCAGGAGGTAGAGACCAGTCTGGCCAACATGGTGAAACCCCATCTCTACTAAAACAACAACAACAACAACAACAACAAAACCTGGGTGGGGTGGCAGGCACCTGTAATCCAAGCTACTAGGGAGGCTGAGGCAGGAGAATCTTTTGAGCCTGGGAGGCGGAGGTTGCAGTGAGCTGAGATTGTGCCATTGCACTCCAGCCTGGGCAACAAGAGTGAAACTCTGTCTCAAAAAATAAATAAATAAATAAATAAATGAAAATAAAATAAAATTTGTGTCTAAATGATCTGGTAGATATGGTGCAGATTTTCAGGTTAATAACTTTCCATTAATAAGAAATAATCTGTCTTCATAGACAAAGGAGTTTACTCCATCCCATATGTGAGAGGAGTTGTCCAAACATGGATCTTCATACCAGTGAGTACGTTTTGTTCAAAGTGAACTGAGGTCACTAGTCACCCAAAGAGAACATGAAGTTGTGTGTCACCTCTGAGGGTAGAAATGGAGTGATGCTGTGGCCTGACACCCATGGGGAGTCATTAACAAGAGAGGCGGAATATGTGCTGGGGCAGTGCACCTCCATCTTCTCCTCTCCCTTATACCCAAGCAATGGAGAGAAAGAAGCCAGAAAACTGCTCCCACACTCCATTGCTTCTTCTTGGATCTTATGAGGACAGCAGGAGTGTGGGGCAGAAGTCAGTTTGTTCCGCCCGACTCCAGAGCCTGCTGTGCTCTTTCTGCAGCCACACTCCCTCTTGCTGCTTTTTCATCTCATCTCACTTAGGACCCTGGAGCCTGTGGTTCTCTTTCTTTGCAGTGGCACATTGCTAAATTTTGGCACATGATGAAGAAGATGTCTCTTCAGTTGCTTAAGAAGTGGGGAGCAAAGAGAGGTAGAGGGAGGTGAAACTTATAAAGGGAAAGGCAGGAGGAAGGTTGCCAATGCACCTTCTAGCCGGAAGCTGTTGTGGCTGCCCATGCCTTTTATGACAAACCAAACTTAACCATGGGCCATTTGTCCCCTGTGGCTCCCTTTGTGTTTCTCGTTTCTCGTCTATGTTGATGGCACTCCTGCTCCTTGTTTCTTGATGTTCCTGCATGCTAAATTATTTCAGGGCAGTGAAAGCCATCTCAACTCCTAGTTGTACCAAAGCAGAAATGTCAACTAAATTATCTTTAATGAAATCATTTTCTTTTTTAATCATAGAGTCAACCAAAGTGGAGAAAAAAAAGATTTGCTTTAATTGCAGCCACTTGGAACACCCAGCCTGGGGTTAAACATCCTTTCATCTTGCATGATTGTGACAGACAGAGTAGGCATCCTTAACTCTGTAGATGCTTATGGTTTGGGGATAATTGCAATTGGGTTAGGGAAGCAAAATGAAGAAAATACATGGTTGAGAGGAAAATAGAATCCACTTAAGGGCAAAAGTATGTTTTAAAAATGGAAGGAAATGAAGTCAGTTGCTGACCAAGTTGAGCAAGTGGGAGGCACTAAAGCATGAGGCCAGAAGAACAGGATGGCACCAAGACAAAGGTCATGTAGGCATAGAGGAGGGACTAGTTCATTCTTACTGAGGGGAGCTGGGAAGGGGCTTCTCAGCTGAGTGGGCCTTGAGAGGAGGATGAGGGAACTCGGGACAGGGCAAAGATGGATGTGTATAGGTGCATGTTTTTGTGGTCAGGGAACACAGAATGATCTACTGTTGCTGAGATGTTTTGGGGCTTTGTTCTTTAGAACATGGTGAGACATTAAAGCAGAATGGTATGTTGCAGGCTGTGTTGAAAGTGAGACAATCCTGTGGCTGTGTGAGGGATGGATTGTGTTATAAAAGACGGCAGTCAGGGACACCAGCTAGGAAACTGTTGCAAGAGCGTAGGCACACACAGGTGACCTTGGGCTAAGGCAGTGGCATTGGTTCTGGAAAGAAAGTGGCTGTGTGAGAGTCATTTCAGAAGTAGAATACAAATAACTTGGTAATTAATTAAATGTGGAGGGTAAGGTGGGTGAGGTGCCTGAAATGGCTTCAAGTTTCTTTGCTGTTTAAGGATATGGTGGTACCGTATAAGCAAGGGTGTGCTTTTTTCTCTGGTGAACAAAGGGCTCTACTTGTTGTGTTTGCCAGTTTCCATGGCGTAAATGCCCTCACCAAAGCCCATTTCAGTCTGCCCCCAGGACAGTGCCACTGAATGTGGAGGTGGGAAGAGATGGACACAGTCAGTTCACAAGCTGGTTTGAGCCAGCTCCAGCATACCCCTGTGTCTGGTAGGTTATAGAGAAAGATGCCAATCCAGTTTTGAATGGTTCAAATTTAATGCAACAGTGGAACGTCCATAGGAAAGAGTCAGGCAGGCATTGGAAGCCTAGAACTGGCACTCAGGAGAAAGGATCAGGCAAGATGTGAAGATGGAAGTCATCAGCATTAAAGTGCTTGGGGGCGGGGGGGTGGTCAAGAGAGGCAGAGAAATTGGGAGAGGAAGAGGGGGAGGGAGACAGGATTTACAGAGGTGGGCTGAAAATGGAACCTTGGGGAATACCTGTGTACCTGTGTATAAGGGTAAGAGATGGGGAAAAACACAGAAGTGAAGGACTGGGGGAAAGAGCAATGGAAGGGCTGGGGTGAGAATTGTGAGAAGGCAGAATTGCAGTATGGAAGACAGCAGAGTCCAAGAAACACAGTGATGTCATCAGGACATAGGATGTTTTGACTTCCAACTTATGAATATAAACATTTTAATCAGAACTGGCCCAGCATGAATTAATTTTCATGAAGTTCCTGAGGGAACATCATTAAGCCAATTTAATTCCTTCCCATAATCAATTTTCCATAGAGTGCTATTAATCTGTTTCCAATTTCTTCCCATTTTCATATTTATCTTAATGAAATTATTTAAATCAGAATCAATTATTTTCCTCATAAATATTATGATAAAGATTTTATTTATCAATGACTTAAAAATAATATCTCTATTGAATTTTACTGATTATATCCTCTGTCATTCTTCATTTTCTTTTTTTTTTTTTTTTTTTTTTTTTTTTTTTTTGAGACGGAGTCTCGCTCTGTCGCCCAGGCTGGAGTGCAGTGGCGGGATCTCGGCTCACTGCAAGCTCCGCCTCCCGGGTTCACGCCATTCTCCTGCCTCAGCCTCCCAAGTAGCTGGGACTACAGGCGCCCGCCACTACGCCCGGCTAATTTTTTGTATTTTTAGTAGAGACGGGGTTTCACCGTTTTAGCCGGGATGGTCTCGATCTCCTGACCTCGTGATCCGCCCGCCTCGGCCTCCCAAAGTGTTGGGATTACAGGCGTGAGCCACCGCGCCCGGCCTCTTCATTTTCTTTTAAAACCATCTTTTCTGGGTTTAGTTTCCCTAGGTTATTATTATTATTTTTTGTCCATGAATAACAAATGACCCTTTAGGCAGTATTTCATCTGTGTAAATTGTAATCTTTGGCCATTACAGCCATGTAAGTTTTACTTTATCTTTAAGTACAAACCTATTAAGTCCATCTAATTTAGTTGCTTTTTACCTGACAGGCTACTTGAGCACTGGGCATTAGGAAACTAGGTGGGAGTCCTGACAGAGAAAGATGGATGTGGTTTGGAAAACTCAATATAAATTTATTAATAAAAGTCTATATCAAAATCTGGTATTGGAAGAAAATAATTTCATTGTCTATTGTAATAATTTTAATATCTTGGATTTTTCGTAGTGCTTTAAAGTAAACAAAAATGCAAAATTTTTTGCTAGTCAAAATAAAAATCTCATGTATAGTATATTTCTACTCATCATGAGGCATTTGTGTTAATATATATAGTCAAAGAACAAAGCACCATGTCTAATTAGCTAGTTTTGGCAGAAATATGACTAGTAGGTTTGAAAGATCACACTGGACCACAAAACAGAAAGAATGTCCGTCATCTTGAGAGCTCGCCCCACTTCTAACGGGTCACCTGTGGTTGGTGCCATTTCAGTGGTGAATTTCTCACAGCCCATAGGCTGGGCCTTGGGCTCAGAAGGCTAGTTTTGCCACCAAACTCTTGAGAGTGGATTCACATAAACTAAACTAATACGACAAACATGTGAAACCAGAATGTCAATTTATTCATTTAAACAGGAAAAGGACTAAAAGGCTTTGGAAAGAATATAGGATTGTGATCTTGGCGGGCTTAGAGGAAAAAAGCAAAGGCAGACCTGTGTACAACCATAAATTTCAGCTATTGTTCTCAGTTTTCCGATGCAAGTTTAATGTGGATTTCTAAATATTTTCATTTATCTACTGTGCACTCCAGGAAAGAGAGCAGGACTGGAATAATTGAAGTCCAATGAATACAATTTTGTGTTTCTTCCTCCATGGTGCAGATGCCTTACCAACAGGGTATTAGTAATAGATTTGACTAAGGCTTCTTTTCCCCTGGAAGTAGTTGGGATGGATGCTGTGCACTTTCTTTGTTTCTTTGTTAGCATGGTTTCTTCAACCATCCTTCTGAGCCACATGTCCTTTCTTTGAATAGGTGGGTTCTGTCAGCTTATAATCTAGTCTTATATGTCTAACAATCATAGTGATCATAGTGATTTTTTTTGAAAATTTGTGTATTTCATCTTCTGTTCATTTCGCGTGGTTTATAAAGTTGAAATCTCAGACAACAATCTCAAATCCTAGTTTTGGAGAGTCTTACCCCTGAGTATCAACAACCACGACACTGTCAGTCTTCTATAACATAACATTGCTTAAACATTGATGGCTGAGTTGAATTATAGTCAGCATCCACAGGTGCTTTAATTGTTGAGATCATTGTAGAGTCACATGCAGTTGTAAGAAAAAACACAAGGAGATTGTGTACCCTTCACCCATTTTCCTCCAGTGCTAATATCTTACAACACAATCATGAGCATATTGACATTAACACAGTCAGGATACAGAAGAGTTTCATGACCACAAAGATCCCTTATGTTGCCCTTGTGTCCTAGGAATAAATCCTAAATAAATCATGGTGCATAATTCTTTTTGTACATTGCTAGATTTAATTTGCTAATATTTTATGGAGAATTTTTGCATGTAATACTTTAGAAGTTCCTCATTCTAATGTAGGCATTTAGTACTGTAAATTCCCCGCTCAGCATTACTTTAGCTGCATGCTACATATTTTGATGTGTTGTATTTTTATATTTATTACATTCTATGGATTTTTAAATATAACTTTTGAGATGTCATCTTTGAACCATTCAGTATTTAGAAATGAATGTTTAATTTTCAAGTATCTGGAGATTGTTCTGTTGTCTTTGTGTTATTGATTTCTAGTTTGATTTTGTTATGATCTAGAGAACATGCTCTGTGTGATTTTAGTTCTTTCAAATTTGTAGAATTTTGTTCTGTAGCACAGAATATGCTCTATCATGATGAACATTCGTTCCATGAACACTTGAAAAATGTGTATTCTGCTGTTGAGTAGAGTTTTAAAATATATGTCAATTATATCTTGGTTGATTGTGATGTACATTTCTTCTATATCCTTGCTGATTTTCTGTCTAGTAGTTCTGACTATTACTGAAAGTAGGGTATTTAAGTCCCCTGCTATAATTATGGATTTATCTGTTTCTCATTTCAGCTGTATCAATTTTTGAGGCCCTGTTGTTTGGTGCATATACTTTTAGGATTGTTACACCTTCCTAGTCAATTGATTGTTTTATGATCATGTCACATTCTTCTTTGTCTTTAGTATTTTACTTTGCTCTTAAGTTTACTTTATCTGATATTAATATAGCCATTTCTGCCTTTTTTTATTTGTTTGTATGGTATATCTTTTTCTATCCTTTTATTTTCAATCTACATATGAAGTTGTATGTGAAATCAGTTTCTAATAGACAGCATATTATTGGATCATGTTATTTTATCCACTCTGACAATCTCTGTCTTTTATTTGGTTGTTAAGACTATTTACTTTTAAGGTAATTATTGATATGTTTGGGCTAAGTCTTTTATTGTTTTTCTGACTCCTCATTCTTCTGTTTCTATTTTCTTAATTGTCTGTGGGTTATTTGAACATTTAAAAAATGGTTCTGTGTTGATTTGTTTTCAGTGATTTTTGTTTTTGGGGTTTTTTTTTGTTTTTTAGTACATCTATTTGTATACTTTTCTTAGTGGTATCTCTAGGTATGATAATACACATAAAAAACATATCACAGCCACTATCAGTGTTTTACCACTTTGAATGAGTGTTAAACCTCGTGTAGAATGTAGAAACCTGACTGCCATTTGGGTATCTTTATCCTTTCCTCTCTTTAAATGTAATTGTCTTAAGTATTCCCTGTATATACATTGTGTACCACATCAGATGCTGCAATAATTTTTGCTTCAACCATCAATTTTAGCCATTCTGATGTTCTTTTACTTTCCTGAAGTTTCAAACTTGGTTCTGTGTATCTTTTCTGTTTAGAGAACTTTCTTTAGCCATTTATTAAGGGTAGATTTGCTAGTACAAATGCTCTTTTCTTTCATTTAGGAATGTCTTTATTTACCCTTTCATTTTTTAGGAATATTGTTACCAAATATAGAATTCAGTTGATAGTTCTTTTCTTTCAGTATTTGACAAATGTCAGGGACATTTTTTCTGGCCACCATGGTTTTGGACAAGAAATCTACTATCATATGAATTGTTACTCCCCTAGAGGTAATGCACCTTTTCTCTTTGGCTGCTTTTAAGGTTTTTTCTTCGTCTTGAGGTCTTAGAAGTTGAATTATGATGTGTGTTGTTGTGGATTTGCTTGGGTTTGTTTATCCTATTTGGATTTCGTCAATCTGTGAGTTTATTTCTTTCACCAAATTTAAGAAATTTTCAGCCATTATTATTATTATTATTATTATTATTATTATTATTATTATTTGAATACTCTTTCATCCATACTTTCCTCTTCCCTTTTGGTACTCTAATGATTAAAAAAGAAGTTAAATATCAGTGTGGATGTTGCTAATATTTAAAAAAAACGGAAAAGACAAATGAGATGTATTTTTTCTCTACTGTTTAGATTGAGTAAATTCTGTTGATATGTCTTCAGGTTCACTGATTCTGTCCTCTGTCATCTCCACTTTACTATTGAGCCCATCTAGTCAGTTTTTATTTCTGTTATAGTATTTTTTAATTATACAGTTTCAATATTGTTCATTTTTCTAACTTCTCTTTCAGCTGAGATTTTGGTTTTATTTGTTTCAAGATAGTTTATAGTTCATTGTTGAAGTATTTTTTTGATGACAGCTTTAAAAGTCTTGTGTCATCATTTTAACACTGATCATCTCAGCATTGGCATCATCTAATTGTATTTTCCCATTCAGGTTGTGATTTTCCTGGTTCTTGGTATGATGGGTGATTTTTTATCATCTCCTGACATTCTGGCTATTATTTTGAGTCTCCATTTTAACATTTAGCACACAGGCTACTTTTGTGGACTGTAGTTGTAGGGATGACTTAACATTCAGAGCCTTTGTAGTGCTACTTTGGTCTGCTTGGTTTATCTTGCGCTGCTGGTGCAGCTGCTTGAGGAGGAGGAAGGAGTTTTTGTCAGGCCAGGTTCCCTACTGCATTATGTGGAGCAGTGGAGTATGTAGCCTATAAGAAGGAAATGGATAAAGAGTGCTTCCTGGGCTGGGTACTTTTCATGGTGGGATTCCCTTTTCTGGTGTGCCCAGCTGCCTCATGTTTCTGAGGCCTGGTAGGGAAGGAGAACCCTTCCTGGGCTGGGTGATCCCCCTTGCATGGTGGTCTGAGTTGGGAAGGAGAATCTGAGGCCTAGAGAGGTAGGAGAGTGCTTCATCTGGCCAAGTTTTTTCAGTGGGGTGATTGATCTATCCGCCTTGCGGATTCCACCCCTCCTGGTTTTGTTGGTGAGACTCTTTCAATTTGCAGAAGGAATGCACTTACCGGGACTGCCTTCTGTTGCTGTATATAGGCTGTGGGTTGGGAAATGCCAGGTCCGGGTTGCCTTCTTCTATTGGCAGGGCAGCGTCTCTGACTAGTTTACCTTACTCTTTTCACCTTTCACATGGAACCTTTGGCTGCCCCTTGTGGTATTTTCAGGGTTTATCATTGTGCTTAGCAGGGAGGAGCAGGAAGAAATTTTCCAGACAAGAAGTCAGTCCAAAATACTTTTGAGACCCAGTTTGTGTAGGACTGTGTAGGACTGTGGAAAACTCAGAGACAGATAATCTCTAAAACCTGTGTGCATCAAGTGGACCAGCCAGTTGGGAACAAAGAGCTAAGGAAAATGGCAAAAGTGAAACCGCAGATGTCTCAAGGCAAAATGTGATTAATTGCCAAGTGAGTGATATGGGCAAGAAACACCGGGGCCCCCGAGGGAGGAAAGATCAATACATCTTCCAGCCTGACTTGAGCAATTAATAACCACAGTTTTTCAGCAGTTGTGATGCCCAAAGTATATGATCTTCACATGAAAGAGGCCTCTAGCTGGTAGAACGGAACAGAAAGCTGGAGATTAGCATCTTAAAACAAGACACCTTTCCCAAGTTGTCTTGGCCCTGCTTCACCATATGCTGGGGGAGTGGGAGGCAAGGTGGGGAGATGTTAGTGGGAGAAGAGCGATGGGAAGAACTCTGTGACAATGAGTGGCTTTTAAAATGCTGACACATGATGACTGAAGCTCCACAGGCAGTAGGACTGAAAGGCTGAAAGGGTATCTGGCTGGCTCAATGTGAGTTCCAGTTTTGAGAAAACAGATAGCAAGTCCACCCTGTGGAAGGGCATTGCCTGTGGGGAGCCAGGAGCACAAGGCTGTGTGAAAGTAGGTCACAGGTTTGGCAGCTACATCAGGGCAGCTCAGAAGGAGCCGCACATCATGGGGGTTGGCAAGTGTGGAGGCTGGGTCCTGATTAGCATATCACAGTGCTCTAGGAGTCCTGGAACGCCTTCCTCTTCCATGTGCACTGCTGCTGACATCCAGGCCATTTTGGAACCTGCAAATGTCTCTTCCCCAAATGCAGCAAGCCCCAGGCTGAATTTGGAGGACCCCTGTCCTAGCTAGTATGTAAGCAAGCACAAAGGATAGGACAGGAGAGGGAGGCAAAGAAGAAAGAGCAGAGGACGGAGAGAGCAAGCTTGACTTCTTAACGAAAGGTTGTAATGTGAAGCAAAGCACTTGTTAGAAGAGAAAGTGTTTGGGGGTTGTCATAAGGAGAGCAGCATTTAGCATATTGTTGATAAAGCATAGCATCTCAGCAGGATACCTCTGAGTTAGTCCATATGGTGCTAGTCATTTTCTCAGTAAACATAGAAAATAATTGTAAATAGTAATATTAAATGAAGTATCAGAATGACTACGGTACTTTTTTTTTTTAACAGTTAAGAATGTGTGACGTTATTTATGACCAGAAAGTTCAGATTGAGTCTAAAAATCACAGTAGAGGCTAACCCGTATTATTATTATTTAAACACAATTAAACATTTAAAGATGAGTTCTGGGGGAGTAATTACTCAGATGTTAACACTAGTGCCCATCAAAGAAGGATTTTTAAAAGATACATTTTCACATTTCGTTTATTGTAAAATCTTGATTGTGCTACTCTATTAATACCATGAATAATCTTAAGTAGCAGGTAAGCAAATAAAATACATAATTGTATTTTGGCTTATTCTGTGTAAGTTTACAAATCTGTTTACCTTATTCAACAACAAAATATTTATTGATCAACACACTCTGTGCCAGTTACTGTTTTAGACACTGGAAATGTAACAGTAAGCAACACACATACAAATCCCTGTCCTTGGTTATTCTCTTTAGGTTACTGTTAAAATATCTGTGGTCCTTTGCTTGGGTGCAGATGTGATTGGTTGATGCAGGGGGAAGCCATAGGCTATGCTGGGTGTAGAGAGGAAGCTAACACGGGGTTAAAATGGGGAACATATTGTGAACATGGATTTAGCAAGAGCGGGCTGTGTTTACAAGCAGATAGAAAGGGGAGAAACACATGACTGATTTTTGGAGGAAAAATGCCAATAATCGCATATATATATATATATATATATATATGCTATACACTATTTTTTAAAATGTAAGTTCATGTTTCCATTCAACTCGGCAATCTGTGAGCGCTTGCAATGTGCTGGACTAAAAGGATTACGTGTAACAGAGGGATTGTGAGGAAGATTTTTTTTATGCTTCATTTTCCTAACTGTGATGAGAACATTATATTAATGTGATAAAAATTTTTAAGTATAAATATGCCTTGGAAATATGTGTTAGATGTGCTAATCTTCCTTTTCTTGTCAAGCCCTATTTTCCAGCCAAAACTAGACTATTTTTGATATTTTTCCAGCCGCATACATTTTGTTTTCTGACTCTTTGTCCTATTCTTGATAATGTTCTTTTTTTTTTTTTTTTTTTTTTGGCAGACTCTTGCTACAAAAAATACGAAAATTAGCTGGGCATGGATGGTGGTGCTCAACACCCTGTCTCTAATACAAACAACAACAAAAGCAATATTTTATTAGGATTCAAACTACTTAGGGCTTAGCCTTTTGACAGAAAGGAAGCTGATTAAATTGCTACCTCCTTTTTCTTCCCTAAGAGCATTTGGTCTTTGCCTGCTCAGCATCTACTCTTGCTGTCCTCTCCTTTATTTATTTATCAGAGGCAGGGTCTCGCTCTGTCGCCGAGACTGGAGTGCAGTGGTGCAATCACAGCTCACTGCAGCCTCATACTCCTGGACTCAATCGATCCTCCCACCTTAGCCTCCCAAGTAGCTGTGACCCACGCCTGGCTAATTTTTGTATTTTTTATAGAGATGGGCCCCCCTATGTTGCCCAGGCTGATCTCGAACTCCTGGGCCCAAATGATCCTCCTGCCTCAACCTCCCAAAGTGCTGAGATTACAGGTATGAACCACCGCACCCGGCCTTGATAATGTTCTTATTCCTTACCCTCCCCTCAAAAATCCTCTGGCTCCCAAAATCCTATCTGTTTCTCAGAAAGGTCCTCTAGTGAAACGTGGTCTTTTCCACCCATAGGTCATAATACTGTGTGTTTCCTCAGGCCTGTTTTGTGTTTGTGACTTGCTTATTTTCAACCTCCCCTTCCCCTGTCCCCCATTTAGATTGCAGACTCCCTAAGGACAGAAGCTGTTTCTTATCGTTATCTACATTTCCCATCACGGTGCTTAGCATAGGATCGTCCACCTGGAAGTTGCTCAGTAAATATTTATTGAATTGTGTCGCATTGTGTCCTCCCTTTTTTTTTTTTTTTCGAGACAGAGTCTTGCTCTGTCACCCAGGCTGGAGTGCAGTGACACGATCTCGGCTCCTTCACCTCCTAGGTTCAAGTGATTCTCCTGCCTCAGCCTCTCGAGTAGCTGAAATTACAGGTGTGTGCCACCATGCCCAGCTAATTTTTGTATTTTTAGTAGAGATGGGGTTTCATCATGTTGGCCAGGCTAGTCTCGAACTCCCGACCTTAAGTGATCTGCCCACTTCAGCTTCCCAAAGTGCTGGAATTACAGGCGTGAGCCACTGTTGCCCTGCCTGTATCCCCCAGTTTTTGAGGTAACTACTCAGTTCCATCAATTTTTCCAGGCTTTGCATCTATGGTTTCCCATCAACATTTCTGAAGCCTGTCTGTCTGTTCGGTCTTGTTTGGATCGTGTCCCTCTTGTAGGTGTGTCTAAAACTTAAAACAGTGTTCTTATTGGGGCAGGATGCATCACAATGACCAGTTTCCTCATTCTAGGGGTAAAACTGCCCAGGAGTTTGAAAACCATCCCGTTTTAATTACTGTGGCAAAGTGAGGTCTACCAAGAATTCTTCAAGCATCTAAAAAGCGTGTCACACTGACCTCAGCCCCAGTGACTGAGTGTGACTGGGCCAGGCCTGCTGCCTGCTTTAGAAGTCCTGGCCTGCCATCCAGAGACCCCCTGCTCCTCTGCCTCAGATGCTGAGGGTTCCATAGGCAGAACAAGACCAAGCCTTTGTTTCCACACATTCAGTGAACTCCCCTCTAAAAAAGACTTAATGTGCAGACTTCTGTCTTCTACAGACCTTCGCAGCCTGACAGTGGTTTATTGTCTGTCACAGACAGCACTAGTGAAAGATCTTTCTAACCTGGATGGGCCAGTTGGTCCTTTTAAAACTTCATGCCATCTTTGGAGACTGTGCTGCCTCGTGAGTGCTCTGTAGGCCAACACCAAAGGGCCGGTGTCTTTGTGACTGCACCGTGTCATTTTGATTCTGTAAAGAAATACAATGACTCCCTCTGTGTTCTGTTTTCTCCCCCTTCCACAGCACACACACATACATAAATGAATTTTCTAATTTGACAGGCTGTGGAGGTTCATTTAAGTGAAATATCATGCTGGATTATTGTCTTTAGATTTTAATTGATTTCTGCATGCAACCCTAAGGTGTTAAGCATTACTTCCTTTCCAGTAAGAGTGATAAATTGTTTAACAATAACAGGGGAATGACCTCCCAGATTTTCAGGGGTCTATGTTGAATTGAATAAGGTATCTAATTGGTCTCTACCTAAAAATGCGCGCGCGCGCACACACACACACGCACACACACACGTACATGCACACACACACACACACGTATGTCCACACACAGCCTGTGAATGTGAGGGTGTCTTTGCAGTTCATGCAGTTACAGACCCCTTTCAGATTTCACAGGCAACAGAATGTATGTTATCTTCATAACCCAAGGCTTTAGCACAAGGCCTGGGATTTATTAAGCACCACTCTCAGCTGTTTCTGCCGAATCTTCCATAAATTTTAATTTTTGTGGGTAGGTGCTTATATTATTTTGTTTTATGCTTAACCTATTTTACATTATGATTCTTATGGCATAGAACTCACGTTGCCTCTTCAGTCACGGCAGCAACAGTGGTGAATTTCCATATAGTATCAATGACTTCCTTATTCCATTTTCTGTTCCTCTCTCAGAAACTCCTTGCCAGAATTACCTAGTGCTGCACTCCAGGTATAAAAAATTGCCTCTTGCTCAGTTATTGCTGAAATGTTCTGTCATGAATAGAGATGGATGATGAACACACATGTCTCTGGAATTTCTTTAGTGGTATAATTTTGAGTTGTCAAAATCTGGCATATTTAAGGAATGTTGCCAAATCATTTAAATTTATTTTAATGTAAAAACAAGGCTTTGCAGGTGAGGGATAACATTTTTAGTCATTTAAAATCAGGTCCTTAAACCATAACTTGCTTGTAAAAACTGGATGTTAGGCTTTGTGTCAGTCAGCTTATGCTTAAGTTATGCTTCGGTAACAAACAGCCCCCCCCTCCAACTTCAGTGGCTTTTGATATCAGGGTTTACATTACATGTCCGTCACAGTTCCATTTCAGCTCTGCTTCAGGAAATATTCATTCTGGGACTCAGACTTTTCCCCCACGTCAATAAAGGAGGGCCCCAGTGCTTGCTAATAGTGTCTTCCTCCTTTGTTCCCAGTTCCTCACCCTGTAGCTCTTCTCTCATAGACACATATCAGTTGGTTCTTTCCTTAATTTAATGTCCCTGTAATATTATTGTCGCTTGTGCCAGGGGTATCTTTGGACTAAAACAATATATTTTTAAAGCATCTTTGCAGCCAAAAAAAAAAAAAGACTAAATGAGGAGGAAGATGAAATACAATTGGATTTTTGAAGGCTGTTCTCCACACACAGTTCTCAGTTTTTCTGCTTTTATTTTTCCTTTCTGATGCCTGTACATGATAATTTTACCTACTAAAGTCATGTTCATTTTCCAGTGGTTAAAACATTTGTCAGTATAAAAATATATTCTATTCTCCTCTCACCCCCAGCAGCAGTGTAAAGAAGTTTATGTTTACAACTGCCTCTATGTAGAGAATTCTCAATACTCTCTGAATATGCTAGAAAAAGGCCAAAAGGAGAGATTTTTGTACCCTTTTAAAGACATTATGCTTCCCATAAGACACTGGAATGATTTCATGGAACAGTGTCCCGCTTCCTTAAATGATGAAGAAACAAACTTGTATAAAAAATTTGGCCTGATAATTATTCATAAAAATATATTCTGTCACTCTTTCTGCAGAATGTTATTTTTGCATTAACATTAAATTTTTCTTCAATATTAGACTGTGCTCAGATTTGGCTATAGAAGAATTAGACATTTTCAACTGGAGCAAAAGTCAATCCTGTGGACACCAGAAATATGACAAATATAGCAGAGTCCTAAGCATCTTAAAATTCATCTTTTTTTTGTATATAACACACATATTTAAATTTATGGCAGTACTTCTTGTTAAGATGTTAAACAATCATAAGAATTTTTTGGAGGCAATTCTCACTCAAAACATCTTGAGTTCACAGTAGTAAAGCGTCACAGAAGAAACTTAACAGTTTTCTATAAATTTAATTGCTGCCTTGGAATAATTATGTCTAGAGGACAGAATACTCTATATATTTTATTATCCATCAGTTTCCTTTTAATAGGAGTGCTGTGCTTTGTACAGGTCAATTATTTTTGATAGTTTCTGTAATGAATGTTTAATTATATTTTATTATCCTTATTTAACTACATCACCTTGGTGATAATTGAAGCATTTCTAAACACTATACTTCCCTACAGTGTTTTGTATGTTATACAATTACCTTGTTAACATTTCCACAAAGTTTCAGGATTTGTGTTATGTGGAAGTTGCCATTTATTGCAAAAATATATGAAATCTATCCTCTCTATACTTTTTTTTCCAGCTTTCTTATTCTCCACTCTTTATTTATTTATTTTTTTTGTAGTTTCCAAAGTCCAGCAATATTTTCTTTTTTTTTCTTTATTTTATTTTATTATTATTATACTTCAAGTTTTAGGGTACATGTGCACAATGCGCAGGTTAGTTATATATGTATACATGTGCCATGCTGGTGTGCTGCACCCATTAACTCGTCATTTAGCTTTAGGTATATCTCCTAAAGCTATCCCTCCCCCCTCCCCCCACCCCACAACAGTCCCCAGAGTGTGATGTTCCCCTTCCTGTGTCCATGTGTTCTCATTGTTCAGTTCCCACCTATGAGTGAGAATATGCGGTGTTTGGTTTTTTGTTCTTGCGATAGTTTACTGAGAATGATGATTTCCAATTTCATCCATGCCCCTACAAAGGACATGAACTCATCATTTTTTATGGCTGCATAGTATTCCATGGTGTATATGTGCCACATTTTCTTAATCCAGTCTATCATTGTTGGACATTTGGGTTGTTTCCAAGTCTTTGCTATTGTGAATAGTGCCGCAGTAAACATATGTGTGCATGTGTCTTTATAGCAGCATGATTTGTAGTCCTTTGGGTATATACCCAGTAATGGGATGGCTGGGTCAAATGGTATTTCTAGTTCTAGATCCCTGAGAAATTGCCACACTGACTTTTATACTCTATACTTTTAAATCAGAATAGCCCTAAGATGTGACCAAAGATAGAAAAACCCAAACAATGCCTTCTATGTATAATTATCAGAATGGCAAATTGTTAATTAAGTGGGTTTTTTTTTTGTACCATGCATTTTTATGTCCCTGCATTTAGATAATGCTAAAGGTATACAAAAACACATCACTGACCCTCTGTTGGTAGTACTTATTCTTTGAGGTTTCTTATTTGTTTCCAGTAGTGGTAAAGGATCCATATCACTCCATTCACACATAGACAAAAAGTCCCTGGAATAAGTATACAAGGCAACTTAGGCCATGGCCTTGTCCAGCAATCAAACCTACCAGATACAGGCTCTCTGTGCTTACTCAGCATTTGCTGTGTCTCCCCAGTCACTCACTCAGGTGCATGGGTGAGAGCTGAGTCTCTCCCTCTTTGGACCATTGATCAAAGGAACATGCCAGAGAAGCCTGGCGATGTGGAGGTCAAGGCAGTGGAAGCCCAGCTTCCCACTTGGGTTCTTCCCACACCATCCCTCACCGTCCCTCATGTGTCCAGCCCACTGATTTGGTTCTACAGTTCTTGCCATTCCTCACTTCACCTCTCATTTTCACGTAATTTTCTTACCTATTTTTAGAAACTGTTATTTTTCTCATCTTCTATATAAAACAGAGCCCCAGAATGGGTATTACAATATAACTTTCTTAGTTCATTGGTAAGCCACTTCAGTACAGGATGAAAAAATAAATTTTGAGGAATTTGAGAAGTTATAGCTATTACCGATCCACAATCTTCTAAGACTTGTAGTTTGGACATAGAAGGATTTAAAATTAATCACAGATCACTTTCATTTAAATGGCACATCTTCTTCTAGGTATTTTCAAGTTACGTTTATGGTCTTCTTTTAAAAACAAAGGAAGGGAAATGCACATTTGTGAGTGTTGGGGTGAGTCTGTCCTAGACGCTTTCTCAAATGTGTCTTGTATGCCATACTCATTCCAAAGAACTTGTGGATTAAGGTGTATTGTCTCCATTTTTTTTCCAGTGGAGGAAAGTCTAAAGACATTAGAGATGCCCAATCTAGAGTTGTAGAGGTGCCAGGAGACACAGGTGGCACTGAATGTCCGTCCCAGTCCCCCATCCCCAAATTGCACAGCTTGTGAATGTGAGGATACCTTTGGAATTCTAAAATCTTAGAACCCTTTTCAGGCCTGAGGCATGTATACGATCTCTGTATTCCCAGGCCTTAGTGTGGGGCTTCGTGTTTGCTGAGCACCAGTTGGTGTTTGATGTTCCCGGTAAAGACTAGCACTTGGTGCTTACTGGACCTCAGGCACCATGGAGCACTTTCCATGTATTATCTTATCACTTAAATCCTCTTACTCAGCGGAGTAAGTACAGCACTGTAATTACCTCCATTTTACAGGTAAGGAAACTGAAACACAGGATGATTCAACAACTCACCTGTGGTCACATAGTAAGTTCGAGAGGCAGGATTTGCACCCAAGCTGCCTGCCCTCCACACTCACATTCCTGACCAGGAGGGTGCAGGTGCCCTGCCTGAGTGAGTCAGTCCTTTGATTAAGGAGCAGAAGGACCCTTGTAAAGGAAAACATGACACATGAGACATGTGAGAGGGCTTCTGCAGGCTCACCCTTTTCATCATAAATAGTATCGTTAAGATGAGTTTTTAATATAATTTTTATATAAGTTATTTCTATTTTGATGTATTCATCTTTCTAATAAAGCCTAGAAATAATAACACACAGGACTGGCAGTCATGGAAGGAAGAAAAGCGAGTCATGGGAGGTCAGCCAAGGCAGGGCGCTTTCATGATGGGGGCAGCGGGACAGAGGGGTCTGCAAGAGGGTTTAGGAGCTTGAAAAGTGGATTAGTCCATTTTCGCATTGCTGTAAAGAAATGCCTGAGACTGGGTAATGTGTAAAGAAAAGAGGTTTAATTGGCTTACAGTTCTACAGGCTGTACAGGAAGCATAATGGCTTCTGGGGAGGCCTCAAGAAACTTACCATCATGGTGGAAGGCAAAGGGGAAGCTGACATGTCTTACATGGTCAGAGCAGGAGGAAGGGGTTTGGAGGAGGTGCTACATGCTTTTAGATAACTAGATCTTGCAATAACCCACTCACTGTCACAAGAACAGCAGCAAAGGGCAAATCCGCCCCCATGATCCAGTCACCTCCCATCAGGCCCCACCTCCAACATTGGGAATTATAATTCGACGTGAGACTTGGTTGGAGACACAGATCCAAACCATACTAGAAAACAAAGGCCTTTCTGAAATAAAGGGAGAGTAACCAAACCTGTACCTCTTGCTCTCTAAGCAAGGCAGCTTAGCGCTTCTTTTTATGTCCTCCAAGCTGTTATTCTCAGAGATTTCAGTCAGTTCCAGGGTTGCAAAGACAATCAAAAGTTATTGTAATGGGAGGCCAAGGCAGGCGGATCACCTGAGGTCAGGAGTTTGAGGCCAGCCTGGCCAACATGGCAAAACCCTGTCTCTACTAAAAATATGAAAATTAGCCAGGCCTGGTGGCACACACCTGTAATCCCAGCTACTCGGGAGGCTGAGGCAGGAGAATGGCTTGAACCTGGGAGGCGGAGGTTGCAGTGAGCCGAGATTGCGCCATTGCACTCCAGCCTGGGGGACAAGAGTGAAACTCCATCTCAAAATAAATAAATAAAAAGGTATTGTAATATGACAGTATTTACTAATAAACTGACCATTTGTAAAACTGGTTCCTTCTCAAACATCCCTCTTTCCTAACCTGTCATCTCTTGTACCCATCCATTCTACTTGTCCTTCACTAATAAGATTGTTGTAAACATCTTTCAAGGAACTGCAGGTACAATACAATTTGGAAATATGAGTGTAAATCTTACAAAAATACGGGATTTCATGATGTCAGTGAAAGTGATGTTGGAGACCTGCTTGCATTGCAGGCAGAGCCACTGGCAAATGAGCATTTGGCAGGGTTAGGCAAGTTAGTAATTAAAGAGAAAATCGAGTGGATGATGGCATAGGAGGAATCTTAAAAAAAGAGAAGCTCTTGCAAGAATTGCAGAAACCGTAAGTTATTTTTGCAAAAATGATCCTCTTTATGAATACAAAATCAGAAAGATATTTTCAAGGGAAACCACATAATTTTTATCAGAAAAATTATTTTGATAAATAATTATGACTTGATTCATTCTTTGCTTAAGGGTGAAGGTATAGTTTCAATTAGAATGTTTAAAAATGTTAAGCTATAGAATAAATTTTTCTTAGTCTTTAGACTAGATAAAGGCTTATTTCACTATTGAGTATAGAACTATGACCTCTATTTTCAGTGGATTCATATTATGCAGCCCCTTGTGGACACCAAATTTGATAAAGGGACATATGTGTATGTGTGTGCACACAGGCACGTGTGTTTGGATGTAGACATATGTAGTCTCATTATCTTAATTTTTTTCAACTTCAGTTTTCTGTCTACAAATTGGATTTTATTTGTCATAGGAAGTACGTTTTCAGCTTCTCAAGAGTTTGTCACAGTAAGGCAAGAAACATAAATAATACACAGTTTAAAATTCACATATTGATATGAGTCTGATTGTAATTATGTATAGTAGGTTTTTATGAAATATTTGCTAAATGGATGCATAAATTTTCAATCTATGAATTTGGAATGGTTAAATCTGTCCTTATTTTGAGGTTGTAAGATAAAATGATTTCATGGATATGACAATTTAGTGAAAGAGAAGAAAAATCCCTCTAAATTTTCATTCAGTCATATGATCTTCATTATTAGTAGTAGCAATGAATTATTGTGATCATTCATGCAGGAAACAAACATGACCCAGGCTCTGGTATACAGAATACAGTGACTTTATATGCCTTTCACCAGAGAATGTTCAGATTCAACCCATGTATTTTTATTCTTCCTCTCCTAGAACCTCTACCACATATTCACCCACATACTTACTCTTCTTTAACTTATTTTTCCCTTATTTTTTGACAGGTTAAAGTAAAATGAAACAAAAACCAGAATCCCAACCACACAGCCAGAAATACTTGGCTAAGGAAAAGAGTATAGAAACAATCCATTTAAGCTTACTATTATGTTACATTTAATGCTTCTGCACAATTAATTATATAATTATTTGTCCAAACTGAGTTGATGCAGTGGCACATGTACGTAAGATTTAGCTAAAGTCACTTTGTTAGTAGTGTGTTGTTGCCTGCCTCCTGTAAATCAAATAGCTAGTGTCAGAGATTGGATGTTTTAGAATTCCTTTGTTGTGGCTAGGGAAAATAGAAGAGTAGAGTGATTTCAGTACCTGGATATCATTTCATGGTTATTGTGTGATGATGTGAAAAGACATTTTATTCCATTATTTGATATTTGAAATATTTATAAGAGTTATGAGTATTTAGAACATTCATATACCAAATGGAATCCACATATTTCCCTAAAGTTTATCTTTTCTTCTGCCTTTAGAGCAAGAGTCCCCAACCCCTGGGCCACGGACCGCTACTGGTCAGTGGCCTGTTAGTAACTGGGCCGCACAGCAGAAGGTGAGTAGCTGGCAAGTGAGCAAAGCTTCATCTGTGTGAAGCTCCCCATTGCTGGCATTACTGCCTGAGCTCACATTAGCAGCAGTATTAGATTCTTATAGAAGCATGAATCCTATTGTGAACTGCACATGCGAGGGATCTAGATTTCTCCTTATGGGAATCTAATGCCTGATGATCTGCCACTGTCTCCCATCAACCCCAGATGGGACCATCTAGTTGCAGGAAAACAAGCTCTGGGTTCCCACTGATTCTACATTATGGTGAGTTGTATAATTATTTCATTATATATTATAATGTAATAATAATAGAAATAAGGTACATAATAAATGTAATGCACTTGAATCATCCCCAAACCATCCTCCCCCCTGCTCTCCAGTTTATGGAAAAATTGTCTTCCACAAAATTGGTCTATACTGCCAAAAAGATTGGGGACTGCTGCATTAGGTGAACTAAAAAGAAACAAATATTTTACTTAAGGAGATAGAAATAGTTAAAACAGTTTAGATATATGAATGCTAGAAGCAATAAAATATCCTAAATGGATGTGTTAAGTACTTTTATATGCAGGTATTTCACTTAATTCTTGACAGCCCCATTGGGTTGGTAATATTATTTTTCCATTTTACAGATGAGGAATCCAAAGCCTAAGTTACTTGCTTAAGGTCACCCTTGAAAGTGGCAGAGCTAGGATTTAAATCTCGAGGTGTTCTGACCCCCAAATCCATGGATTTACCCCTTGTGCCCTGGCATAACCTCCTAGCTGAAATAAACACTATGCCAAATATTATTGTCAACTTAAACAAGGCCCTCTGTTATGTATTTACCTTTATTTTTCCCAAATGAAATTTACTTTGGAGGAGGTAAATTGAGGATACTTTGGAGGTTTTCACGCATTTCTTTCCCAGTATTCATATTGCTGTAATTGGGAAGATTGGATCTTGTTGTGAGCTCATGATACAGAAGACAGTTGGGGGTTTTTAGTCTGATTTTTTTTTGTTTTATTCTTGTGTTTTGAGACTGGTTTTAATTCTACATGGACTGCTGATTTGGGATGAGCGGGGGATGCACACACTGCTTGTCCTGCTCTGGCCTTGCGGGCTCTGTCTGGAGAAGTTTTGTTCTTTTTGAGAATTAGGCAAGGAGGATGATTTGGGGATAGCAGAGAATCTGCAAAAAGCTGATTTAAGTTAGAGCACCTTACATGGAGGCGCTTGCTGCCCTCTTTTCTCATTCATCATCCTTCCTCCTTTGAGTTTCTCTGTTCCAAATGAAACACAATAGAATAAAACATCAAAGAAAATTATTCATGCTATTTGCATATAAAGCCAACCAGGGCCCTCAGACTGTGCTGCAGATATTAAAACGTGTAATGGGGCAGGGAGATGGAACCCGAGGCACTATGAGCAGTTGTTGCAGGATGTGTTAAGGGTAGGAGTCTTCAAAACTTGGAGCTTCATAAAGGGGTGAGTTTTGCAGGAACTGAGCACTGCAGATGGGGAGCAGTCAGGCCATCTTGGGAAAAAAGGTGGACACAGGCAGTCATGACATGCAGTGAACCTCAGCCACAGACCAGAGAGCTCCGAGTCCCACCCTAGATGGTGACCTGTACAGCAGCCTCTCATCAGCGCAGACCCGCGTGGGAGAAAGGAGTCAGCCAGCCTGAAGGAGGCTCCCCTAAGTTATGGAGGACTGGAGAAGCAACTTGGTTTTATTGCTTTTAAATACAATTGTCACAACCTTCTTGGCTTAAAAGCATTCAGTGCTTTTAAGCACTCACTCTGGACTGCCAAATCTAGATGCCTGATCTCGGCTGCAGGATGCTCTGTGCTGAGTCCATGTTTTCTTCTGATTCATCCCTTCAACCCCAGCCCTTCATTTATTCCAGCGCTGAGAAAAAGAAATGTCTCAGTGTTGCCCATGGCCCCCGTGCCATGCTTTCCATCTCTCTTGAGCTGGTGTCCAACCCTCTTATCTCCACACACCAGAATCATGTGCATTCCCCAAGCCAGTCCTGAATGCCTCCGTCTGATCTCCCTGGTCAGATGCCACCTCCACTTCCTGTAATGTATTCACTCAGTGTGCCTGTGTTTGGATCGATCTATCTGTCTGTCTGTCTGTCTATCTATCTATCTATCTATCTATCTATCTATCTATCTATCTATCTATCTATCTTTCTTTCTTTCTTTCTTTCTTTTCTTTTCTTTCTTTCTCTTTCTCTCTCTTTCTTTCTCTCTTTTTCTTTCTTTCTTTCTCTCTCTCTCTTTTTCTTTCTTTCTTTTTCTTTTTCTGTCTGTCTATCTGTCTTTCCTGTCTTTCCTGTCTTTCTATCTTTGGAGGGGGTCTCACTCTGTCTCCCAGGCTGGAGTGCAATGGCACGACCTTGGGTCGCTGCAACCTCTGCCTCCCAGGTTCAAGTGATTCTCCTGCCTGAGCCTCTGGAGTAGCTGGGATTACAGGTGTCTGTGACCACACTTGGCTAATTTTTTTGTATTTTTAGTAGAGACGGGGTTTTATCATATTGGCCAGACTGGTCTCGAACTCCTGACCTCAAGTGATCTGCCCACCACAGCCTCCCAAAGTGCTAGGATTACAGGCATGAGCCACTGCACCCGGCTGGATGTTCACTTTCTGACTTTATATCCCGTATATTTGTTTAGATGTGTTATGCGCCTTTATATTCAGTTATAGCACTTAATACAGAGCTTTGGACATAATAAATATTGAATAAATATTTACCTAATGAACGACCGAATCAAATAATATATCTGCTTGCAGGAGATGACCAACATGTTGCCAAGTAGAAGCCCATAAGTGACACATTTTAACAAAGATCATTTTGTCTAGAATGGGGGGCAAGGCCCTTTGAGTGACACACAAATGAAAGACATAGTCACTGCCTTAATGGTTTGTAATTAGTTTGTTAGTTATTTGTATATAATTGCGGATGCAGAGATGTCTGAGATACTCCAGTCTCCTAAGTAGGTTAAGTATGACTTATCCTACACAACAACTCTTGGTACTGTTGTTTCCTCCAACAGACCATTTTATATGTGTAGTAAAAAACGTAAACTTTGGCCTAATTCCTATTTATTATTGATTTCAAATTAGGGTACCCCAAGTTAATTTTCTTTCCTATATTTTGGTAACTGTCAGTCTGCTAGGGAAGCTCCATGTCTGAGTTTGGGGGTATGGGGAAATTCTGCAGACAGTGGGGTATCCTGAACCCTCCGGCAGAAGTCAGAGCTTCCTTGTGTTCCATCCCCATCTTTTTTTTTTTTTTTTTTTTTTTTTTTTTTTTTTAAGATGGCGTCTCACTCTGTCAACCAGGCTGGAGTGCAGTGGTGTGATTGCGGCTCACTGCAACCCCCACCTCCCAGGTTCAAGCAATTCTCCTGCCTCAGCCTCCCAAGTAGCTGAGATTACAGGCGTCCACCCATGCCCAGCTTATGTTTTTGTATTTTTAGTAGAGATGGGGTTTACGCCATGTTGGCCAAGCTGGTTTCAAACTCCTGACCTCAAATGACCCGCCTGCCTCAGCCTCCCAAAGTGCTGGGATTACAGGCATGAGCCACCACACCCTGTCCCATCCCCATCTTTTTACCACTCTGTTACTGCCTATGTGGTCTCTTTATAATCTGCCTCTTTGGGGTAAGGGTTGTGTCTGGTAGAACCCAGGGGAGGACTGCATGAAAGATACATGTTTCTTGAATTTCATTTCCTATGAAATGTTTAGAAAATCATTGAAATAGTTAACCAAGGAATTTCTATTTGTCAAAATTTAGTTAACTGGCTTTGCACATACGTAGTCATTGATACTAATCATTCAACAGCTATATTTAGAGCATCATCCAGACTTCTGCTGGGTGTGCTGGATCTCTCTGTCACATCCTTCACAGGTTTTCTGATAGGTGCCGAGTGGCTGGGAGGGCTTTTGTTGACAGCCTTTGTTTTTAAACCCCAAGCATCTTCCATAAGCATGGCTTACTTTCAGGGAGTATGGCTTCTATATCAATTATCCATCTCAGAGTTTAGAGCTGAGCCATCTATAACAATACTGGTAGACGAGGTTATAAAGTCCACAAGAAGCTGTTTGAAGGAAGAGTTGTTTACATAACCTGGATCACATACAATTTCTCCAGTGAGGGTGAGGCCGATGGAGAGTTTCTCATTTTCCCCTGCTAGATAGCAGGAGGTAAAAATTGAGCAAGTAGAAAGCAGGAACTGTTACTAACTCCTTCCTGTTCATTGTCTTCATGAAAAGAAGAAAAGGGGCCAAACCTGATGACTCCCAGGGTGGGAGCCCCTGGGATGCCTGGGTGGGCAGTCTGCCCTCATAGGTGAGAAAGTGTGATGAGAACTGGGAGACCCAGGGAGGCTCTTTGACCTCAGCTCTTCACCCCATCAGCAGAAATAGGAGGTTCATATTTGCCATGAGTCTTCAAGGAAAGTGTAAAAACTTACTTCAGAGTCCCGTTAGGCTACTGGCTTTACCTGGTCAAAGATCTGTTTTGCTACTAGTTTTGCTAATTCTGTGTGTAAAGAAGACTTCAGCATCTGTTTGCTAACGTGGTCTTCCCACAACCAGCTAAAGGCTGTTTGATTGATTGCCGGTTCCTGTGTGCTCGGTTTGCATCTCTCCACCAGCCTTATCATCCTGCATGAGTTACCTCTATACATGTGCTCATGTCTAAGGGCCAGGTCTCCCCAAGAGCAGGATGCAGGTCATGCCTTTGTTACTCCAGCACTAACAGTGCCTACGTGCATAGGTGTCCAATGAGTGGGGAGTACTTAAATGGTTGAATTCTACTCAAAGACTCACGTGAAGTCCTTATGACTGCATTTTCTCTAAGTCTGTTTTTTAAAAAATCCAATAATTAGCTTCTTATGGTTCATATATTTTCTCTCAAGTGTAAGACAATATATATTTTAGATTTTGTTTATTATGTTTTGCTGGAAAAAGAAAACTCTTTCTGGACATAGGTCCTGTGGACCCTTTACTATATATCACTCTGGCTAGAGGCGAGCCCCGTGGCAGCTCTGTCACCCAATGCCTTGTCTTATCCTTCTTGTACCTTCCCCAAGCATGGTTCGTAGCATGTGCGTGCATGGTTCATAGTGTGTGAGTACTAAGGAATTAAAAAAACAAAAAGTAGTAGAGCAGGTTGACTCTTCTTTAAAAATAAACATATTGACCTGCATGGAAGGTGAGGCTGACCCTCCCCATTCTCCATTCATCACTGGATTCCCAGCAGGGTGTGTGAATTCAGTGGAATGGGAAGCATTGACCAACCTCTGTGTTTCTGAAGAAGTGAGAGCTTTTGTAGGTGAGCAGATAATGTATTTAAATAGCTCTAATTTTACAGTGAAAAACACCCACAGTGTGACAACATGGAAAGAATATAATCAACTTCAACCCAATATACTCAACTCCAATCCCAATTTTGGCAGATAGAACAAAAAGTCAATACATGTTATCTGACATTAAACAGAGCTTATGGAAGACAGAAGTGGGTGAGGCAGATAGGCCGTACTTGGTCAGATCCAGATGAACAACCAGACAAAAATAGGAGTAGAGCCGGGTGCAGTGCTTCATGCCTGTAATCCCAGCACTTTGGGAAGCGGAGGCGGGAGGATGGCTTGAGCCCAGGGGTTCAAGACCAGCCTTGGTAATTTAGGGAGACCCTTTCTCTACAAAAATATGAAATCACTACCTAGGCATGGTGGTGCATGCCTATAGTCCCAGCTACTTGGGAGACTGAGGTAGGAGGATTACTTGAGCCCAGGAGGTCGAGGCTGTGAGCCGTGGTGGTGCTACTGTGATCCAGCCTGGGCAAAACCCTGTATCAAAAAAAAAAAAATTGGAATACAGACTTCAGTGGAAAAAATTATCAACTAGTCTCAGTTTTAACTGAAATATTCATCTGAGAGAAACATGCAATACAAGAGGGAAATTACCGGGAGACTCCACTAAACTCATCAGCTCCATTGTTAGAGAGGAGACCAAGAACATTGAGTGGAGGCTTAATAGAAAACCAGTGAGAAATTACGATTCCACTTTTTTAACAAGCAGAATTCACTAGAAGTAGATCAACAGGTAATAAACAGACAATTTATTCAGTGCAGTGAATCTATGAAAGGATAGAAAGTCTTTGTTAAAATAGGGAAAAACTCAGTCACTTGATAAAGTCATAGTTTTCAGAGGAAAAGAGGTAGGGTTTGGAAAGAAGGCAGTGTCACATTTTCTTTTACTGATCAAAGAATCACTGTCCATGTAATAACACCACCATTCATTGAAAATCAGATGTATCACCCCTGAAGTCTTCTAAAGTTGATTCTGTGACTAGTGCATTCCTAGTGCATTTCCTGATGGGTAAATAATAGTAACTAAATCAAAAGATTAGGGATGTCATCATCTTTTTGGTATTTGTGATGAAGCTATTTGAGGGTACCTAGGACTGCAGACACTGTCCAGCATGGTCATGCCTGTTCATGGACCCTCGCATGGGACCAGCTTAGGATTTTGGAGTAAGGGGGCAGGTTGCATCAGTTTATCCTGCCTGGTGCTCTCTGCAGCTGTAGATCCTGGGGGCTGTTGCTCTTCTACACTGGTGTGGACTATGACCCATGACAATGGGGTTGATCCTTTTGAACTGTGGTACTGGGCAAACCTCGAACAGGAATGGTGTTTTAGTGAGCTTTCGTATGGCCATTGATCTGAAAGCAGCCTGGGTCTTATTCAGGACAGCTGCTTTTGAAGTGGTAGTGCTGCTGAAAAATGGTTTTCTCTAACGCAGAAGGAAAAGGAGGGGTTTCTGCTTTCCCCTCAGCCCAAGTCTTATACTTGGAGGGAGACGGCATCCATATTGCTCTTCAGGGAAGGAAAATATATTGGGATTAAGGCACAGATAAAGGTGTCACTGAGCCAGCTGTGAGGCCAGGTGGGTGGAGAGGGTGGGGTTCAGGCAGCTGTGCTCCTTCTCTGATGGGAATCCCCTGGCTCTAGAGAGGAGGAAGACTTGGTTGTAGTCAAGGGCAACTTGGGAAACTTTCCTTGACTTCTCCATTTCCCCACAATCAAAGCTCCTCTCTGAGCCATGAGCACCACCCTCTAACATTCTATCTGACCTATTCCTGCCTCAGGACCTTTCTACTTGCTCTTCCTTCTGCCAAAAATGTTCTTCCCCAAGCCCTTCACAGGCCATTCCCTGTGCCGCGACCCCCCCCCCGCCCCTCCCCCCACTTAATTCATAATCTTAGTTTAAATATACCCTTTACATTGAGGCCTTTTCTGGTCACCATGTCTAAAATAGCTCCCAGCAGTCACTCACTAGCACATCATCCTTATTTTCTGAAGTTGTCTTGTTCCTTCATTTTCTTCTTTATTATTTTTCTTGTCCACCCTCTAACTTGCTCTGCCCCATGCCATCTAGAATATAGACTTGTGAACGTAGCCCTTGGAGACTGCCTACCACTTAGTAGGTGTGTAACAGACATCTGTTAAATGGATGCACTGCATGCATCTTACTGTTCATACAGCAGTTACCACTACTTCCTGAGTGTGTCCTCCAGCAGATCGTCATTTGCTTGAGGGCGTGAGCTGTGTCTCATCCATCTTCGTATCTTCAACACTTGGCTGATAAGTAGGCACTCAGTAAGTGCTGAACGATTCACTAGAGAAAGGGATGACTGCGGCTGCCTGGGAGATAATCTTTCAATGATTGATTGGTTGATCTCAGCAGGCTGCTTACACTTATATATATGTTGTATCTGTGTGTTCAGTGTACACTCATTCAGTTAGGAATTGCAGTTGTCTGTGAATGACCTGAAAATCAATGGTTTTAACAAAATGATATTTGTGTTTTCTTTCACATACCATGAAGTATAGAGGTAGGCACTGCAGGGGTGGAGCAGAGGCTCCGTGATGTCATCAGCACCCCAGATTCATTCATTTTCGTTATCATGTCATCCTTAGTGTGTGACTTCTATTCTCAAAATTGCTTCACTGTCACAAGATACTGTGGCTCCAGCCATCGTGTCTCTATTCCTGATAGGAAGGAGGAAGAAGGAGGAAGGACAGAAGAGGGGTTTTAGCTAAGTCCCCACTTAGGAAGCTTTGTAAGAAGCCCCCAGATAGAGCTTCTTTGATCTCATTGAACAGAATTTAGTCCCATGTGTAGTCACAGTGGAAATTAGGAAATGTAGTTTTTAAGTTGGTTACATTGCCTTATCCAACAAAATTCAGGGGCTGTTAGTCATGAAGAATGGAAGAATGGATCATCGTGATATGCAGCTGTCAGACTCTGCTACCATATATACTTAAGGTAATGTAAAACTTTAGTAGATTTACTATGGTGTGCTAGGCTGCTCTAATAAGTGCAGTAAATAACAGTAGCGTGGTACATCATTAAACTGCCCACGAGGCTGTTCAATTTTTCTTTCAGGTGAAGCCTTTAGTAGCAGTGAGAGCTGCCCAATCCTCTAAAGAATCCCTGCTGTCCTATGAGGTCAGAGTGGTGCTGAGATCGTTGTTTTCTTTTTTTCTCTCTGACTGTTTGCCAGAGAAACTCCCCTGTGGTCACCGTCTGTGGCCTGGAGACGGGCCCTTGGTCAGACCCACCTTCTTGGCAGGGGTTAGTTTTTCCTGGTGTGCTCTCAGCAAGAGCTCACGTTCCCTGCTCAGGGCTTCAGAAGCACAGCCTGTGCTGCCTGGGAATGCTCCTGCTCTACCACAGTGTCTTTAGCCTCCGTCAGCCTTTTCTGATTTCCTCTCCAGTGGTCCCAGAGTGCTGCACCAGACAGGTGGGAGCCGGGAGCGGGTGGCCACGAAACAAAGACAGGTGGGGGTATGACAAACAGAAAAAAAATCACGAGCTGGAATTGCCTCCTGGTTCTAGTTCTGGTTTTGGTTTTCGACACTGTTGTTAACAGGAAAGGGGTCCCAATCCAGATGCCAGGAGAGGGTTCTCGGATCTCATGCAAGAAAGAATTCAGGGTGAGTCCACAAGTGCAAGGCTAAAGCAAGTTTATTAAGAAAGTAAAGGGATAAAAGAATGGCTACTCCATAGACAGAGCAGCCCTGAGGGCTGCTGGTTGCCCATTTTTTTGGTTATTTCTTGATGATATGCTAAACAAGGGTGGATTATTCATGCCTCCCCTTATTAGACCATATAGGGTAACTTCCTGACATTGCCATGGCATTTGTAAACTGTCATGGTGCTGGTGGGAGTGCAGCAGTGAGGACGACCAGAGGTCACTCTCGTCACCATCTTGGTTTTGGTGAGATTTGGCTGCTTCTTTACTGCAGCCTGTTTTAGCAGCAAGGTCTTCGTGACCTGTATCTTGTGCTGACCTCCTGTCTCTTCCTGTGACTTAGAATGCCTAACAATCTGGGAATGCAGCCCAGTAGGTTTCAGCCTCATTTTACCCAGCTCCTATTCAAGATGGAGTTGCTCTGATTCAAATGCCTCTGACACTGTGAGGATAAAATGGAGAACTGGAATATTCTATCCATTTCAGAGAAGTCTTATTCTCATGGCTTAATTTGTGTGAAGTACTTTATAATCCCAGAAGAAAGCCCATCTAGCAGATTAAGTGTACCAGCATACATAGACCCTGTGCACACTCACACACACATGTCTGGAAACCCTGGAGCATCAGGTGTCCTGACTTCGGATTATAGCATGGGGCATTTGCCACATTAGACATACGCATTTGGCAGTGGAAGTTACTGAAAAGTCTAAGATCTTAGTATTTATTGAGAAATTTTGTTTCCCCAAAATTAACTTTTAAATGACTATAGCATAACACATCTAACTATCATCTAAAGCTATATAGGCCCCACCAGAACAATACACCCATCATTGAGAGCAAGACTTAAATATAAAGCTTTTAGGTACTCTTAAAACTTTAAAACTATCCCAGCGGAAAACTGACAGTAGAGCAGAGTGGTTCTTATTAGTGCTATAAACAGATAATGAGAGAAATACAGATTGCGTTTTTTACATTTAAAGTGTTCCACTAATCCAGCAGAAGTAGTCAGAATATCAGATGCTTCAGGAAGCTTCGTTTTGGAAATCGCCATATACATTCCTGTATGGAGTTCAGAGTAAGACAACTAGTAGTTTCTATTTCAGTATATCATAGCCTTTCTAAAGCTGCAGTATGGAAGTTGGATTTTTCATCTTGGGTGATTCATTTCAATTTGTTGCAAATATTTAAATGTTCCTTAAATACAGTGTCAATCTAAACTGAAATGAGCTCTTCTGTAGGAGAGGAGCTTAGGTGTTCTTTAAGAGAGTAAAGAGGGAGACTCACCAGGGCCCTTTTCTCTCCTGCATCAGAGAACTTAGTTATGTTTATGTGATTAACTGAGTTAAGTGTGAAAACCTTTGCCCCATGGTGTCATCAGGAAGGTTAAATGTTACCCAAGTTTATCTTAATTAAACATTTGTATTTATTTTCTAATAAAAAGCAAATGACCAGGTATGCATTAAGTAACTTCTCTTGGCATTCTGCCAGTGGATTTATGGAACAAAGATGAAACAGGATAGTCCTTCCAGGGCCACGCAGAAAAAGTTGATCAAGCAGAAATCTTGTTTGTGATATTGATTTCTCACACTTCCTTTCTTTCTTAGCCATAAAATAATAAAATAACAAAATAACATTTGTATTAGATTAATAGGATATGTCAGACCAAGAGAGAGAGAGCAACAGTGCTTCCTTTGAGTGTCATGTTGGTACTCAAAAACTTTCAAATTTTGGAGCATTTCAGATTTTCGGATTTGGAATGCTCAAGCCATATAAGAGCGAGTAATGACCTGGTTGGAAAGGCTGAGAGAGGAAAAAGGTAATTCTATAGGTGTATACAGAGGGGCTGCATGTATAAAGGCCATAGAATCTCTCTGTCTCTGACAAGTGTATATTATATACATGGAGAGCCAGAGAAAGACACTAAGACTCATATTAAAGAATTGGTTCACATAATTGTGGGGACTGGCAAGTCACAAATCTGCAGGGATGGCCAGCAGGCTAGACACCCAGGGAAGAGTTGATGTTGCAGTCTTATCCAAAGGCTGTCTGATGGCAGAATTCCCTCTTCCCTGAGGGCCTCAGTCTTTTTCTCTTAAAGCCTCCAACTAATTGGATGAGGCCCACCCACATTACACAGAGTAATCTGCTTTACTCAAAGCCTACTGATTTTGATGTCAATCTCATCTAAAAAATGCCTTCACAGAAATGACTAGACTAGTATTTACCAAATGTCTGGGTACTGTGACCTAGCTAGGTTGACATATAAAGCTAACCATTACATCATATCATCATCATCATCATCATCATCATCGACTGTGTGTCATGTACTATTTTGAGCACCTGACATGTATTAACTCAGTGGATCCTTACCACAACCATGTCAGGTACACACTCTTACTATATGCATTCTATGGATGATAGGTTTGCAGTCAGACGGGTCAAATAACATGCCCACAGTTTCCATAGCTAGTCTAACTTGGTTGTGCGCATGTCCGTCTTGCCTATAAATTTTCCTTGAAGACATGGCTGATGTTATTCTTCATTGGTAGGTGCTCAGTAATTGTTCACTGAGTTAATGGTAGTTACTGTTTTTTGAGCAGTTACTGTGTGTTAGGACCGGGTTAAGCACCCTAATCTTGAAAAGTATCTAAAGAGTAGGTATTTTAACTGATGGAAAGCTGAGGCTCTGAGAAGCCACTAACCTGAGCAAGGTCATGGAGCTCTGAATGATGGAGCCAGGATCCACATTCATCTCTTTGTGATTGTGAGATGCCTATGAAAATTTACCAGTATTAAAAGAATCAAGGCAACATTAAAGAATAGGTGACTCTGGAAATACATCAACGACTGGTTACTTGGTTTTTATAACCTTTTCCTTAAATCCAGGGATTGTGCATTCTGAATGTTCCAGGACATTCTTCCCAATTATAACCACCCTCTCTTAACACTCTCATGTTTGACCAGTTGTCACTAGACATACCATCCTTAAGCAAAGTCTGTTATTCTATTACTGTTTTTACATCTTCTCTGTTAAAAATCAAATGCAGGGCCGGGCGCGGTGGCTTATGCCTGTAATCCCAGCACTTTGGGAGGCCGAGGCGGGCGGATCACAAGGTCAGGAGTTCGAGACCACCCTGGTCAATATGGTAAAACCCCGTCTCTACTAAAAATACAAAAATTAGCTGGGCGTGGTAGCAGGCGCCTGTAGTCCCAGCTACTCAGGAGGCTGAGGCGGGAGAATCGCTTGAACCTGGGAGGCGTAGGTTGCAGTGAGCTGACATCGCTCACTCCACTCCAGCCTGGGCAACAGAGCGAGACTCCGTCTTAAAAAAGAAAAAAAAATCCTTCAATTCATTTAAATTCTATGGCCTTTATATGTATAGCTCCTCCATATCCTCCTAAATGTCTTTGTGAGTGACCTTTTCCCTTCTCTCTCAGCCTTTCAGACCAGGACATCACTGGCTCTTATCCAGGTTGAGCATCCCAAATCTGAAAATCCAAAATCCAGAATGCTCCAAAATTCAACTTTCTGAGCACTGACGTGGCGCTCAAAGGAACTTCTCATTGGAACATTTTGGACTTCAAATTTATGGATTTGGGATGCTCAACCGGTATTCTATAATGCAAATATTCAAAAAAAAATCCAAAATCCAAAATGCTTCCAGTCCCAGCATTTTCAGATGGACCTGTTCCTGTCCATCAAGAAATAGGTCCTACCCTGCTTCTCTTTTCCTGAACATAAATCATCATTTCAGAATGTTATATTCTGGGCTTTTGGACCCATGAAAAAACCATAGCTGTCTTGGGATTAGACCTGAGAGGCTGAGAGCTGTGCTTACTGAGGTGTCCTGAGTTGACACTGCTTATGAAAAGTGCCACAGTTAAATCCACCTTGGGCTGGTGTCTCAGCTGAGGGGGGAAAAATGCATGACAATACTTACTGAAGGAAGAACCCTTTCCTGATGAAGGTCGTTAGAACTCTCAAGTGTGTTTGCCTTTTTAGCAAGCGTGTTTGCACTTCGGAAGTCCAGTCATTTCTCCCCATGAGCCCGAGTCTGCAGACAAAATGAATGCACCCTCCTGCCTTTTCCTTCCTGGGGTCTTCTGAGTTTGAAGTTGGATTTTGTCCCTTTAGTTTTGGGTAATTTATCCTACAGGTTAGAAGATGAAGTTACAGCCTGTAAACTGTGTAAGTACACAGCCTCAAACGGCATTTCCTCCCGTCCTTGTCAGCACGTATGGGGATTTGACAGATAACAAGAACGCCTTTCCTCTCTAATCCTCCTGGTTGCTTCTTGGACATCTCCCTGAAACTCAGCTGGCTCCCTTGTCCCTTTCATTTCTGGGTGGTCTGATTAGGGTAAAACCCATCATCAAAGCAGGCCAGGTGCTGATACTCAGCACACGAAGCTGTCAGGAAGTGATCCTTCAGATTTCCTGGGGATTCCTGCCCACATAGCCCCACCAGGCTGTAACAGCTCCTGTGCCTCAGATGGGGGATTAGCTGAGACTGTGTGGCTAGTGATTGCTAATCTTTCCGTACCAGCCAACTGAGATCCTCTAATTCATACCCAGCTCGTAAATACCCAAATCTGTTTCCCCAAAGGCTGTAGTTCCTGAGGGTTAGATTAGCCAGTTAGTATGGGTGATCTTCCTCTTCTGATTTTAGAATACAAATAATGGAGATTTTTTTAAAGATTTATGTTTGAATTTATATTCTTACTTCCTACCTCCTCCTGCTTTTATTCAGTGATTCATCATGAAACTCCCTTAACTGAGGACGAGTAACCGGGTTACTTACTGGGAAGACCTTTTATTTGAAGTTGTATTGTTTCACGTAGACGGTCTCAGTTCCTTCCTCCATGTCGCTGGGGACTCTGATGTCTTACTCTCCTAGCTCCTTTAAGTGGAATGGAAAAAACTGAAGTGTATTCAAATTGTGAGGGGATGCCCAGGTGATGCTCAACAACCACAGCTTCTCTTGAGGGCAGACCCTGCCAAAATAGAAAAGTGGCACTAGAGTATTCAGGTAGATAATAGCTCTTTGATATGGTCTATTTATGGGGTCCTAGAAACACTGATGGTGGAGCCAAGGTCTCAGGAAGTTGTCAGTCATCATATGGAATGTAAGATTGTCACAGTCCATCATTGGGATGGCCCACCATCTCTGCACACTTTGGAATGTTTCAGTCCCCTTCTTCCTAAATTGTACATGCTACTGTAGTGAGAATGTGTCTTCTCAGTAAGGTTCATGGTACTTTGTTCTTAGTACTTCCTTATTTCAGAGAAGATCCTTAAAGAAAATACCTGCTCCCCTCTCCCTTAAAAGAGTTATAAAGTGCTTATGAAATATTTGTAGAATGGCTGAATGAGAATAATGACTATAGGTAAATTGTTTGGCTAAGCACAGTAAGAAGGGGTTCTTCCGAAAGTGACATGGCCAGTGTCCCATAGGCAAAGGTCAGCCATAACAAATAGGTGATATTTCATGTTGCAGTGGTGGCCACCAAGTAGCTGCCCCGCCATGAATACCATGTTGACAGGGATTCTGATGGGTCTTCATGGCTCTGGAGAATGCCACATGTGCAAGAGAAGGCAGTAGACATTTGCCATCCCTGTGCTAATGCGAAACATTAGATGACCTCCCATGTTCAGACATGAATGTGCTGGGATTTTAAGAGGCTCATAAACACACATCTTTTCTTTCTCTCCTGAATTCAAAACTTTTTGAGAAATAAGGTATACATGACAGTCAAATGTAGGTTCAGAGAAGGTGACCTTCAGTCTGTGTTTCTTCTCCCTGGAATTAAACATCCCAGTCACATTGGTCTCAGGTGATGCTTAGCAGCCACAGCTTCTCCTGAGGGCAGACCCTGCTAGCTAAGTTTTCTGCATGGCAGGAGAGCAGCACAGATTCACTTTCTCCTTGGGAAGATCCAGAAGGACCTAGCTGAGCCGTGTGCACCCATTCTTCTCCCCGACAGAGGCACTAATAGAAGACGGTCCTCCTGCCCAGGGGGTTGTGAGTGAGGGGCTGAGCAAGGGTGGAAGTGCCCCTTCCCAGTGGCTTCTGAGGGGGCAGGGTTCTTCCCCACTGGGTGCTTTTCTCATTGTAGTTAGAGGTTTTGTGGGATATTCCCTTTCCTTACTCTGCTCCTGTAGTTAGAGGTTTTGTGGGATATTCCCTTTCCTTACCCTGCTTCTGTGGTTCTTGAGAGGTGATTTGCTTTACATGTCATTGGCTGCTTGTGAGATGCTTAAGAACATGTGTGCAGCACCGTGGAGGCCCTGGAGGTTTGTCTGTTGTTTTAGGGAATTCCCTTTATAGCTCTATACATGCGGGGCCACAGGGAGGATCTGCTTGGAAACTTTTTAAGCAGAACTTTATGAAAGCTCACAGAACATGTTCATTCACCTTCCACACATGAAAATGCCCATTTGTCGGGTCAGTGTTCAGTGTGAAACCATTGAACTAAACATGTCAAACCACAGGACTAAAGGAGACCTGACACTTCATCTGGATACCCCTGTCTAGATCCTACTCCCACCAGGCACATGGCAGAAAGAAGTGACCTGAGTCCCAGTCCAAGGGCACCTCTGGTGGTGAGATTCGGGCAAGGCTTTCTATTCCTCACCTGCTGTGTTGTACTGCAGGTTCCTTTCAGTTCCTGGTGCTGTTGTTCTACACCATTCTAGAGAAATGACTGGCTGCCCTAGAGATGCTGGTGCTACCTCCAAAGCCTGTAATGCATGGTGGATATTATGCAGTGATAGCTACGGGGACCCAGGGATGGTCGTGGTGCTCAGTTGGGGTTGGCACTGGAGTTGAAGCTTGTCTTCCATCCCTCCCTTTTTAACTACCTCCGGACACCATTAATTATTTGTTCTACCAGATGTCAAGTCTCGTATTTGAAAGAGCCTTTCACACATGTACATGTATGTTTATTGCAGCACTATTCACAATAGCAAAGACTTGGAACCAATCCTAATGCCCATCAATGATAGACTGGATAAAGAAAATGTGGCACATATACACCATGGAATACTATGCAGCCATAAAAAAGGATGAGTTCATGTCCTTTGCAGGGACATGGATGAAGCTGGAAACCATCATTCTCAGCAAACTATCACAAGAACAGAAAACCAAACACTGCATGTTCTCACTCATAAGTGGGAGCTGAACAATGAGAACACATGGACACAGGAAGGGGAACATCACACCCTGTCTGTCAGGGCCTGTCGGGGGGTGGGGGGCAAGGTGAGGGATAGCATTAGGAGAAATACCTAATGCATGCAGGGCTTAAAACCTGGAAGATGGGTTGGTGGGTGCAGCAAACCACCAAAGCACACGTATACCTATGTAACAAACCTGCATGTTCTGCACGTGTGTCCCAGAACTTAAAAAAAAAGAGTCTTTCCAATTCTTAAGCTAAATACTATGTCTCAAGTTTAAGCCCCTTGCTTTCTTGATGAGTTCTCAAAGGAACTTTTCCCAAGTAATCCCCAAGTCTTTGATTTTCAGAATGTTGTGTTTGTCTGAAAGAGATCTCATAGAATTCAAAGACAGAGAAATTAAGTTTTTATTTAAAAAAAAAGACCTCCGGTGAAACTCATCACTAATAGCACAGGGCTCAGCCTTTCTGCACCACCTTCTTCATTCCATTGTGCTCCTTTCTGGAAACATCAATCTCTTTTAATTATGCACATATATATTTATTATCTGAAAACTGAATCCAGTTTGCCTTTCTCTGAAATTACTTTGTTGCAGTGCAGCTTCTAGGAGCATATTTAACATCAATTAAAAAAACATATTATTGAAACTGTACATTATGATCTGGAATAGAACAAGAAGATCTATGTAGCACAACAAAAAAGTTAATTGGAAACTATGATTAATGGAGAAGTCTATGGGGTCACGTGGAAACTGTTTACCTTGCCACCTCTCTGTAGTCATTAAAACTCTTGAAAATGAATTTTCTTATCCTAAGAGTGTAAAACTGATGTTGTGGAGCATTTTGCACATGCCAGACACAGATGAATTCAAGACGCAGTCCCTACACTCCGGGTTTCTACAGTTTAGCTGGACAGAGATGAACAAAATTGCAATGGAGTGTGTAAGGGGCCATAGTGTGCAAGGCCCAACACCTCCCTGAGCGAAGGACGTCAGCACTGGTTGGCTGGATCCTGGCCAAGCTTGCTGTGGGGAAGTGGTCGATGTAGTGTGGGGAAGGCCATTTGCACTGATGGCCCCTGTGGAGCGGAACATTCTCATGGCTGTGTCTGTTACCCAAATAACTAGAGGATGCTCTGTGTGCAAATCTTGTTTTCTTTAATCAGCATAAAATCTGGAATGAGGAGAAATAGCTTCTGAAATGCGCTTTCTCAAAGAAGGATGAGCAGAATGAGCCACACCATCTATACCAGGAGTGTCCAGTTTTTTGGCTTCCCTGGGCCACATTGGAAGAAGAAGAATTGTCTTGGGCCACACATAAAATAAACTAACACTAACAATAGCTGATGAGCTAAAAAAAAATCGCAAAAAAAATCTCATAATGTTTTAAGAAAGTTTATAAATTTGTATTGGGCCGTATTCAAAGCCATCCTGGCCTGCATGCGTCCATGGGCTGCAGGTTGGACAAGCTTGATCTATACCATCATATATGTGATCACAGTGCTGTATTAAGGAAGGTAAATGCACCTAGTATTTGCAGTTAAAAAGTCTGTGCCATTTAACATTTTGTTTTTCAGGGTTCCTGTGGGCAGACTAGGGCACATAACAAACCTTACAATGCAGATTACTTTCACTTGTAGTATGTTGGGTTTTGGGGTTTTGTTGAGACAGAGTCTTACTCTGTCACCCAGACTGGAGTGCAATGGCACCATTTCGGCTCACTGCAACCTCTGCCTCCCGAGTTCAAGTGATTCTTGTGCCTCAGCCTCTTTAGTAGCTGGGATTACAGGAACCCGCCACCATGCCTGGCTAATTTTTGTATTTTCAGTAGAGACTGGGTTCTATCATGTTGGCCAGGCTGGTCTCAAACTCCCAACCTCAGGTGATCCACACGCCTCAGCCTCCCAAGGTGCTGGGATTACAGGCGTGAGCCACTGCACCCAGCCTATAGTATGTTTATATATGTCAAATAACTGCAAAGGAATTGTAGTGATCTCTAAACAGTACCCTATCAATAACTGTTGTTTTAAGTAGTTAATGAAAAAAATAAAGAATCCATCAGTGTTCTTCCAACACCTCAACACCAGGGCCCTTCTGGGTTTATACCCACAAAGGTCCAGCCTGTTTCTAGCCATATCGATCAATAATACCTTTTTTCTCCCTTATAAAAGATCCATATATTGTGCAAGAGAAATTGCTGTTTTTGCTATTGCTTTTAATGGCAACGCTGCAGTTACTTTTGCACCAGCCTAATTCTTTGGCTTTCCTGCAGAGAAAGCAGCTCACTTTTCTTGACATCTCCAGGGAGTGGCTTGAGCTCAATAACTGTTCCATGAATGGATGACTGTTAAGTCCTGACCCATCCCACCTGGGGCATAAACTAACCAAAGTAATGAGATGGGAAGGGGGTCCTTACATTTATTTCATCATTTTGCTAATTTTTGTCACAAATCCAACTGATTCTAGAGTCATGATAATCCATGGTTATTTAATGTCTTAAACCTATGAACCGTCTACAAGATTACAGAGTTGAAAAAAGCAAAGACTGGGTCTGTAAATTTCAATTCTGAACCTTAAGCTGGTGGTTCTCGGAACTTCAGTATGTAAGTGCTTAGACAAGTTACTGAGTTGCTCCCGGATGTGCTGTGAGAGCCATTGTAAGTGTGACTTTAAAAAAATATGTACATCTCTCAGATCTCATTAGAGCCTCATAGAAATGGAACATGTCCTTGAAAACCATGAATTGGAAAATGCATACATTTTGAGCTTGTGTTTGGGGACTAGCTCTCTGGGTCCCAGTGGTAAACTTAGCCCATTAATGGCTGATGCTTTAAAGAAATATAAAAGCCCCTAGGCTAGTCTCTTCTTCCCTCCCCCCATCTGCATAGCAGGTACCAATCTTCATCAAAGCTTTTGAACCCAAGTCTCAGATTGCCTTTGATCAGAAGCCTGGTTTGTCCCCCAGTGCAGAAATGTAGGAACTGTGTGAGAGAAAGAGAAAGAGGGAGAGAAGGAGGGAAGAAAGAGGAGAGAGAGAAAAAGAAAGGGAGGAGGAGCAGGAGAGAGAAGCCTGTCTCGCCTACTATAGAATTTTCTTCTCTCCTCTCAAAACAAGTTCCTTACACATTTGGCTGACCGCATGGTACACGTGGCTGGTGTCAGGGTTCTGTCTGAACTCTGTGATTGAGGAGACCAACCTGCAGGAGCCACTTTGAAGATGCTTACTACTGACAGGGCAGGATCCCATGAGGCAGGCATTTCAGGGCTACCTTGTCCTTGGAATTCACATTTCTTGGAGCCCTGGAAGGGGACCAGCTGTTCAGCTCTGCCTGTCTTGTGAACAGGTTGCAATCCTTAGGAAAGGAAGTATGACTTTTTGCTTCATTCTACAAAGTCTTCTTTTATAGTTTCTTGGCTGGAAGGCACAGGATTTGGATAAATTGAGTTTATCCTGTAGACCTCATCTACACAGTAAACACTCTCTTAGCCCAGAATCAGTGTTTTCTTTAAGTTTAGAGAGATGCTTGTGTACAGTTCTGTGGCAGTCTCCATCTCATCCTGAAAACACTTTATCTATTTTAATATCCCAAGACTGTCTGCTTTCCTGAGTTTGTAACACATGAAGAAGTCAGATACTCATTAAAAAAAAAAAAAGCTAAAAATTCAAAATGTATAATGGCGCATTTACCCCCAGTTCTCTTTCACTGAACATGTCAAACTGTATTTTAATGTCATGCTCATTTTCAGATATTTGTTGGCATTCTAGCCTCTTCAGTTGTTCAGAAATGCCATTTTAAAGCTCTTTTGGTTGTAAAATGCTGTACCCAAAACACATTTGCTTTAAAATTTCTCAATTGCCTTGTACTTTATTGCACTGTGAACTTGGAGTCTAAATCAAGTGAAGGCAAGGCAACGTGATGTCAGAGTGTGCTTTGTCTAAGAGGACATTTTTTGGTAAAAAGATATGTGTTGAATAAGGTTGTTTATTCAGATTATTAATATGGGAAGTCCAGGGTAACAAGAAACTAGATTCATTAATAAATAAAAATAAATAAGCACATCAACATAAAATTAAAATGAAGAAGATAAGCAGTTACTGATGAAAGGGATGATTAGGTTCTTTCTGTTGCTGGAGCTGAATTGCTCCAAAATTAATTTTATGAATTTTGATTAAGTAACGTAATGAGTCTGAATTTTCTCACCCTTGCTAAGCCTTTTTATTTTATTTTATTTATTTATTCTTTTGAGATGGAGTTTTGCTCTTGTTGCCCAGGCTGGAGTGCAATGGTGCAGTCTTGGCACACCACAACCTCTGCCTCCTGGGTTCAAGCGATTCTCCTGCCTCAGCCTCCCGAGTAGCTGGGATTACAGGCATGTGCCACCATGCTTGGCTAATTTTGTATTTTTAGTAGAGACGGGGTTTCTCCATGTTGGTCAGGCTGGTCTCAAACTCCCAACTTCACCTTGCTGAGTTTTTACTTTCATTTACGCATGCCATTTCTTAAATAATTGTCCAAAATGTATTAAACTGATGTCAATTATTCTTTTTTTACTTCTTTAAAAGTTGACTTTAATCTACAGTATTTCCTTCTAGACCTGAAAGTGTGGCTCCTGTGGTGTTTCTGTGATGTGTGAGTCGCACACTGCTGTGTAGTGTTTGTGCGGTCAGAGTTGTTATCATCAAAGGCTGCTGCCACTTCAAGAGAGTGGGTCTGAGCTCACCCTGGACTAATTTGACAGGTCCCTTAGAGTTGAGATTATAAAATTCTTCATTCAAGTGAACTGAGGTTGGGGTGGTCTCAAGACACAGCCATGGTGTTACCTTACCCAGCACATGGCCAAGACCGGCCTCCGGAGGCTGCATCTTGTTTTCTGGTTCCTTTCTGTGTTTCCTGTTGACAAATGAGCACAACTGGCCTTATTTACTGAAGTGATACGATAAAAAGAGGAACCTAACTTAGTTTACACAGATACAGTTACTGAACTTTTGAAGGAGTCTTTCATCCATGGCAGCTTTCAAGCTCCATCTGACACTGGAAAACAAAGTTTACGAGAACAACAACTTGTTCTAGTTATAGAAATGTAATTAGGTGAGTATGTGCTGTGAAGATGACCTGGAAATATCAGCTTTCCCTTGTAGTTGTCTGTGAGGACAAAGAGCTTGTATTCAAGGAACAAGTTCAAGCTTCCTTGAACTTGTATTCAAGGAAGAATCCCTGGCTTAATGTTTTATATATTTTAAAAACTTACATAATGCCATTTACCTGCTGCGTTGAGATTTTCATGAAGTTATTTAGTCTTAAACTTTAATTTCCCTTCCCATATTAGTACATCTGCCCCACAATAGCTATGTAGACTCTGAAGCATGAAACAGCCTCTGTATAAGTCTGTTTTCACGCTGCTGATAAAAGACATACCTGAGACCGGGCAGTTTACAAACGAAAGAGGTTTAATTGGACTTACAGTTCCACGTGGCTAGGGAGGCCTCACAATCATGGCGGAAGGCAAGGAGGAGCAAGTCACATCTTATGTGGATGGCAGCAGGCAGAGAGAGAGCTTGTGTAGGGGAACTCCCATTTTTAAAACCATCAGATCTCATGAGACCCATGCACTATCATGAGAACAGCACGGGAAACACCTGTCCCTGTGATTCAGTCATCTCCCACTGGGTCCCTCCCACCACATGTGGGAATTATGGGAGCTACAAGATGAGATTTGGGTGGGGACACAAAACCACCCAAACCATATCAGTCTCCCACGTGCTCTGGGGCCTCTCAGTATGTACATTCATGGTTCTCTGATTAGGACACTTAGTATTTAAAAAAATTTTTTTTAACTTTTATTTTAAGTTCAGGGGTACATGGGCAAGTTTGTTACATAGGTAAAATTACATCTTAAGGGTCTGTTGTACAGACTATTTAATCACCCTGGTGTTAAGCCTAGTAATCATTAGTTATTTTTTTCTGATCCCCTCCCTTCTTCTGCCCTCTACCCTCTGAAAGGCCCCAGTGTGTGTTGTTTCCTTCTATGTGTCCATGTGTTCTCATCATTTAGCTCCCACTTATAAGTTAGAACATGTGGTAGTTGGTCTTCTGTTCCTGAGTTCATTTGCCTAGGATAATGGCCTCCAGCTCCGTTCATGTTCCTGCACAGGGCACGATCTCATTCTTTTTTGTAGCTGCATAGTATCCCATGGTGTATATGTGCCACATTTTCTTTATCAAGTCTATCATTGATGGGCATTTAGGTTGATTCCATGTCTTTGCTATTATGAATAGTGCTGCAATGGACACATGTGTGCATGACACTTAGTACTTTTCAGAGTGCCCTGGAGAGGCCCTGTGGCTGGATTGTTTCTGACTCACTTAGAAACCTTTGGAAAATTGTTTAATTGCTCATCTCCTAAGCTTTTGACTTGAAGCAAGCTTTGGCTTGTGCAAGTAGGGGCATGATGAGAGTGGGGATATCCATAGTGCAGTTTTCACATCCTTTCCTTTAAGGAGGTAGGAGTCCAGGCTCTCAACAATTCTAGGACCACCCTACACATAGCTTATGCCCTGAGCCTGTGTGAGATTGCTGGTCTCAGTTGGAGGGGCAGTAGAAGTAGACCAGGATTGGCATCACTTGGCTGTGATGCCGCACTTCAGATTTTTTGGAGATTTACATTTGGGGGCAAAATCCTGATTGTGTTTACTTAAAAAAATTATGTTTTTTTTTTAAATTTTTAATCTGTTAACATAAGTGGAGGAAAGAAATCAGGCTTCCAGAAAGAGGTCAACAGAAGCCTTGTTAAGCATATATTGTATTTTTTAAGAGGTTGTTGAATCGTGACAGTACAGACCATACTTAATCCTCTGTAACCCCCAGGCAGGGCAGGCTTGCCCCTTGCACCAGCTCCTATGCTTCTGAAGCACTTTGCTTGTTCCACAGAACCATTAGACTCATACTCAGAGTATGAAGCAGAAATCACAATTGAAATTGTCCCTGAGGCTCCCTAAATCTCTCACAAAAAACAGCTAATCCGTATTCTAATTTACCCGGTCCTATATGTATGTATGTGTAATGTGTATGTAGAAATTAATAATGCCTGAAGTAGGTGGTTTGAGTTTGGAGGCTTTGTTATATGAAAAATTTGTATCTTTAAACAGTAGCATCCAGCTCAGTGCAGAGAAATGAGAAGCGTAAAGAACCAGTGCCTGACTGTAGGAGGTAACAGGCCCCGGGCTTCCACTCCAGTGTACTCGGGTGTGCATGCTTACTGGGGAGAAGGGCAGGTGGGAGCAATGGCACTGCTTAAATTTCTTTTGTGCTGTTGCACCCCTGTATGTGCACTTTGCACTTGCAGTCTCACTAGCTCTCTCGCTTTCCTTTCCAGGCATATATATTTAGATTCTGGTATCGTACTCATTGGTTTATGCTACAGCTGTAACCCCATGCCTGAGAGTTGCATGAGTACTGATGACTGCAAATTATTTATTTTTGTATCCTCAATTCCTTGAATAGTTGAATTGGGGCTCAATACATGTTTGCTAAATGATGATTGCATTTAACTGTGAGCAGCTTTTTCAGATATTAATCAAAATGCCTGCAAAGACTACACAGTTGCAAGGGACATCAGCTTATATCCCAACATTATTGGTTCCTGATCCATAGTTGTGAGACCTTGGTTGATTCCCTGATAGTACAGCAACTCCCTGGGAATGGAAGTTCAACTTGTTGGCTTTAGAACAACATAAGCAGTTTCATTGAACATTCACTGAATGTCTCCTCTGTGCTGAGCCCATGTCAGGGACTGGGTCTTTAATCATGTTCTTGTATGCAGCATCCCTGCACTCTACCTGCACATGACTTCTGAACAGCATGCTCTGCCCAGACAGCCTCAGTGAGGGCCAGGACTTGAACCCTGTGGAAGCATGTAAAGACATATTTCCGTGGTGGCAGAAGGCTGAGAGTTCAGCATACTGTCTGTCTTCACTTTTGAGTTGTTCTTTCATCTGCCTAAGACTCATGGCAGAGCACTCATTTCACAAACTTTCACTGAGTGCCGACTATGTGCCAGGCACTGTGCCATGTGCTGAAAGTACAAAGACTTTAATATGTAGTCCTTGACCTCAAAGAGCTCAAGAGTAATTGACAGAAATTCCTAGATCATGATCTGTGATGATGAGAATCATTCCTTAGAAGGGCTTGCATATAAACATATTTATATACTTATTTTGTAGGAAAATATCCTTAGTAAGCTTGAAAAAATAAGGATTGATCATCCATGTCAAGCCTGACATAAATTTTAATAAATCAGTGTGAGCAAAAGGAAAAAAAATGTACAATAATAATAAAATAAAACCGTAGTCATTTATACTTCATGCTGTAGTTCTAAAATAAAAATTCTCCTTTGGGGCTGGTGTGGTAGCTCACACCTGTAATCCCAGCACTTTGGGAGTCTGAGGCAGGAGGATTGCTTGAGCCCAGGAGTTCGAGACCATCCTAGGCAACATAGTAAGACCCTGTCTCTACAAAAAAATGTAAAAAATTAGCTGAACATGATGTCGCGCACCTGTGGTCCTAGCTATTCAGGTGGCTGAGGTGGAAGGACTGCTTGAGCCCGGAAGGTCAAGGCTGCAGTGAGCCATGATCAAGCCATGTCACTCCAGCCTGGGTGACAGAGTGAGACCCTGCCTCAAAAAAAAAAAAAAAATTAATAAATCATTTTTGGTGTGTATGGACACAGGAAAATTAAGTTGATTAAGTAGCATTTTGGGTTCTATATGTCATTTTAATAATTCCTAAATCTGCAGCATAGCACGTGATAGATTGACCTCATGATGTCGGTTTTTCCAGATCGATGTTGAATTCATTGCAGTAAGCAAAGGTAAAATGAAGTTTGAGTTTATAAGTAATGTGACAGACTGGAGAATGGTGCTGGTAATTAGAAGCAGGATTTCCACTCCTTAACCCTCCTCCTCATGACAGCCCTCTTCCCTACTCCAGACTTAAATGAAAAGATTGAGAATACAACTATTATTTGGTGACCACTAACTGCATACAAGGTGCTATGCTAAGCACCATGGAAAGAATTCTGAGAGGACTAGAGAGGAACTTAGAGCCTACTACATATATTTCAGACATGAATTGTAAGTAGGAGCTATAATAAAGATGCTAATCGTAATATGGGTAGCAGGGTTCATTTCTTTGGGAACTCTAGGAAAACAGCTCAAAGGAGCTGATGGACAAGTGGAACCTTGAAGGATATTTAAGATTTGTGTTGGATGAAGGGAGAGGATATACATTGTTGTCTTTGTGTGTATGTTTTTTATTTGTTTTCCAAAATAATTTAACCCCCCACAACAGGGATCATATCTTTTGGGAAATTTTCCGAATCCCCCAGTCCAGTGTGGAACACCGAAGTTTGTTCAGTGAGACTTGGAAAGGACAGGGCAGGTGAGCTCAGGGGAGGAATGTTACAATAAACATGGGAATAGCTTAAGTTGGAGAAATGTCTGATGCCTCTTTGAGGGTCATATCTAGCAGGCCGATTCATAGGAAGGTTCACTCCCAGTAGACTGCATTAAGTCATCTGCTCAGATTCTCTCTTGTCCATTCTATACTCAGAAAGCAGAGATATTCCTTAAAGTGAGATTTTCCTATCTTTTATAGGTAGGTATTGATTTTTTTCTTTACCTTTGTTTAATTTTAATTGTAATAATTATAAAATTAAAAGTGAATTATACACCGTGACTCTCTAGAGGCAGCAAACATTTAATATGTTTGGAGCACACATATTGCGGTAGGCCATAACATGTTCTCTTTTCTTTTTTTGCCTCTTTAAATGTAAGAAACCAAGGATGCAGAAATTTTATATTTTGGGAATTTTTTTCTTAAAGAAAAATTGAATTTTTATTGGAAAAGAACGAACAATATGTTCATTTGCCATTTTGAACAACCATTGTTGCTTTGTGCTATATTTCTTTTGAGTGAATTCATTGGACCTCACTCTACATCCAGCTAGACGTCAGAGGATCCTGATCATCTTTCGTTGGTCCTTTTGCATAAATATAAGTTTACTCTTAAGTTTATAGAGCTTGCAATTGTGGCTCTTGAGAGTACTTGGGTAGAATGTGAACGAAATAAAATACTTGCTGATTCTTTAGTCCAGAGCCTTTTTCTTTCGAGCTACTTGGTATGCTTTTCAACATCAAAAGCTAATATGTAGAAATTAACAATCTGTACTGTGGTAAGCATCACAAATGTGATTCAGACCTTATCAACACTGTGTGAACAAAATCTTGTAGCTCTCTAAGGAGCCATTGAACTTTGAGCAGTATGGTCTGAATAGATCCAGGTTAAAGAGAACCCCAATTCTGCCTTGTCTTCAGATTTCCTCGGTGTATCTTATCTAGAATGGAGATGGAGCTCAGTACTGCTGTGCTTCCTGTGGGGTGAGGAAGAGTTAGCTTAAAACATAATGAATTTGGCATGGTAGTTTTCAGTTCTTCCAAAGGTGGTATAGGGCAGAAATTACTATTCTTTTTTAAAGTTTGTAAAATCAGAAACATTTATAAGGTTGCTACTCCGGGTGCTGCACTAGGAACGAATGGCATAAGCATGAATGTAGTATACTACGTTCGAGAAGCATTTTAGGGACACACAGCAGCCTTCCCTGGCTGAGAGCTCCAAAAGGCTGGGTAGAAAATAGATGTAGACTACTGTTGGCAGAGGAGTGGCTGGAGGCCTGGAACCGTGAGGTTTATTTTAGCCCCAGAGGTAGAAAAGAATCTAGGCATGAAGGAAAAAACACTTCTCAAATGTTTACTTGAGAAGATCTTATAATGGTTCTTTTAGTTCTTGAAAACGGTATTACTTTCTTTGAGGTATAATTTGCATGCAGTGAAGTGTTCAGTTACTAAATTTACCTTTCACTCAGTTGTGATGAATGCATATCAAGACACAGAACATATCCATCACCCCTAAAAGCTCCCCCATGCCACTTTCCAGTCACTGTCCTGGCCCCCAGAAGCAGGCTTTGCTGTGGTTACTGTCACCATAGGTTGTCCTTTACTTAACTATAATTTTGTAGGAATGGGGTCATACAGTATGTGCCTTAAGTTTCTGGCTTCTTTTTATCCAGCACAGTACTAATATTTTGGAGATTCATCAGTATCATTGTCTGCATCATTAATTCTTTTTTTCATTGCTGAATAGTAATCTTCTATATAAATAAAGCGCAGTTGGCTGATCCCTTGATGGAAATCCAGGCTATTTCTAGTTTGGGGTTATTATGAATAAAATGAATGTGGATATTGTAATATAGGAATTTCTGTAGATACATGGTTTGATTTCTTTTGTATAAACCCCTAGGAGTGAAAGTGCTGGGTTATGGAGTAGATTTGTGTTTAACTTTTAAAGAAACTCCCAAAGAGTTTTCCAAAGGGATTATGCCATCTTACATACTTAGTCAGCGGTTTTTTAGAGTTCCAGTTACTCCATATCGTTACTCCATATCCTCATCAACAGTTGGTGTTGTTAGTCTTTTTCATTTATTCATTCTAGTGAGCGAGTGTTGGTATCTCATTGTGGCTTTAATTTGTATTTCCTACATAGGAAAGATGTTGAATACTTTTTCATGTGCTTATTGGCCATGTGCTATCTTCATTTGTGAAGGGTTTCTTCAAATCTTTTGCCTATCTTTTATAGTGTTGTTGCTAATTTTTATTATTGAGTACCAGAGTGGTTTTTATATTCTGGATCCAAGTCATTTGTCAGATATATGTATTGCAAATATTTTCTCTCATTTCGTGGCTTACTTGTTTATTCTTTTGATGGTACTCTTTGATGAACAGATATTTTTAATTGTGATGAAGTCCAATTTTTCTTTCACATTTATTCCTTTCTGTGTTACAAGAAGTGTCTCTTTCATTCTAATAACTCTTTTTAAAGCTTTTTATTTTGAAATAATTTCAAAATTATAGGAAGTTGCAAAGATAGTACATTGAGTGCCTACGTACACTTCCTTCAGCTACGCTTGATGTTAACATTTTACATGACCATGGTACAGTTATTAAAACCAAGAAATGAACATTACAGTAGATTAAGTAAACTACAGACTTTGTTTGGATTTCAACAATTTTCCCCATAATGTCCTGTTTCATTCCAGGATCCAATCTGGGATACTACATTGCATTTGGTTGTGATAACTCCTCAGTTTCCTCCAATCTGTTGTAGTTCCTCAGTCTTCCCTTGTCTTTTATAGCCTTGACACTTTTGAAGACTACTCTAAGAATTTTGTAGAATAACCATCAATATGTGTTTATCTGAAATTCTTTTCATGATGAGACTGCAATTGTGAGTTATAGAAAGAATGAATGTTACAGAGTTGGCATTCTCATTGTTTCTGATAACAATTTTTAGCTTTGATGTTTAGGTCTGTGACTGTTTCAAGTTGTATTTTTATGTGTTTTCTTTTGAGAAAACTTTGCTGAGATTTTGACTTGGATGGTATTGAATCTTTAGATCAATTTGGGAAGAATTGACATCTGAGCACTGTTGAGTCTTCCAATTCATGCATGCATGGTATATCCCTCCATTTATGTATTCACTCAGTAATGTTTTAGAGTTTTTAGTATAAAAAGCTGGCTTGTTTTTTGTTAAATTTATCCCCAAGTATGTATTTGATGTTTTTCATACTCTTGTAAAAAGCATTTTTAACAATTTTTATTGCTAATAGATTTTGTATTCTGAAACATCGCTAAATTCATTTGTCAGATCTAGTAGTTTTCTTGTAGATTTTTTCAGATTTTTTACATACACATGATGAATAATAGAGTTTCACTTCTTCCTTTCCAATCTGTACACCTTTTTTTCTCTTGCTTATCTGATTGTACAGGCAGGGACCTCCAATACAATGTTGAATAAAGATAGTGAGAGTGGACTTTTTTGTCTTCCCAACCTAAGGGAAAAACATTTAAAATTTCACTGTCAAATGCCCTTAGCTATACATTTTTTCTAGATGTGCATTAAAGGCTAAGAAAATGCTATTCCTTGTTTGCTGAAAGTTTTTAGGATAAATGGGTGTAGTAACACAACTGGGTTATGTTAAATACATAAATAGATGTGTCAGTGCTTTCCCTGAGTCTACTGAAATGATCATGAGTTTTCCTACTTAATGTGTTAATATATTGGACTACGCTGATTTCAAACCTTTAATTCCTGAAATAAACTCTAGTTGATTGCGGCATATTTTTTTTTATATGTTTCTAGATGATAATGTTTTGTTAAAGATTTTTGCATCTGTGCTCATGAGGGATTTTGGTTGGTAATTTTCTTATAATGTCTTTGGTTTTGGTACTAGGATTATAATAACTTTACAGGATGAGTTGGGAAGTGTTCTCTCCTTCATTTTCTAAGACACTGTGTGGGATTGGTATTATTTTCTTTATTCATTTTTTGGAAAAACTTACCAGTGGAGACATTTAGTCCTAGAGTTTTCTTTTGGGAAGTTCTTTAATTTCAAATTCAATTTCTTAAACAGATATAGAGTTATTTAGATTTTCTATATCTTTCTGTGTCCTTTTGGTAAGTTGTATTTTTCAAGGAATTTCTCTATTTCATCTAAGTTGTTGAATATACTGGCATAATGCTGTTCACAACATTCCCTCATACTTTAAATTTTTGTATAATCTGTAGTCATATTCACTGTTTTATTCTTGATATTGGTAACTTTGGTTTTCTCTCTTTTTAAAAATCTTCATCAGTGTTGCCAAATGGTCATCAATTTTATTAGGCTTTTTAGAGAACTGACTTCTGGCTTTGTTAATTTTTTTTTTATTTTTCAGTTGTTTCATTTATTTCCTGTTATTTGTATTATTTTTCTTGTGCATACTTTTGGTTTAATTTGGGGAACTGTATTGCTTTTAACTTTTGTCTTAAAGGAACTACCAGTTGGTTAGGAAGGGGACAAAAGAGATTATTTAGTATGAAATACTTTTTAAATAATGAAGACTTTTTAATAAAAAATATTGTAGGTAAGTTGAACTTAATATCAGTTTTCTAAAAATGAACAGAATTCACCTATTCAACATAAAATAATCTGAACAGTCATGGCTTCTCTGCTCTTAATGGCAGCTGCCTGGAGGATTGGGTTAGTTCATAGAAGGAGCCATCCCGTATTCGACAACCCATTCTAGAACTGGCAAACTAACACCTCCAGAAATATATAGACAAGAGGGCATAAAACAGATTTCACATAATTAAATTCATCTGAAATGTGAAAATTATATATCTAGTTTTAATTGATGTGTTCAACCGTGGGCATTGATGTGGGAAATATGGTAATTACACTTAAGAGATAAACATTAATAGTTTTATGCTCATGGATCATCCATAAAAGAAGAATTAGGTGCCCCAAATGTTTTTCATCCATGTCTTTTATGAGGGAAAACGTTGCAGTGGAGGGAGATGATTCTGTACTACTACCGGGGGGAATTAATGATTATTGTCTATATTCATAAAAATGAGACAGTAACCTAAGATGTACCATAAAGCAGTAAAAATAATGATTAGAATTGGTATTAACTCCTGCTTTTTAAAGGAGGATAGCCAGGCATTTCATTCCCCTGATGAAAATCAACTTTTCTGTGGGGAGATGGGGGAATATAGTGGTTTTGTGCAAAAATGGTTTTGAATGACAAAGACTCAAAGATACCCAAGTTTGGTCTTCATGCAAAAGTTTTTCTACTGAATTTTGTTGGTGCTATTCATTTGTATAACAACCTTTGAAAATGAGATTAAAACCTATGAAAGGTTTGCATTTGGAGAGGCTGCTTCTACTGGGTTTTGGTTTCAAGTAATTACTAGTACTCACTATTCATACTTCACTTAATTACCACTTTTGTGAGGTAGCCTTTAGGTTAGCACTGACTGTAACAGTCATTGAATACCTATTTGCGTTAGGTCTGTCTCACCTCATAAATATTTGTTGTCAGAATGAATGAATAAAGGAATGCAAAGTTGTTAATGAATTAAAGGTTAGAGCAATTAGTATTACAAACACTGTCGGGAGAACAGACATTCTCCTTATGGAAGGCAGGACCTGAACCTGGTAAGTGGTGACTTGATCTGTTACTCTGCCTTCTGGAGTGCTGCAGAACTAGGAATAGGGTAATGAACATGTTTTTTAGGAGAGTTTTTAAGAACATAGAAGGTGATGTGAATTAGTCTAGTTTAAGGTATTTCAAATTATTCTAAATGGCCCAAGATATACCCAGAATGTTTCAAACTTGGATTGATTACCCTTTCCTTATTGTCTCTAAAGCAAGATGGTGTTTCAAAAAACTTTTCTTTATGACTTCTGAGTTACCATTCTTATAATCAGAAGATATACATCAATACAAAGGGCAAGCCAGGGGGAAAAATGCACCATATTTTGTAACTGCAACCAGTAAATATTTTTAAATAATAAGCGAGAGAGTTTCTTGGTTGAAGGAATAGTGAATTATTTATTCCACTTAGAAAACTACACTAAAAGAAAAAAGCAAGGTTTTTTCTTTTACCTTATTTTCTATCAGAATTGATTGTGCACTAGCATATTACCATTCAGGCCTATAAGAATTTGTGAAGATTTTTTTTCTCTTCCTAGGATTTTTATTTCTGTAATATTTTTATATAACGGCCATATAATAAATACCCAACAGAATTTTTTTGCGCACTGTTCGCAGGGCAGATAATGCAGTTTCCTTGTTGAATAGCAAACTATTCTCCATCATTTACTTTTCTTACTAGGTAATGCTGTATCCTGTGTAGAAATGTAAATTAGTTGTGTAGAATTCTGGCTACTGTTAATGAGATAGATACCCACTGCTATCACTATTATCAGAATATCATAAATTCTCATACTTTGGGGTCCTTTTTAATATAGAAAAATCTGGCAGCCTGTTCAGTAATCTATTACATCATCACTAAATTATTGTCATTCTATGATATGATGTATGATTATATGTTAAGCTCTTTAGGGGTTGTTCACCTTCCTTGACGAGCCTAGAATCTAAACTCTTAGAGGGAGACAAGGCGAGCACACAGGAAGCAAGGGCAGAACTCACACAAAAAGGGGTAGAATCCACATTCCCTGTTATAAGTGTTAGTGTGAGTATGCAGAGTCTCTTCTATCGGTGGCTCCTGGATCCACTCCCCGATCTCCCTTAGTGCCAGGGAAGTCCACTGTAGGAACCACATCAGGATCTCCTGCCCTCTGGCTTCTGGGTGGGTTCAGCCAATGAGGAGTATCAAGAGACCAGAGGGAGGCAGAAGAGTGAGGTCTTCTCCTCTTCCCCGACACCCTGTTAGTAGCCTCAGGGCTCTGGCCCTTCAGGCCAAAGGGTGGTCACTACCCTTCTGTTTCTAACCTCAGACAGAGTCGTACCATATCCCTGCAATGGGGTAGGCAAATAGTCCCTTTATTAAACCCTTATCTGCCAGGACCCAGCTTGCCCCATTTGCCAGGACCCTGCCTGTACAGTGGGCTCAGTCATCATAGCAAGTGTATGAGGGAAGTTTGAGTCTGTTGTTGGAAGTTGGGGTGGAACAGTATGAACAAGAGCAGAGATGCACAGAAAGTGCAAATATTCTGAGAGATCTCTGGCAATCCTAGCTCACCAAGGAGATGCCAAGGAATCCCCGCCCTTAAGCATCAGGCCCCTCATCTTTGCAGGTGTCTTTGCCTTGTGGCCTCATGAGGATGAGATTCGGTCACAGCCTTCCCCTGTTGTGAAGTTTGAGACAACCAGAATTGATGACCTAGGGAGGCCGCTGCATCTGAAGAAGTGGCTCCTAATTCTGCCTAGGGAGTGTTACCATGATATGCGTTCTCAGGACGTGACTGGAGATGGTGATTTTCAAGAACCAGTGTGCCACTGGCCTGCTGGTTCTTGACTGTGGTTGTACTGTGCTTGCATACTGCAGGCCATTGGAGAACCTGTTGGAAGATCTTGCTCTGAGCTTTCTCCAAAAGGATGGATACTTTTAGGCCTCTCTCCATCTTTGCCAGTCTTTCTCTGTCTCTGCCTCTCATCCTAAGTTCAATTCTTCACCGTATATTAGATGTCTTGTGTGCCAAGTCCTGTTTTAGGTGTTGCGGACATGGCAGGAGGCGAGGCATGTAGATCCCCTGACCTCCCAGGGCTCAAATTCTGATGAGGGAGAATAAAAAATGCGTAACTTTGTAAATAAGTGATAGACTTTTAGACAGTAGTAAATGCTGTGCAAAAACCAAAACAGGGTGAGGGATGAGGTGATAGTCCAGGCAGGACGGGAGGGATTACAGATGGGGAGTTTAAGAAAATGTCTGAAGAAGTAATGCTAAGGTCTCGCAGAAGGGAAGAGTGTCCCAGGCAGAGAGCTTTTCTTTTAACTGAGCTCTCCTGTAGGGCCACCCCACTTTGAAACGCTGAATTTTGATTTGTTATGGGGTTTTTCCCAGTTTTATGGCCACAGGCTACAGTAACACCTTAAGGTGAACTTGAGAAAAGATCCATCTAGTTCAGATTGTCTCTTTAGGTTCCTTTGATAAGTAGCAGTTCCCGGGGTTTGCTTTGTCTTTCAGAAACTTTACATTTTTGAAGAATAAAAGCCAGCATTTCAGACTCTTCTTCAGTTTAAGTCTGTTTAATATTTTATCATGATCAGATTCAAGTTTTATATTTTTTGCAGGAATCCCCAGGAGAGAAGCTGGTTCTTCTCAATTCAATTCCATAATTAAAAATTTGAAAAAGATATTTAAATCCCAAAAAGTACATAGACTAATACAGTAAACACCTGGGTGTGTACTACCCAGAAATAGCAAATTCATTTCAGTTATTTTTTTATGAAAGAAGTAAAAGAAATAGGACTGGCTACATAATTCATGGGGCCCAGTGCAAAGTGAAAATGTGGGATTAATTAATTTAATAATTAAAAAATTGTTAAGAATTTCAAGGCATCAGGCAGTGAATTAAACCAATCTCAAGGCCCTGTGTGACTGTCCAGATTGTGCCTGCGTCGGATAGCCCTGGCTCCAAAGGGATTTGAACTCCCCTCCCTGGCTTTTGCTTTTTACTCCCATTCTCAGTTCCTTTTTCTCCACCGCAGAGATCATCAGTATGATGAAACTAAATAGGTATCCAGGCCAGGTTTGTATGGCTTTTATTACATTTGTATGTTTATATAAATAACGTGTAGTGATGTTTCCTGTATGTGTCTTAAATTACGTAAATGGTACCATGCTGTCCGTGACATTATCTAACTTGCCTTTTGATCCCTATTGATATCCCTATTGATCCATGTGGCTCTGGTTTTTTTTTATGTTAACTGCTGTCAGATGATAATATGTAACGTTTTAATCTGTTCCATTATCGAGAGCCTTTTTAAAATCTTTTTATGTCAATCTAATTTTAAGACATAAGAATTTCATACTTAAAAGCTATAATAAGAAGAGTCAAAGAATTCCCTTACACCTTTCATTCAGATTCCCTAAACATGAACACTTCACCACGTTGCTTTGCCCTGCCCTACCCTGCCTGATCTGCCCCTTTCTGTATATGTATGTATAACACATGTGTTACACATCTACAGAGAGTAAGTTGCAGGCATGATGTTTATTTTATTTTATTTTATTTTAATTAATTAATTAATGTATTTATTTTTTGAGATGGAGTCTCGCCCTGTCACCCAGGCTGGAGTGCAGTGGTGCAATCTCAGCTCCTGGGTTCAAGCGATTCTCCTGCCTCAGCCTCCTGAGTAGCTGGGATTACACACGTGTGCCACCATGCCCAGCTAATTTTTTTTTTTGTATTTTTAGTAGAGATGGGGTTTCATCATTTTGGCCAGGCTGGTTTCAAACTCCCGACCTTGTGATCCCCCCGCCTCGGCCTCCCAAAGTGCTGGGATTACAGGCATGAGCCACTGCACACGGCCAGCATGATGTTTATTAACAAATACTTCAGTGTGTATTTCCCAGAAAGCAAGAATATCCTCTTACATATCCATAATATAATGATCAAAATCCAGAAGTTAACATGAATACAATGCTATAATCTACAGACCTTATTTGAATTTCTCACGTTGTCCTAATGATGGCTCTTTCACCTTCCTGGTCCAGGATCCACTTCAAGCTCATGCATTTTCCATTTAGTTCACATGTCTCTTTAGGCTCCTTTAATATGTAGCAGTTCCTTGGGCTTGTTTTGTCCCTTACAAACTTTACATTTTTGAAGAATAAAAGCCAGCATTTCAGACTTTTCTTCAGTTTAGGTTTGTTTAATATTTTATCATGATTAGATTCAAGTTTTACATTTTTTTGCAGGAATACCCAGGAGAGATGCTGGTCCTTCTCAGTTCGTTGCACATCATGTCAAGAGGCAGGTGACATTGATTTGTCCCATTACTGGTGATGTGAATGCCATCACTTGGTTAAGAGGGTATCTGCCAAGTTTCTCCACTGAAGTTATTAATAAGTATCTTTTTGAGACCGTGTAGACATCTTTTCATCAAGCTCTCAGACATTACTTTTAGCATTCGTTGGTGGTACCTACCAGAAGCAATTAATACAGTGGTGCTTGCCAAATGGTGATTTTCTAGAAATGCATCATTATTTCTACATTTATTACTTGGCATTCCTCTATAAGGAAGACCTTTCTCTTCTACCTTATTTATATTTAATCAGTATGAACTCATGGATTTTTATTTTA